>NC_000008.11:1269140-1571425 GCF_000001405.40 Homo sapiens
TCTGCCACCTCTTCTCCGGGCCATGTTCGTTGCTGCTTCCTTCCCTGCCCTTCTCCTGGATTTTCTTGATTTTCCTGCCTGCATTTCACAGCAGTAAATGAGTCCCAGGACACCATGCTGGGTGCCGGGAGGAGGAGCCAGAGGGTGTTCCAGCCTGGAGCTCCCAGCCTGCAGAGGCTCCTGGTACGGGGAGGATGGGACCTGCTGGAAAGACCGCCCCGTGTGGCACGGCGTGGCTCTGTGGCTTCACACAGCAGTTGCGGTGAGCCTAGGTCAGAGCCATCCACCTTCCTGTAACACTTGCTCCAGGGCTTGTGTTTACACATTTGAGCTGAGTTTTAGATCTTCTTTGTCTGTTTATGTGACTGGGAGAAGTAAGACCCCCTCAACCCTGAAACCCCGTATTATTGTGGCTGTGAATCCCTAATTGTGCTCTCCTCTCTGATTGGTACATCTAACAATAATGTTACCCATTACGAAGGAGTGAAATGTCTGCAGCACCCACCTTTGTAAAATGACCTTGGAAGGAAAACACCCCAGAATAGAATGACTGTGCACCCCCCTCCCCCAGCCAATCTTGTGATCAGATGACCCAGAACTCAAGCTGTGAACCTAGAAATAAGCAAAAAAGGCTGGCGAGGATTTTTAGACACTGACATTGTATTTTTAAAGCTAGAGAATCACCGTGGTGTAATGGGCGCGCCAGAAGCCCTGGAACCAAAAAGGGAAACTCGCTGAGTGACTCATTTTCTAAAATAAATTGAACTAAATCTTCATCTCCTCTTCATGGACCGTGGAGAGGCACATGCAGAATCCTGTGTGTGGAAGAAACTGTGCATCTTGAAACCGGTATTTTCCTGGGCGGGGAGCATTTTCATCACAGGCCTTGCCCTTCTCAACATACAGTAGCGGGTGGTCTTTTCCCATTTCCCTTGGGGTCCTGTTGACTGACCATGATGCAAAACTTTCTCCTGCTGGCCATGGGTTGCTTTGATTTTTAAAAACCAGGTGGGTCTTGTCTCACCAAGATGGGAAGCCGTGTGCAGGATGCTGTGTACAGCCAACAGCATGGGATTGAGAATATGAGAGCTGTGAACCGTATACACAGAAGGGACTTGGATCAACAGAGGAGCAACGTCTGCAGATGTCCTGGAGCAACAGCTCTGAAAAATGTCCAGAAATAGAAGGAAAAGTAGAACCTGTGATGTGGGCAATGGGGAGAATGAATGTGACTTTTGATCGTCACAGCCTCATTGACTTATAGGATGCAGAAGCATTTGTTTTGCTTTAAAAATCATTTTCAGTATATGTGTCCTCTGTTTCCACTCTTGCCTTACGTCCAAGATTGACTTTCCTCAGGAGAAATGCAGGCTCTAAGCCCAGCGGACAGAGTCAGGCCAGGAAGCAGGCACCACTGTCTTAACCTCTTTGCCATTAATTTGAAGTGGGGGCTTCTTAAGAACGTAACTTCTCTGACCCTGACGTTCTCCCAGTAAAATTTCCTTTGCCTTAAAATTGTGTGTCTCTGTGTGTGTCTCTCTATTTATGTCTCTGTGTGTGTCTCTGTGTGTGTGTGTGTGTCTCCCTCTCTCTTTGTGTCTCTCTGTGTGTCTACCTCTCTCTGTGTGTCTCTCTGTGTGTGTCTACCTCTCTCTGTGTGTCTCTGTGTGTGTGTGTGTCTACCTCTCTGTGTGTGTGTCTACAGAGTGAAACCTCTGCTGTCAGGGTCTGATTTTTATTTTCTAGATGTTCTTCGTAAATTTGGTTTCCACGACTGTATACACCGTTGACCTGCTACTTAGTAAAACTGTTTCTTATTGTTAGACGTGTTGCAAAAAGGTAGATGGGAAGTAATTTTTTAAATTTCAGAATTGTAATGACGGATGACCCATTTCCTAATATTGCAATTCTCAAATTCTTTCCCCACGTCTTCATGAAATAAGTCATAGTTAATTTTGGCAAACTAACCATTACCAAATTAAATGATTAAATAATTAATTAAATCATAAACCCACAAAAAAGAAAACATGTGAAAAGGAGAAAATAACATGAATTGGGAGTCAAGATTAGTGCCAAACAGGCCTTGGTAAAAATCCAGCTTTCTCCACCCAGCACTGAGAGACCTCCAGCCAGCGGTGTGACTTCATGGCATCTGGACTCCTCAGCCGGGGGGGTGCGCCCATTTCAATGCGATTCTGAAAATTATGCTCTTTAAGCACAATGCATGGCACACACTGGGGACATAGTGACTTCTGTTTTACTTTTATTCTGGAGACTTGACTTTATGAACCTCCTTGTGCATTTGTTGATTATTCACTTCATGTGTCTTGCCCCAAGCCCATTTATCAGGCATTATCTGAGTACCGAGGAAACACAGGCACGAACGAGATAGTTGTACATCCGAGAAACATCTGAAAATTCAATCAGTAGTTGCAATAAAGAGTTGTAAATACAGCAATGGTTGTACTCTAATGATGATGAATATTGATCTACTGTTTTATAAAAATGGTTCCCACAAGTGGTGAACTCATAGAAACAGGGTAGAGTGGTGTCTGCCAGGGCTCAGGGGGAGGGGAAATGGGACAATGTTGGTTGAAGGCTACAAACTTGTTGTTTAAGATGAATAAATTCTGGAGATCCAATTAGAATGATTTCTTTTTAATTTTTATTTATTTATGAATTTATTTTTTAAGAGACAGACTCTTGTTCTATCACCCAGGCTGGAGTTCAGTGGTGCAACCTCAGCTCACTGCAACCTCCACCGGGTTCAAGTCATTCTCCTGCCTCAGCTTCCCAACTAGCTGGGACTACAGGTGTGTGCCAACACACCCAGCTAGTTTTTGGATTTTTTTTAGTAGAGATGGGATTTCACTACACGTTGGCCAAGTTGGTCTCAAACTCCTGACCTCAGGTGATCCGCCTGCCTCAGGCTCCCAAAATGCTGGAATTACAGGCATGAGCAACCATGCCTAGCCTAGAATGATTTCATTATTCTCCGTTTTCTCAAATAAAAAATAAGAAAGTTGATGTAATCACATTTTAAAAGCAATTAGGATACCCTCATTTTAGGTAAAATGTAGGACAAATTGAATTTGAGTTGGTATTTCTGCAGTTAGAGATGGAAACATCAACTCATTTTATGTGAGTGAATGTAGACAATGCATAGCGGGTCCAGAGTGTGCAAGCATATTGTGGTAGGGGCCAAGGAATTTCCAAAAAGTGAGATTGAGCTGGAAAAGAAAGTTTTTATATATATAGATGTTTTATATATTTAGAAGTTTTGTATATAGAAGTTATGTACGTATCTATATTAAACATTTTATATATAGAAAACATATATATTACACATAAACGTTTTATATAGAATATATATTCACATCTGTGTTCCATATAAATATATCTATATATCATACAAATTCTGTAACATTTTAAACTTTGTTTTATGATCATGCCAAAGCAATGCAAATGATTTCAGCTGTGGAAGGGAATAATCAAGTGTGAAGCGCTGGACATGGGAGATTCGTTTGACAACTGGTGTGCAGGACCCTATGGGAAGGCCAGGCCTGAGGAGTGTGGTGTCAAGGTTTCAGGGTCTGTAGGACTCGGACCACGGGTGACTCTTCCCATCATGCAACAGACGGCTCTCTAGAGCTGTCAAAGAAGGTCCATGAGCTGCCGGCCTGCAAGTCCCTGTCACTGTTGTAAACATCTGTAGAGGCTTTGGGGGCAGAAGGGTGTGTAGTTTTCATCAGATTTTCATGGAGATTCATGACCACGTAAAAGGTGAAAAGAGGAGCTTCTGTGCCGTGGGTTATGGAACCTGGGAAGGAATGTTCGGAGTGTGCTGACATTCCAAAGCCATCTGGGTCCACCTCTGCCTTGAATATCTCCAACAAAGTCCATTTGACCACTGGGGTTGATCCTGGTCCGGGTCCTGAATTTTTACCTCAGGCCCATTCTTATGATAAAAATGAGTAAATAGTAGCTGTGGATAGCTATGCAGAGCTGTCTCTGGAAGGTGTTTGTCTGAGTGGACCTGGCCGGGTTAGTCTACAGGGGGGCCCTCCCACCAGCCACAAACACACATGCACCCTAATATCCAGTACTTGGGTGTGGAAAGAGGTGGGAGCAGTAGGAAGTCCGGGAGCCACGTGGGCTGCTCTGAGAGAGCCCTGCTGGGGACTTGAGTCCCTGTTGCCAGCTGAGCATTTGCTTGGGAGCATGAGGCACAGCTCACATCCCTAAATCACCCCAGGTCACACAGCTGGCTTATGGAGTGGAGACCCAGGGGGTCAATGTGCCTTTATGCCCCACCTTAACTTGACGAGTTTTATGCTCAAGATGGATGACCAGGAGTCTCGAGCTGCGGCAGTTCACGTGCTCAAGTGTGGATGGCCGGCAGGAACGTCCTGCTCTGCTGCTTCAGACGTGCCGTGACGGCTTTATCATGTGCAGAGGCAGCTCCATCCTTCCCAGTAGCCCCTGGCTCTGCACAAGCCCTTGGAGTTTACTGCAGGCATATTTGGCCTGAATTTGAATTTAATCCAAATTCTCCAGCCCATGTGGTACCTCTGCTCAAAGGTGCTTCTAATGAATCAGGATATCTGCTGCATGTTAAATTAAGATAAACTTGTTGTAGAATTCCCAGGGAGCTAAGTGGGATTCTGTTCAAAGAGCAAAAGGCTAGAATGACATTGGTGTAGAATTCCAAATGGGAGACTTTAAATGAAATTTATGGACTTTAATATCTTCATATATAGCCGGGAATCTGCTCTGACTCTGGACAATAAGGTGTGTGCTCACTAATGCTCTTTCTGATTTTGAAATCAGTTCCAAACCTGAGTCATTCAGTAACCATTTTTCATATATGAAAGTCTTGTCAATTTAAATAAAAGCTTTGAGATAAAATCATTAGAATTCTAACAGCGTGACGGCTCTGTTCAGCATATCGGAATTTGCAAGAGTCAGATTTTTTTACATTTATAGAAAATTTTAAAATTATATCTTAAATTTTTAACTTAATATTTTAATTTTAAAATAAATTATGTATTTATATTTCAAATAAATCTTAAACTTATTTAACAAATAAAATTATTTAAAATTGTGAACTCTTCCCCACCCACCATAAGTGTACTGGAATGACGCACGCATGACACAACCACACTTGTGCCCCCACACAGACTCTCATGTGAACGTGAAAATAAGCCAGCACGTATAAGAAAATAAACCATAAAATAAGCCAACATGTATAAGAATATAAACCATAAAATGAGTGACTTTGGATTTGTTTTAGAACATAAACCATAAAATGAGTGACTTTGGATTTATTTTAGAACATAAACCATAAAATGAGTGACTTTGGATTTGTTTTAGAACATAAACCGTAAAATGAGTGACTTTGGATTTGTTTTAGAACATAAACCATAAAATGAGTGACTTTGGATTTGTTTTAGAACATAAACCATAAAATGAGTGACTTTGGATTTGTTTTAGAACATAAACCATAAAATGAGTGACTTTGGATTTGTTTTCTGAGATAGTTGTTTTCATTTATCTTTTTTTTTTTTTTTTTTTTTTTTTTTTTGCCGTAATTGTGGTCAAGCTGAACTAAAGCTAAGAATTACATACCAAACATTCAGGCTGGATGTTTGGTATATAATTCCAAACAAAAGGAGGCAAGAAACCCTCTTTCTCTTAACTCATCAACTTAAAATGCTCTCTGGCTTTAATTCCTTCGGTAGCAATTACTTTATGAATATTCCTTGTAGACCTCTCCTAATCCAGTGCTAGGAATTGCGGCAGCCATGAGTGAGTGTTCACTGCCTGCTGCTGTGTCCGCAGTCCCAGCTGTCTGATTCACTTCCCTGTTTATTGCTTGCTCTACCGCAGACAGACAGACAGACAGAGCCCACATTGGTGAAGGCTCCAGCCCAGGCAGAGAGGATCCCTGAGGACCTGCAATTTAATTTCGAGCACTGGCTCAATGTCATGGTCCCAGTGCCTCCCTGAGTTACACAGAGCAACTCTGGAGTTATTATGTATAAAACCTGATCCCAATGTTAAGGGGAGGGAAAAATCATTCCTTTACGGTCACATGGTCCAGATCCCTCAGTCTACAATTAAGTAACTGGGGGCTCAGTGAGGCATCGTAGCTTACTAGATGCCCACAGAGCAGATAGAACCAGGTACACTCTCTAGCTCGAGCAGGGAATTTGGAATGGAAAAAAAAAAAAACACAATAGATTTGCACCCCAGATGCTGAAGGAGTGCTCACATACATCACATTTACCATTAAGGCCTTGGACACTGGTCCTGGGGCCATCCGGAGATGACTTCATTCTCCAGTCAGACATCAGCGTCAATCCCAGATGCAGGTGGAACTCAGAACAGCATCATTTTCATGCAAACTGAATTTCTTTTCATTCCCAGATCTTCACAAAGACAAAAAGATAATGCAAAACCTCTATTTGTAAGAAGTTTATAGGAAAAGGGTCCAAGTAGTTCTCACTCTAGGGCTTCTGGAACTTTGTCCCTGTATGAGTCATGGTTCTCTAGAGGGACAGAGCTAATAGGACATATATATATATAAAATATATGTAATATATATAAATAAATATATAAAAATATATATTATATATAAAAATATATAATATATAAATAAATATATAAGATATATAATATATAAAAATAAATATATAATATATAAATATATATAATATATAAATATATATAATATATAAATAAATATATAATATATAAATATATATAATATATAAATAAATATATATAGTATATAAATATATATAATATATAAATAAATATATAATATATATAAATATAATATATAAATAAATGTAATATATAAATAGATATAGAATATATAAATAAATATATAACGTATAAAAATATATAATATATAAAAATAAATATATAATATATAAATAAATGTGTATATAATATATAAATATATATATAATATATATAAATGTATATAAACTCACTGTCATCCTGCCACGGAGAGACTCAGGCATTGCTCAAGGAGTTGCTCTCTCTCAACTCCAATCAACACTCCCCCCCCGACCCTAGCTCTCAATGTTATATTTCTTTCATAACAACCTAAAAAATCATGATAGCTGCTTTTTTACCCAAACACTATGAAAAGTGATACTTCAACATTAGTGTCTTGGACTGACACATGAATTCACTTGGAATGTAGATTCGCGTCGGGCACTATCAGATGGAACCGTTTTGGATCTTGGCCGCACGTTGGGAAACCCACCCGGCTTTGCTGAGTGGGTGCCGGGGAGGGAAGGGTGAGGGGGGACGGGAGGGCTGCTGAGGCGGCATCTTCACTTTGCTTGCATGTGTATCTTCACATGTTCGGCCTTTGCTTTACCCTGAAGGTGTTTCTCTTGCTATAGTTTTCACATTAAGTGCGGTTTGAGTACACGATGACCAGGAAGCCCAAAGGTGGTGCGTCTTGTGTCGGTGCTTTGACTTCCCAGCACACGTCCCCAGACTCCTCTAGAAAGTCTGCTTGGATGAGTAGAACAAGACACTCTTGTTCACATTTTATTGGCCAAATGTCTTGGTTTTCTTTAAATGTAGTGCTTATTTAAAACGTAAAGTTGTTTTCATTGTTTAATTGATATTTTATACTGGCAAAAAGAACTTCAGTATCTTGGATGGGAAGACGTTATCATTTTCTCACTAAAATTAATAAAATTAAGTTTTCATGTTGTGGCAGAGTTTTCAGGAATGTCATGAGCAAGGAATAGGTGTTTGTTTTATGGAATCATATAACATCACATATGTTCCTAAATATCATTTTTAGTGGTTGCATATTATTCCATTTTGTGGGTCCACTGTGATTTACTGAATTGGTCCCCTTTTCATGGAAATTTAAGCTGTTTCTAATCATTTTTCTGATACAAGTTGTACCTTCTGGAATATTATGTCCATAGCTTTATCTGCATGCTCATTCATGATTATTTCCTTAGGGCAGAATCTAGAAATCTCAGAAATATAGTGTTTCATTCAAAGTGTGGCTATTTTACTAATGAATTTTTGGAACCCAGGAGTGACTTATAACATGTGCTTCTTCCCCATTCTGAAGTGGCAGACGTATATCTGTGCCTATGTAGCCCCCCCAGTTATTTGGTAACTGTATTTTTTTGTTGTTGCTATTTCAAATTAATCTAGGCAGCCTGTTTTTGGTAGGCTCTAGACTAAGCACTAAGGATGCAGAAATTAAGAGAGCACGGAGAAATACATAGAGCAAGAAGCATATAAAACAAACATCTGACCTGTGATAGATGTGTGGGGTCAAATGGGAGTGGCCAATTTTACCAGGAGTCAGGAGAATTAGAAAAAAAAATGATTATGAAACAGATGATTCTTGAGCTGTCTTGGTATCCAAGTATTAGCCCAGCAGATGAGTATCCCAGTATCAGCCAGGTAGGTCAGCATCGGAGTATCGAAGTATCAGCCAGGCAGGTCAGTATCTGAGTATCCAAGTGTTATCCGAAATGAGTGGTGGGGTGGGCTTCCAGGCTGGCAGCAGCTGCACCGAGGTCGGGGCAGGAATCAGCATACCCACGTCAGGGAGCACCCCCACCCTTGGCAGGGCCGGCTTGCTCTGAAACCTCACCTTTCTCCGCACGTTTCTCTAAGGGGTCCAACTCCCCACTATTTGCTGGGGCAGTGACTGCACAAGGACAGTTAGGCAGATGTGTCATGTCCGTGACAATGCTGACAGCGGAAACGTTATCTTGAATCTCTGGTAATTTAACATGATTCTAGATTGGGTATTGGTAGGGAGTTGGTAGGGATGGGGCTCATCAAACATCTTAAAAAACAAGTTATTATTTTTAGTCATCATTGTCAGTAACAGCTTCTCAGTAGTCTCTTGCAATTTCAACATTCAGGAGACATGCCTTTCTTTTCTCATTTATTCAGATGATACCTCACGCCAGGTCAGGTGAGGGAGTGGCATCCGTGCTCACGGAAGTCAGCAGAGCTGTGTTCCAGCTCTTTCTCCTCCACCAAAGAGCTGTATGCGTCGGACAAGCCACTCACTCCCTTGGACTCTCAATTATTTTATCTATAAAAGTGGAAAAGAAGATCTATATTCTTTCTAAGATCTCTTCCAGTTGTAAGAACAGAATTAGACAGCATGGTCCTTGACTTGAAAGAGCCTCAGCTCTCTGGGGACTCTGCTCCCCATGTCATCGGCGCAGTCGTGAGCCTGGTCATTACTCAATTACTTTACCTGTTGTTGGTTGAGGGATAAATATCAAGAAGGATAAATGAATTCCAATACAATTAAATCCTTATGCTAACTTAAAAAAACAACTGCATATCATTCTGTTTACTTACTGGTACTGTCAGGAACTTGATGAATCTTTAAAAATCAGGTTTAGTAAAATTCAGATTTTAATAAAAATGATGTATTTCTTTAGTCAAGCCAAGGACATATTGCAGAAAAGAGATCCCTGTGTAGCTGGTGCCTTCTTCTCTACCTTACCTAATCAGTGGTGTGACCCTCTTATCTATATGTTTTAGGCATAGGCAATTATAACTGCCTTTCATTTGATAAATGAATTACATAATGAAGATCCCTTTGACAATGAAAGGCTTTAAGCCATAAAAATAATTTCAGTGTTCCATTTGGTTAAACATAAGCATTTCTTAGTCTTTCCAGAGGAGAGGAAGACTATGTGTACGACTTTTTGGACAATTTAATGTTTAGGGGATATTTATGCAGAAATGTCCTTCAGATTGTTGAACCCATGATGGTACATGAGTAAAGTCACTTATGATTTCTTTCAGTTAAGGTGAGGATAAAGAACATATAGAAAATATAAAGAACATATAGTAATGGGGAAGAAATGAGCTATACTCACCCCAGGGGGTGTGCTTTAACTGCAGAATTTTACAAAACAAGAACAAAATAGTATTTTTCTAATTGGGACTTGGGCAGCATTGCAAATAGAGGTGTCAGTAGTGTGCTTTGACAGTCTTATCTATGATAATTTTAAGTTAGGAAGTTCTTAACCTCAAAAGCCCTTTGTAAGAACAGCGCTAAAGTCCTTGGATTATTGTGGTATTAGGATTCGTCAGTTCTTGATTCTATGTTCTAGAATCTTCTTCACCTCAATTTCAATCCAATAAAATTTTATAATTGCCTGCCATGAATGAAGCTCTGTTTGGCACTTTATGTAAATATGTGGGCATAAATATGATGTCTGTCTTAATTGATTTTACCAAGAAGTATGAAAGTTAGATGTGTTCAAAACTAAGCTTCAAGGCGGAAATACATATCCCAATTAATATACCAAGAAGGTGCTGCGGAGGGAAATTGCAATTCTAGATGTATTAGATTTCTATGGCTGCATAATAGACTACCGTAAGCTTAGCAGTGGAAAACAACACACATGTGTCATCTCAGTGTCTGAGAGTCCAGGGTCTGGGAATGGCGTAGCTGGGTCTTCAGCAAGGCTGCCATGAAGGTGTCAGCTTGTGAGGCTTGGCTGAGTTGGTGCTGGCTTCCAAGCTCGCCCAGCCAGCTGGTAAGATTTATTTCCTTGTGGCTGTAGGATTCATGGCAGCTGCTTCAAAGCCAGCAACAGAGCCAGAGCAAGTGGCAGGCAGGTTGGAGTCTCATCACCACATCACCCACTCACGGGAGGGACACCCATGACCTTGACCGCCCTCTGTTGAGTAGCAGTGTCAGGCCCAGTCTACACGCCAAGGAAGGGGTTCATACACGTTCACACACAGGCTTGAGAACCAGGAGGCGCAGAGCCCAGGAGGTGCCTATGTTGTGTCTACTGTACCAAGATGAAGAAGTAACATGAACAAAAGTTCTGGACTTTGAGGAGCTTAGAATTCAGTAACTTGCTGACATGCACTCACGTAAGGTCTGGAAGTTTTGAGCTTTGTGGTATGTGAATGCTCTTGGGACCTTAACTGATCCCCAGATGTGGCTTCAGGGGTCGCATAATTCCTTTCATTCATTCCTGATGGTTTTTCATTAGCTGGTTTGGATGCCTCTGGGGTTTCTTCTTCATCAGCCAATTTGATTGATCAAATCTCATGAGTCCTGCTACTGAGGCTTTGAACCATCTCTGCACTTAGTTTATAGCCGGGCTGTACTCGTAACCCCTTCCCATCTATTTCCTTGAGATTAAAAGAGTTCCATGAATATTTAACTGAGGAAAATTTTCTGAAAACCTACCTGCGTCATAATACTTATTTATCTCTATTTAATAAATATCTACTGATTTTCCCTGTATCAGAAAAATACATGCCACTAGCGTTTTTAAACAGGAAGGTATTTAATAGGAGGATTTAGGAAAAGGTAATAGTTTGGGGGTCTATAAAGGAGGAGGGATTTCTTGTGGCTCAAAGTTAAAGAACTTCATGGGAGAAGTGACACTTGATGTGTGTCTTGAGGAGTAAGGGGAATTTTGTTCAATGAAGAATGGGAAGACCCGCTGCCACCAGGGCCCATGTGAGCAGGTGCATGGGCCATGGGCATGGAGGGGAGGTAGGAGAGCTTGGTGCCACCTTCATCTGGGCAGAGGAGTATAAGGATAAGAGGCTGGAAGGGCAGTTGGGGGTCAGGTTGCCATGCAAGCTTCGTGTTTGCAGATGTCACCTGTAATGGGGAGATTCTTAAATGGGACACATAGGCCATCCTAGGGCTTAGGTATCTTCAGGTCTATCCCTGAAATCACATTCACCTATTACATGCGTATTCTGGGAACAAGTCCACTGCGTTTGTATCAGAAGCTATATGGGGAATGTGGATTTGGAGCCAGCTGGATGTGGACGAGGAATCCTTACGATAGCTCCACGACCTTGGTCAAGCAATGGTCTTCCTGAGCCTTCTCTGTAAAAATGAGATAAGAATAGTGCCCAGCTCAGAGAATGCTGTAGGTTTCAATGAGATTATGTATGCCAAGTTCTTATAGTGCCTAACCCACCGTAATTGCTTAATTTTTAAAAATGTGTGTGCGTGATATTACGAGTTTTAGTCTGTATCCTATAGATGTCTCAGCAGTGCTGATTTCACAACTTCAGAATACAGATACCTTCAAAGTCGTAGATGTGGGTTTTGAGCCACGTGCCACATTGTGTTCTGTGAGAAACGGGGGATGGTGGAGGTGCCTCCGCCCCTCGCTCCCGGCGAAGGCAGCCTCTTGGTGGCTTTCCCTGTCATCATGACCTTGATTTGATTCCTAGTCCCTTAGGCGCCCCCAGTGGCTTACAGCTCAATGCTCAGTAAATATTCCAAGTTCCTGCGCCTCCCCAGCCCTTCTGTCCCCTGGGCACAGGCTGAACACACATCAGCCCCGGCGGAGACAGCCCTGGACTCCCTGATGTCTCCTGTGGGGCTCAGCCAGCATTAAAGACATGAGCGGAGACCCAGGGTTGACCAGTTTTGAGCCCGTCCTCATTCTCATTGGGGAGCTGTTATTAATAAAATCCATACACAATCAAGAGTACAGCACCAGTGTTTTTCATGAAATTCAGCTCCCCACACTCCCTAAGGAGGAGCTGACCAGGGAGAGGCAGATGTCCTAGCTCCTTGAAAGCCTTCCCCGGGGAGTCAGCTGTATGAGATGGGAACAGAGGCGTGGAGGGACGCGGTCCCACCCCACCAGCCTTTGATCTGCAACGTTTGATTTGCGACGTGGCTCCACCACACTGGGCTTTGATCTGCCCTGGAAGAGACGTTCAAACCACAGCCAGAGGGTCATGTGATGGTGTCAGTTATTGCCGATGAATGAGCATGCACCAGGGCCGCAAACCATCTGGACATGGTGTAACCTGAACCCAGCGCGCCCTGAACCATCCAGACATGGTGTGACCTGAACCCAGCACCATGAACCATCCGGACGTGGTGTGACCTGAACCCAGCACATGAACCATCCGGACATGGTGTGACCTGAACCCAGCACTCTGAACCATCCGGACATGGTGTGACCTGAACCCAGCGCATGTACCATCCAGACGTGGTGTGACCTGAACCCAGCACGTGAACCATCCGGACATGGTGTGACCTGAACCCAGCCCCCTGAACCATCAGGACATGGTGTGACCTGAACCCAGCGCCCTGAACCATCCGGACATGGTGTGACCTGAACCCAGCGCCCTGAACCATCCGGACGTGGTGTGACCTGAACCCAGCGCCCTGAACCATCTGGACGTGGTGTGACCTGAACCCAGCACCTGAAGCATCCAGACGTGGTGTGACCTGAACCCAGCGCCCTGAACCATCCGGACATGGTGTGACCTGAACCCAGCACATGAACCATCTGGACATGGTGTGACCTGAACCCAGCACGTGAACCATCCAGACGTGGTGTGACCTGAACCCAGCACCCTGAACCATCCGGACATGGTGTGACCTGAACCCAGCACATGAACCATCTGGACATGGTGTGACCTGAACCCAGCACGTGAACCATCCAGACGTGGTGTGACCTGAACCCAGCGCATGAACCATCCAGACGTGGTGTGACCTGAACCCAGCGCATGAACCATCCAGACGTGGTGTGACCTGAACCCAGCGCCCTGAACCATCTGGACGTGGTGTGACCTGAATCCAGCCCCCTGAACCATACGGACATGGTGTGACCTGAGCCCAGCACGTGAACCATCTGGACATGGTGTGACCTGAACCCAGCACGTGAAGCATCCGGACGTGGTGTGACCTGAACCCAGCGCCCTGAACCATCCGGACGTGGTGTGACCTGAACCCAGCACGTGAACCATCCAGACATGGTGTGACCTGAACCCAGCGCCCTGAACCATCTGGACGTGGTGTGACCTGAATCCAGCCCCCTGAACCATACGGACATGGTGTGACCTGAGCCCAGCACGTGAACCATCTGGACATGGTGTGACCTGAACCCAGCACGTGAAGCATCCAGACGTGGTGTGACCTGAACCCAGCGCCCTGAACCATCCGGACATGGTGTGACCTGAACCCAGCACGTGAACCATCTGGACGTGGTGTGACCTGAACCCAGCACGTGAACCATCCAGACGTGGTGTGACCTGAACCCAGCGCCCTGAACCATCCGGACGTGGTGTGATCTGAACCCAGCGCCCTGAACCATCCGGACGTGGTGCGACCTGAACCCAGCACGTGAACCATCCAGACGTGGTGTGATCTGAACCCAGCGCCCTGGATCTGTCCCTCTTCGTCCCCTCAATGGCGCCCAGACCTTCCACATTCATAAAAGGCACGTGTCTTTGGGTATCATATGTTTGTTTTGATTTATTGAATATGAGTTATTTTAAAATAAACTACAAATGTATCATCCTTTGCTCTGCTGAAAAGATGAATCACTTTAGCAGCTGCAGAAGACAGTTCCTTTCAGCCTTGGCACTCGGCTTTGCTTCGTTATAATTTCCAGTTTTCTATTTGTCTTTGCTTAAAATGCAGAAAGGAACAGCGATGATGCTGATAGAATTTTCATTGAATATTCAGCTTTCCTTTTGTGAAAATGCTTTTTGTCACCTAACAAGCATTTTGAAAATGTTCATGCCCTTTGGTCTTGTCACTCTAATTCTGGGATACAATCCATAAAAATAAGTAAATATTCAGAAAAAGCTTCAAGTAAAGCATATTTACTGCTATTTTATTTATAAAAGCAACTTAAGCACTACCACACTTAAAGTATGAGAGTAAACTACATCGTTCGTGGGATACAATCACACATAGCCCTTCAATGTGTTGTTTTATAACATTTCTGAAAACGTGGAAAATGCTAGAGCGTCCATCTGTAGCTAAAGTAACGTTCAAAGTGATTGTCATTCACGACGGAGTTCTAGATGCCTATTATCTTCCTGCTTCTTTTATAGAGTCCAAATTTTCTATGACAAGTATGTGGCCTTCTTGATAATAGGAAAAGTTCTTTCAAAATTACTATTGCCCTGTCCTTAGAGCAGCAGGAAAGTGAGACACCTCAGAGCATTGTGACTGCGCGGCTGTCTCCTGCAGTAGCTAAGTACAGCAATTTCCAGAACAAAGGGCTCTGTGGTTGCCAGTGGTCATTTAAGGAGTCCACTGCAGGCTTACATTTCCAGGAGAGATTTTTTGTTAATATGCTTTTGAGTAGAGCCTGTGCTGAAGATGATGGAAGGCCTGTCTGGATTCTGCTGTGCAGGTATCTGGTATCCGGGGCTGTGGAATTGCTTCAGAGGAACCCATTAAAATGATCCCATCAGTAATTGAGGTGCAGCACGGAGAGGAGACAGTGAGAGTGTGCAGGTGTGTGGACCGTCACCTGGGCTCCAGCGCTAACGTAAAGATGTGAGGATTTGCTGCATGACAAGACCACAGTCCCCACGCAAACCACGAGCTGTCAACTCACCGCTTTCAGTGTTGCCTGTTTCTCTCAATTCTTTTTATTGCTCTTCTGTCCATCACAACACATTTTTCCTATCTTGTTCATTCGTTGTTTATTCTTTATTATTATTGTTATTATTATTTTGCTCTGTCACCCAGGTTGGAATGAAGTGGCACCGTCTCAGCTCAGTGCAGCCTCAGCTGCCTGACCCTCCCACCTCAGCCTCCCGAGTAGCTGGGACCACAGGCAGGTGCCACCACGCCCAGCTAATTTGCGTGTTTATTGAGAGATGAGGTCTCACTGTGTTGCGTAGGCTGGTCTGGAACTTCTGGCCTCCCACCTCAAAGTGCTGGGATTACAGGCATGAGCCAGAGCTTCTTTTCTCCTCATTCTTGACCTTCTGTGTTCCTTTACTTTGTTTTTGCCTGCCCATCTTTGCACCAGATTCTTAGGGCTCAAAGCCAGCAAATGCCAGGTTCTTGGCTCCACCTGCATCCCGATTTATTTCCCTTGCTTTTTGGTGTTTTTCCATAATTTAGCACTATCATGCCCATGCCATTTAACAGGTTATCTGTAGTATAAATTCTGCCATATTTTTTATGTAATTGAATTCCACGTGGCTGGAATGAGGAAACTTGGCTCTTGCATCGTATTTTTCTGAGTGTTCTGTTGTGTTGGTCACGTTCCCAATGGCTCCCATCGTGGACTGAGAATATAAGTAGATGACTAAACTAGAGGTCACACATCTCAATATCTACCATATGAATTGTTTGCCATGATTCATTGTTAAAAAATAAAACAGTGCATACATTTATTTTTTTAATAATGTCTTTTGATTTATTTTTCTCAAAAAGCTCAGTCATACTTCAAAAAAGACACTAACAAATGAAAATAAGACTGTGCGTTTAGATTAGTTTTGGAAGATATTTGAGAAGAATATGCTTATGAGTAGAGCCTGTCCTGGAGATGATGGAAGGCCTGTCTGGATTCTGTTGTGCAGGTATCTGGTATCTGGGGCTGTGGAATAATAATAGTCCACTGCCCACGTGAACAAGACACACCTGTCTGTGGAAATAATTCTGCTGATTCATACAATAATCACTGCTTTTTCAGAGGGGAAAAAAAGCTTGTTATAGGTTGCTTTAATGAAGTGATAGGCCATAAATACACCTTAAATACTTCTATTTTTCTGGCTCATGCCTGTAATCCCAATACTTTAGTAGGCTGACACAGGAGGATTGCTTAAGCCCAGGAGTTCAAGACCAGGCTGGGCAACATAGCTAGACTTCTTCTCTACAAATAATTTAAAAATGAGCTGGGCGTAGTGGCACACACCTGCAACCCCACCAATCCTTGCAAGGATTACCTGAGCCCAGAAGGTTGAGGCTGCACTGAGCTGTGATTGCACCACTGCCGTCTAGTCTGGGCAACAGAGACCCTGTCTCAAAGAAACACCCAAAACCTTTCTATTTTTGACTTGTTCACTTCCATTTTTCTTTTATAATTCACCAACTGATATGGTTTGGATCTGTGACTGCACCGAAATCTCACCTTGAGTTGTAGTAATCGCTGTGTGTCAAGGGCAGGACCAGGTGGAGATCATTGAATCATGGGGTGGTTTCTGCCATGCTGGTCTAGTGATAGTGAGTTCTCACAAGATGTGATGGTTTTATAAGGGGCGTCCCCCTTTGCTTGGCACTCATTCTCTCTCCTGCCGCCCTTGTGAAGAGGTGCCTTCTGCCATGATTGTAAGTTTCCTGAGGCCTCCTCAGCCATGCAGCTCTTTGAGTCAATTAAACTTCTTTACTTTATAAATCACCCAGTTTGGGGCAGTTCTTTATAGCAGTGTGACAGCCGACTAATATACCAATGAATACAATGTATATAGAAATCGAAATGCAAAGAGAATGAAGGAAGAAGGTGGGTTCAAAGCAAGCTCTACCAGTTACCATCTGTGGAAGAGCTTTCCCCGTAGACTGTTTTCTTGTTTGTAAAATGAGGACATTGCATAAATGGAGGACCGAGGCCTGTGTCTGGGATGCGGAGGTGCTTGACAGTGAGAGCTTTCCCCTCTCCATGCCCATACCCTCCTCTGCTGCTGTAATGATCTAGTCTGACCTGAACTGTGTATCCGTGCTGGGCTGTACAGCATCTCACACTCAGTCCCTATGAGAACAGTAACATATCTCCAAGGCATTAAGCAGAGCAACTGGAGTGTTAATCCACACTTATCTTCAAAGTGCACCCTCTGTGCTGTACTGAACTACTTCCCCAGTGTCTCTGGATTCAACTCAACTCCTGTGGAAGGATTAGAGTTGTTAGGCCGTATGGGGAAAGTGACTTGATTTGCACAAGTGCATTCGAGGAGAAAACCAATTCTCAGTAGAATGAGAACGTTAAATACAATGAGGGCTTATGCTTGAACTGGCCATCAGCAAGTTATTTTAGGCAGTTATAAACCTTAGCAAATTATTTTTAAAAAGAGAAGGTCAGTTTTATAACGTGAACCAGCTGCTTCATTTGTTCAACTCAGTGTTGTGTGTGTACATGGTTCTATTAGGGGAACTGGTTTCGGTTCAGTATGTGTGTGCATGGTTAAGAGGGGAACTAGTTTCGGTTCAGCGTGTGTGTGTGTGTGTGTGTGTGTGTGCGCGCGCGCGCGTGGTTCTGTTAGGAGGGGAACTAGTTTTGGTTCAGTGTGTGTGTGTGTGTGTGTGTATGTGGTTTTGTTAGGAGGGGAACTAGTTTTAGTTCAGCGTGTGTGTGTGTGTGTGGTTGTTAGGAGGGGAACTAGTTTCGGTTCAGCGTGTGTGTGTGTGTGTGTGCGTGGTTCTGTTAGGAGGGGAACTAGTTTTGGTTCAGCGTGTGTGTGTGTATGTGGTTTTGTTAGGAGGGGAACTAGTTTTGGTTCAGCGTGTGTGTGTGTGTGTGGTTGTTAGGAGGGGAACTAGTTTCGGTTCAGCGTGTGTGTGTGTGTGTGTGTGTGTGGTTCTGTTAGGAGGGGAACTAGTTTTGGTTCAGTGTGTGTGTGTGTGTATGTGTGTGTGGTTCTGTTCGGAGGGGAACTAGTTTTGGTTCAGCGTGTGTGTGTATGTGGTTCTGTTAGGGGAACTAGTTTCGGTTGAGTGTGTGTGTGTGTGTGTGTGTGTGTATGGTTCTGTTAGGAGGGGAACTAGTTTCGGTTCAGTGTGTGTGTGTGTGTGTGTGTGTGTATGTGTGTGTGGTTCTGTTAGGGGAACTAGTTTTGGTTCAGCGTGTGTGTGTGTGTGTGTCTGTGTGTATGTGTGTGTGGTTCTGTTAGGACGGGAACTAGTTTTGGTTCAGCGTGTGTGTGTGTGTGTGGTTGTTAGGAGGGGAACTTGTTTTGGTTCAGCATGTGTGTGTGTGTGTGTGTGTGGTTTTGTTAGGAGGGGAACTAGTTTTGGTTCAGCGTGTGTGTGTGTGTGTGTGGTTGTTAGGGGAACTAGTTTCGGTTGAGTGTGTGTGTGTTTGTGTGGTTCTGTTAGGGGGACTAGTTTCGGTTGAGTGTGTGTGTGTGTGTGTATGGTTCTGTTAGGAGGGGAACTAGTTTCGGTTCAGTGTGTGTGTGTGCGTGTGTGGTTCTGTTAGGAGGGGAACTAGTTTCGGTTGAGTATGTGTGTGTGTGTGTGTTTCTGTTAGGAGGGGAACTAGTTTCGGTTGAGTGTGTGTGTGTGTGTGTGTGTGTGTGGTTAGGAGGGGAACTAGTTTCGTTTCAGTGTGTGTGTGTGTGGTTGTTAGGAGGGGAACTTGTTTTGGTTCAGCGTGTGTGTGTGTGGTTGTTAGGAGGGGAACTAGTTTCGTTTCAGTGTGTGTGTGTATGTAGTTGTTAGGAGGGGAACTTGTTTTGGTTCAGTGCGTGTGTGTGTGTGTGGTTGTTAGGAGGGGAACTTGTTTTGGTTCAGTGTGTGTGTGTGTGTGTGTGGTTCTGTTAGGAGGGGAACTTGTTTCAGTTCAGTGTGTGTGTGTGTGTGTGTGTGCATGGTTCTGTTAGGGGAACTAGTTTCAGTTGAGTGTGTGTGTGTGTGTGTGTGGTTAGGAGGGGAACTAGTTTCAGTTGAGTGTGTGTGTGTGTGTGTGTGGTAGGAGGGGAACTAGTTTCATTTCAGTGTGTGTGTGTACGTAGTTAGGAGGGGAACTTGTTTCGGTTCAGTGTGTGTGTGTGTGTGTGTGGTTCTGTTAGGGGAACTTGTTTCGTTTCAGTGTGTGTGTGCGTGGTTGTTAGGAGGGGAACTAGTTTCGGTTCAGTGTGTGTGTGTGTGGTTGTTAGGAGGGGAACTAGTTTCGGTTCAGTGTGTGTGTGTACATGGTTCTGTTAGGTTCTATTACACAGTGTTCATTCCTCCATAGGCTTCAAATGAATTCAGTTGCTCGGCTTGTTTTGTAGAAAATTGTATAAGATTTTTAACATGAAGTTCAGTACTTAGAAAATGCAAGTCATTTATGCATTAGAGTTACTGAATTTAAGAAAACCTCTAAGGAAAACAAAAATCCCTTTGAATCTGTTTTCTTTTGACATTGGCAGATAGAGCCGGTATTGCTTCTGTCTGGGAACTGGCAATGCTGATGTACTCCATGAAGGCCCCTGAATTGAGACCCCAGGCTGTTTTTAGCCTGGAGAAAGCCAATGTCTGCATTTAGCTGTGTTTATGTCCTAGTAACCAGTATTGGGAGTGAAGGATTCATCAAAAACCATTTAAAGATTGGATGAGGTACATGGATCAGTAAGTTTGCTATAGGATTGCTAATACATAGAGACAGCTACTTATTTGACCAAATTGGAGGAAATGAAAATTATTACATGTAGAAGACACATTTAACAAGTCCTGGTTTTTCAGTGGAGATACAGGGTTGCCACCTCAATTCCACTGTTAGTTCAGAGTGGTTGCTACACACATGCCCTGTCTATTTTGCGGGGTTCCCTTCTTCTATTTTTAAGCCCCTCTGCACACTGGACAGTATCAGTAAGACTCACGTGCGGGGATAGAGCTGTAAAAGCTCATACCTTGCTCCTTTCGTTCCTTGTGGATGCCAGCAGCTTTGCCATGTCATTTTCAGTGCAGCCTTGGGAATATCTGTCCCTGGGGGCTGGCCTGGCTAGCGTTCCTACATAGTCCCTGCTGCCTTTGAGATGGATGGTGAAGCCTCCACTGTGCAGTGTTCTCACAGAAGTACCCCCCCGAGGCTAATGTTGTGAGACTGTGCAACCCCAGGAGAGCCCGGCCTCCCCCGCGAATGCAGGAATTGCTCTGCTGCGGACCACAGATGAGGAGGAGGAGAACCTGCTCATGATGTCTGAACACAGGATTTCAGCAGTGATGGGAATTTAGAGAATCTTTCCTAAGATATTTAAGATGATTTGTAAGTGGTTTTATCCAGTTCAGTATATTCTTGACCATCTATTGATACTCAAGACAGATCAAATGGTAGGTCCTGGGGATAAGATATAGGCAGAAAGGAAGGGGTAGCTGCTGAAAAAGGTTCTATGCACCAAGAAGAAAACTAACCACTGTTCAGGGTCCCTGTTGTGTTATCTCAGTGACGTGATTGGTGTTGGGAATTTATTCCTACCTGGGCTGCAGGTGCTGAGGAGAGAAGAGGCTCTGACTCTATTACATAACGTGTGACATGAGTCATCACAGGCCTCTGTAAGCAGATCTAGTCAGCTAGACTCGAACAAAATGAAGACAGGGAGTTAGCAAAGCTGAGAAAGTCGGGAAAGGAATCACGTCCGTCGCGCTCCTGACGTGGCTACACACGGTGCATCCAATTCCATCGAGTTGTCATTTACAACACACCTGCAGTTTGCATATGATGGTCCCGCTTTACAAATGGTGCCTACATAGTGACGGCAGGGTTTGAACATCGGGCTGTCTGACCAGCACACCTGCACTCCTGCCATTCCACGAGACTGTTGACCAGATCTTTAACAGCTTTTAATTCTCATCAGAGGATAAAATCATATAAGGCTCTAAACCCTTTATAATGAAGGGATCAAAGGTTAGTAGTTATAAAAGAGACAAGTCACCCGCAGAGACCTTTAGAAACAAGTGCTCCCATGGGGAGACAGCGGAGACACCAGAAAGACCAGAAAGGCAGAGGCCTCCGTGGCAGGACGGTGGCTGACCTTTAATTTCCTCCCATCCACTTTCCTGTGTTTTCTGGGAGATTTTTTAGACTATGTATACATTTTACATTCCAGACAGTATGTAGTTAAAATGCTAAAATGCTGCGTGCACAAAGCTTATGCTCAGGCCTGATAGCTTGGAGCTGTCAACATAAACAATACTGTGTAAGGTGGTGTTTTAAAGAAATGGCATTACTTTTTGCTATTGTGGAAAAATAGACATAACATGAAATTTACTACTGAACTATTTTTAGTGTACCGTTCACTGGTGTTAAGGACATTCACAATATTGTACAACCACCTCCCCCATCCAGCCACAGAACTTTTTCTAGTAGACCAGCCCTACAAGTAATACTAAAAGGAGTTCTAAAGCTTGAAACAAAAGGTCTATAGGCACCAGAATAGAACCTCCTGAAAACATAACAGTCACAGGGCCTATAAAATAATAACATCATGAAGAAAACTTAATATCTAGGTAACAGTCATCACGATGATTGGAAATGGACCTCACGTCTCAATATTAATGTTGAACATAAATGGTGTAACTGCTCCAGTTAAAAGTTACAGATTCACAGAATGGATGGAAAATCACAAACCAAACATCTGCTGTCTTCAAGAGAACTCTGCTAACATGTAAGGATTCTCATGGACTCAAGATAAAGGGATGGGAAAAGTGTGAAAATGGAAACCAGAAGCAAGCAGGAGTAGCTATTTTTCTATCATGGGCATTACTCTCTAAAGTCACAATTTCTACATGTGAGAGTGAATTACTGGTCAAAGGGAAAATTTTGCATGGCGAGGCAAGAATGAAAGGCAGACGTATGGCTCCCTTCAGTGCCATATTTCCCGTGTGGAGGAGAAGCCCATGACACAGAGGGTTTTGTGGTATATTCGAAGCCCTGCCATTCCTAATCCGGGGTGATTCTGGGGAAGCCCCTGCCTACTCTTAGCATATCTCCTATCTTTAAAATTACGGGATCAGGCTAAGGGATCTCCAAATATCTTCCAGTTTAAAATCTAAGATTCTATAAGTGGATGTCCCAGCAGAGCTCATCCTGCTCAAAGTTGGGTGTTCCAGTGTGCTTTGGACCCCAACACCACACCCAACAT
This sequence comes from Homo sapiens, assembly GCF_000001405.40. Taxonomy (NCBI): domain Eukaryota; kingdom Metazoa; phylum Chordata; class Mammalia; order Primates; family Hominidae; genus Homo; species Homo sapiens. Next base: position 1,291,764 of record NC_000008.11, read on the forward strand.
TGAGCCCCCGGGGGCCAGTTTTCATCATACGAGCAAATCCATCTCACTGCCCTCCAGCCACACTTTGTACTGCTCAGCAGGCCATATGGCTTAGTCTAATCACCCAGCCTTCTCTCCAGTCTTGCCCTTGACTAACTTTTGACTATTACAAAATGTTCACTCTCAAAAGACTCTTAATCACACAATCCAGGGGCCTGAAAGATGTAGGGACATGAGAGGCTTTCAATAAAGATGTGGAAAGCAAATGCTAGGGGTTGAAATGTTTAGAGATGTGACATCAATAGGGAAGATTCAGTAGAATGTTCCAACTCTGAAGACAGATGAATTGTGGTGTGTCAGCTAAGCCTGTGTTATTAAAAACAGCAAAAACCCTGGACACCCTCCAGAATCGCTGGCTTTGGGGGGAAGCATGCTTTGCTCATGCACCCCCTCCTCTGTTGGCTGGAAAGTGAGCTCTGTCACCTGTACTCAAAAACAACAAAGGTATTGGGTTCCCTCTGCCCTGGCTCTTTCTGGCCAAGGAATGTGGAAGGACAGGAGGAGAGGTGGACCTAGCATGTGGTCTGACATCCTGTGGATCATGTCAGAGTCCCATCAGCCACCTGGAAACAGCTCATCCTGCCAGTCAGGGAGAGCTGCCTCCAGTTGGAGGATGGGACAGTGCGCTGTCTTTGGGCAGCTCAGAAGTGTGTGTGATCAACTTGACTTCTCAGGTGAAGAAACAGCTCATCTCTTTCCTTTCTCTAAAAAATTTTGATCTGTTCATTTTATACCTTTGTTAATAACTTCTGTATATATGTGGTATAATTTTATTTTAAATTCTCCCTGAAATATTTTTGAAAGTAGGTTGAGCAAAAAGACAACACATATTCTGTTACCCAATGTAACGGCCTCCGTCGCTCGGACGCTTTGTAGACTGAGAAAGGTCGCGTGGATGGGGCTTTACTTTTCTTCTGACCCAGGAATTATTTGGAGCTGGTCACATTGTGTTGCTGTCTCGAGCCTCCCCTTTCCACTCATGTCACCCCTCTTCTCGGAACGCCTTCCCAAGGTCTTTCATTTCACTCCTGCTCATCCACACATCCCAAGCCTACGCTGCCTCCTCCAGCAACAGTGCCCACCCCGTGCGTGGGTCAGGGTCCCCTCTGAGTGCTCCTAAGCACGTGTCCTCCCTGCATTAGGACCCTGGGCGTGTCCGTCTCCCCCAGAGCACAACGGCTGTTCCTCGTGTCTCTTTTTTCCACATGCCTAAGACAGGTGCTTATCCAGGCCTTTGAGTCCAAAGCAGCTGGAGTAAGTCAACCTGACCCACAAGTGGGGGAGAAAGGGGTACTCATGAGCAGGGTCTGCATTTTCAATCCTTGTGTGTCTGAAAATCCCTCCCTGTCTCCCCCTCTCTCTCTGTCTCTGTCTTCCTCTTTCCATCTCTTTGTCTTTTTGTCTCTGTCTCCCTCTCACACACACACATGGGCCCACATGCCCTCTCCCTCTCCTGGTGCAGTGCAGGGGGACTCAGGAGTGGAGCATGGCCCCCAGCCAGGCAGCAGCAGGCTGGGCTCCCGGACGGCTGAGCCATGGCTCCTTCCCTGTGCCTCCCTTTTCTGGGCTCCCGGACGGCTGAGCCATGGCTCCTTCCCTGGCAGCAGCAGGCTGGGCTCCCGGACAGCTGAGCCATGGCTCCTTCCCTGTGCCTCCCTTTTCTGGGCTCCAGTGCAGCTCATCTCAGTGAGATTAATGGCACAGGAGATTTTCCCATTATCTTCCTTTGGGCCTGGAATTTTTCGTGAAATAACCTACGTATTTCTTCATTTCCTTCTGTGCTAAAATTTATTTGTCACAGCCTCAGCCATTAACCTCCAATTTGAACAGAAAAAAAAAATTATCATGCCTGCTGTCTCTAGAATTTCTCAGAAGTCAGAGGAACAGTGCCCAGCCTGAGCCCTTCCCCATTCTTTATAATACAAACAAACGATAATTAACATTTCGGAGCTGGGGCGAAGTGAATCCCAGAGTCTCCTTCTTCACTTATTAAACATTTTCTTTTTATTGGATATTGTTAGTATTTCTTTCTATCTGTTATTCTTATTGAGCAATATATTTAAAAAATAGTTTATTGTCTTCAGAAACAGATGTGCTGAGGTCCTAAAGCTGATTGATTTTCATGCAAAACAAGTATCAGGCTGCGGATACCTTGCACCGTATTGGAAAGAAAGGTTGCAGCCTTTCCCGGGGTCTCGGAGCCCACACGTGAAGGTGGCTCGCTGCCACCAGGGCTCCCTGCCGGGCAGAGGGGAATGGACTCGCCCTCGCTTCCTGGAATTCCAACAAAACTATGTGGAGGAGCAGGTGGTCCCTCAGGGCAGACACATCACCTCCCGAAACTGTATGGAGGAGCTGGTCTTCCCTCAGGGTCCCACAGGGCCCACACATCCCCTCCCACCTCTCCCCTTGCCAGTCATTCAGGTTACAGGCCTTTCACAAGAATTTAATTGTCTTGATCACATTATACTTGGGCTGGTAAACATTGTCTTATTAAGGGAAAAAATGCCATGTTCACATTAGAACCTCGGAGAAGCCAGATTGTGATTGGCACTCTCCGTCGTCGTCCACGAGTGACTGGTGAGGTTGTTTTGGTGTCTCCTGTTTGAGGCATTATTTTCCCCATTTTTCTGATGAGTCACTGAGACCATGTGTTGAAACACATTCTCACCGTCACGTTCTAAGTGTGATTGGTGATGGAGGTGCATTTCTCTCCTGCGATTTTGTGAGCTCTTTACAGCGAGGATGGTGTGGCGTCCCACCTGTGTCGTGGCATCACTGGGTCAATGTCGAATTGGAATTTTAAAATTAAGAGTACATAGGCTTTTTATTATCTGTTACCAAATGTTTAAAATATAAAGCCATCCCATTGAAATAATGTTGTATGTGTGAGAGAGTTAGATTATAAAAGCTTATTTTGGCTGGGTGTGGTGGTGCACACGTGTAATCCTGGCACTTTGGGAGGCTGAGACAGTAGGATTGCTTGAGCCTCGGAGGTGCAGGTTGCAGTGAGCTGAGATTGTGCTGTTGCATTCCAGCCTGGGCGACAGAGCAAGATCTTGTCTCAAAACAAAAAAAAACAAAACTTTTTTTTTTAAGTTACTAATTTTGTTATGTAGCAGTTGATGACTTGTATATTGGATATGATATAAATTAAGATTTTACAAGATATTTAAACTTCACTTGAGGAAAAAAGGAGCCATATAATCATTGTTAATAGAAGGGTGATATCGCTGAGCAGAAGGAAAGGAAATAATTTTAAAAGGCAAACAGCAAACAGGAAATCTACTACCACGGGCTCATGTTGCAGTGGGGACTGTGGGCTGTTCTCAAACTCGTCTCCTTGGGTGTCTGCGTGTTCTGGCCTCCCTTGCAGCAGACAGACATGGCGGCAAGAGTGAGTGCCAACCAGACTGAAAGCAGGAACCTGAAAACCCCGAATCCTCCATGCCGTCTCTTTCTTTCCATGGGATAGATACACACAGCACATTTGCATATTGAAGATGACAGAGCCTTAAAAACCGAGCTTCCTGGTGACCGTGGGCCCGGAGTCCCAGCGTGGCAGCTGCAGGCTCTGCCCTCCTTGGTGGCTCTGGAGTTCTCCCTGGGAAGCTTCTTCCGGCCGCCAGGAGGGGAGGGAAGCCAGGAAAGGCTGTGGGCCCCCAGCCACGTCAGCGGGAAGCACACTCTCTGTCCACCGTGATCTGCTGGAGCACCCCAGCCATCCTGCCCCACCGAAGTGGAAGGGGCTCTGGTCAGCCCCCGCTCCTGGAAACAGCTCTCCACAAAGGCAGGGGAACATGTGTCAAGGTAGGATTATGCCTATAAATCCCAAAGGGCTTTGAAGTGTTTCGTAAAAGCCAATTTGGATCCTTTAAAAACAAATAGAAGAAAACCCACTCCGGGCCCCAGTCTCTCTGTGGGCCCAAGGGCAGGTGACGCCGGGCAGGGGAGCTGTGGGGTGTGTCCCAGCCATCGTCCCCTCGTGACAGGGAAGTGGGAAGAGATGTTCTGTTTTGCTCACAGCAGAAGCCATCATTTACACACCTTCTCATGGCACCTGCCTGGGAATTGGAAACGATTTCAGGAGCCTTAATTAATGAAGCGTCACAACATGCCTGCAGGCTACGTGAGAGTTATTATCCTGGTTTTGCCAGGAGACAGCCGGATGCGGAGGAGTGCAACTCGGATTTGAAGGTCACCGAGCGCGTTAATGAAATCCCCGGAAGTGTGTCTGCCAACAATCCTTTTATTTTGGCTTTACCTGCTGTTCGCCTGATGCCTGTAAACCTTTCCCGAGTGTTGATTTTCAGAAGGGTGCTTTGCAGGGTGGAGTTGGGGTGGATGAAATGCGGCCCCCGGGTTTCTGACTCCCTTTCGTGGCGCAGGTGGGCTGAGACCCTTGATGACCGAGAGGTTAGAAATCAAGGACATAAATTCAGCACTCTTGTTGAATAGATATGACCCTTGTTCCATCTTGGGTTCTTTTCTAGAACCTCAATTATAACTTTATAAATAAATTCCGAGTGCCTTAAAGAGACTTTCAGCGTTCCTTTAATCTCCCTGGCACGCTGGCTGCATGTGCCTTGTAACTTCCAAAAACAAAATATGTCATGATTATCCAGATCCAAGGGAGGTGTTATCATTGGAGATTTCTTAGCCCTCATATTGTATGTGTGTCTCCAGGAAGCAGAGCCTTGGTGCTCGTGCTGATCTTTGTCGCTGCCTATCTTGCAGAGTGTGCGTTTTATTAAATTCTTTTTGGGATTCTATATGAATAAATATTTTTCTGGGGTAGCATAAAAGCTGTTTTCATGATCTGTGCAAAGTCTTACTGGACGTGGAATTTTGGCAAATCCTGGGAACAGAGAACACAGCCCTTTCCTCCCCACTTTACAAAGGAGGCACTTAAAGCGTCAAAGGCTCTTTGGGTTCGCTTGCGGGAAACGTGGTAAGTGAGTCCCTGAACGTGCCACTGATGTGCAGATGGTGTGGTGGGTGCACAGCCGCACCGGAGCGGCCCCCGAACCACACAGGACAGTGCTGCGGAGGGGATGTTTCATGCGGGGCTCAGAAAGGCCGGGCTGGAATCCTGAGTCTGTGTAGGCTGTGTGGCACTGGGGTGGGGTGGAGGTCATTCAATCCCAAGGTGGAGTTGAGCATCCCGGATAATGGGAACTGGAGACCTCAGGGCCTGTGCTAAGGAAGGAACTCAAGGAGCCGGAAATACCTCAGATTGTGCCTGGCACAGAGCAGGTTCCCAGCACAGAGCAGGTTCCCGGCAAGCGCTGTTCCTCTTCTCCCTCTTTGCTGCGTGGTTTTCGTGAAGTTGGGGAGAGGAAACGTTTTTACAGCAATGCGGCAAGAATGCAATCACAGCGATGAGAATGACATGGACCTCCAGGTAGTGAGTTATCCCCAGTCACCTGTGAAAGGCATGCATTTGTATCCACAAACAAATCTTAACACATGTAAACGTACGTCAGAAAAACATGTCTCCCCTGCTGTTTAGGATGAGAATGTTCTAGAGTCTAGAGGTTGTTGGCCATCTCTCTAAGAACCAGAGCTTCAGTGAGAGCTTTAAATCATGTATTTCATGTGGTGAGAAACGTGGCATGCGCGAACAGACACCACGCGAGACAGGGAGGAGAAAGGTGGCATGCGTGAACAGACACTACACGAGACAGGGAGGAGAAACGTGGCAGGCATGAACAGACACCACGTGAGACAGGGAGGAGAAACGTGGCAGGCATGAACAGACACCACGTGAGACAGGGAGGAGAAACGTGGCAGGCATGAACAGACACCACGTGAGACAGGGAGGAGAAACGTGGCAGGCGTGAACAGACACCACGTGAGACAGGGAGGAGAAACGTGGCAGGCGTGAACAGACACCACGTGAGACAGGGAGGAGAAACGTGGCAGGCGTGAACAGACACCATGTGAGACGGAGGAGAAACGTGGCAGGCGTGAACAGACACCACGTGAGACAGGGAGGAGAAACGTGGCAGGCGTGAACAGACACCACGTGAGACAGGGAGGAGAAACGTGGCAGGCATGAACAGACACCACGTGAGACAGGGAGGAGAAACGTGGCAGGCATGAACAGACACCACGTGAGACAGGGAGGAGAAACGTGGCAGGCGTGAACAGACACCACGTGAGACAGGGAGGAGAAACGTGGCAGGCGTCAACAGACACCACGTGAGACAGGGAGGAGAAACGTGGCAGGCGTGAACAGACACGTGAGACAGGGAGGAGAAACGTGGCAGGCGTCAACAGACACCACGTGAGACAGGGAGGAGAAACGTGGCAGGCGTCAACAGACACCACGTGAGACAGGGAGGAGAAACGTGGCATGCATGAACGGAGAAATGTGGCGTGCATGAACGGACACCACGCGAGATAGGGAGGATTCAGGATGTGATCTTATTTCAGCATCTTTATAAGTGATCAAGTAAAAGTCATATAATTGAAGTTATCTAAACCCCCCATACACCAAATGCGTCCGCTTCCTGGTCTGTCGTCCTGCAGCCTACAGAGGCCGCGTCCTTCCACATGATGGCCCCGCACCTGGCACTGTCGCCGTCCCTCAGTGGAGACACCAGGAAGCCCTGGATCACAGTGTGACACGTTCTGTACTGGGGTATAAATACGGTTTCATGGGGACACACAGGAGGGAGCTGAGTGTGCTCCTCTGGCCCCGGAGAGTGCTGAGAGGCAGCGTACCCTGCAGAAGAGTGGCAGTCGCTGAGCGTGGGGGACGGCTCAGTAGGTACCTCGGCCACAGTCCTGCCCGTCCACATGTCCTGCAGAAGCATGGCAGGCGCTGAGCGTGTGGGACGGCTCAGCAGGCACCTCGGCCATGGTAGATGCCGAGGGCCCCAGGACAAGCATGCATGCATGCCAGAGGGGAACTAGAATGTCAAAAGGGCAAGACAATCCCTTATAAAAACTTTAAACTAAAGACTTCTATTTGCAAAGATCGTCTTGAGAGGCAATATAACGCTGGCCGTGGCAGCTCATGAACAGGTGCTGGTAATTCGAATGTCCCAGCGAACTCCCATGGGCAATAACACAGGCCTGAGGCAGGAACGGGGGGAGAACCCGGGGGGAGAACCTCTTCCCAGGGCCAGGGTCGAGCTGCGGCATTCACGTCTGTCTCAGTGGCTCGTGCTGAATGACCCAAAGGGGCCCAAGGGAGCAAAGGTGGGCAAAGGCTGTTACTGCCATCCGTCTAGACCAGTGCTGCCAGCAGAGAATGTGAGCCTTGTGGGTAACTTTTAATTTGGATTACTGACATCTAAATGTGTATGGTACAAAGAAGCAGGCAATATTAAGTATGATTTTGACCAAATGCAAGATGGCATTTCAGGGGCTCAGAGTGGTGGTGGGTACTGTGCAGGGCGGCACAGCTCTGGGCTCCGCCATAGATGCCAGTCCTGACCGTCCACAGAGGCCCCCACCCGAGGCCACCCAGGGTGCCGCATGGATGGTCTGTCTGGCCTCCCTGGATTTTCCAGTGGTGTCTCCACCATACAAGGGAATAAACAAGTGTGAAATCTGGAAACAGATTCTCATGGCCCTTCTTTCACATGTGGATCTCATCTAATGTTTTTCCATAAAATTGTGATGATGTTTAATAATACTCTTTGTGATAATCTTAGGAATCTTAGGAATGCCAGGTTGCATGAGGTGAGCATAAACGCATAGGGAGGAACGGTCCATGCCAACTGCAACTCGGTTTTCAGAATTCACTCGCACCTTTGGCTCAGTAACTAGCAGATTCGTTCCTGCTGGGATATTCATTTTAAAAGCTTGTCTTCTGATGTTGGCTGCAAATTAGAAGCAATAATGCTATTCCCTATCTAATATTTTTAAATTATTTTTTTAAAGTACTGTGAGCTCCTCAGAATAAAACCAAATGATATCGTAATTATTATCATCTACAATCCCCCCTGGACTGCACTTTTAAAGGAGGTCAAGAATGGATCTGAAGCAACTTTCTTATGTAAGTAAAATTTGAAAATCAACCCAAATGACTTTGTCTTAATCTGCTGGAACTCCCACAACAAAACACCATAGACTAAGCGGCTTAAGCAACATAAATTAATTTTCTCACCGTTCTGGAGGCTGATCAAGGCGTGGGCAGACCTGGCTCCTGGGGAGGGCCTCTTCCTGGCCACCTGCTCACTGTGTCCTCAGGGAGACAGGCTGGTGTCTCTTCCTGAAAGACCCTGATCCATTCAGATCAGTGTCCCCCTCTCATTACCTCAGTTTACCTTCATTACATCCTCACTTCAAACACAGCCACACTGGGCATTGGGTTCAGCATATCGATTTGTCAGGGAAACAAAATTCAGCCCCTAGCAATGTTCAAAGCCAATAGCACCGTTATACGTGTGTGTCTGTGTGCAAAGTGTGCATATGTGTACAATGTGTAGATGCACTCACATATATATATACATACACATACACGTGGGCTGGCCCCTGGAGTGGGTACTTGGACCCTCCAGGGGACTGAGGGGAAGGGTAGGAAAGGGGCCCTGGACTGGATTTTACCAGATGCGTTTTCCCTCCCTACACTGGCGTTTGCACGGCTGAAACACGGCTCTGCCCTCCCCAGATGCATAACAGGAGGTGAATGCCATCTTGCCTCTGTGAAGCACCTGGGGGCGTAGAGCCATGCTTCGTACTTGTCAAGTACTGACCGTCCCTCCTGTCCCTGTTCAGTCCCGGCGCGAAGCACACCCTGTCGTGTGTGGGGTCAGCACCCAGCACAAATCGGAGTTGGAGGCGAGGGGGCCAGTTTTTGGTGAGAACCCAGAGTCCAGCTTTGAGGTTCACCTCCTTGACATCTAAGCTGCAGCTTCCTGGACGTCGGCCTAGGAGACGGGGATGGTGGCATCCCTCGTGTTTTCTGAGACTGCACCATGAACAGGACGGGCCTCACATCCAGGGACACAGCACAGGAACAGCGAGAGCGGCCCCTAAAACCACGGTGTGTGTGGCATGTTGCAGTTCTGTTCATTTTCCATGTATGATTTCATCCTTGTCTTATTATCTAAGCAAGTATTTCCAGCCAGTGAGGCCGCGTAGATAAACCCTACAGCCTGCTGCATGAACCGAGCTCAGCGTCCTCCCTGTGGCTCGGTGTCCACTCTGTGCTCATCTGGTGGGGCTCACCACCCTCACATGCGGAACGCGTCCCTGTCTGGCCCCACGTGGCTTCCAGCTCCTGGCTGTGCGGCCTCTGCAGCTGAGTAACAGAACTGTCTGCCCCCCGCCCTCTGGCCATGGAAGAGGCCATGCCATTTCTCATAGGCAGCGTGGCTGTGTCCCATGGTTAGCCAAGTCCTTCTGGCTCCGCCAGTGCTGTGGATCCTCTGAGTTTGAGGTCCTTCTCCCATCGATACCTGACGTGGGAGCTGGACCTGAGCCCTCCTGCAGGACCCTGTCCTGACAGCACCACGTCCCACCCTTCCATGGAAGCTGCTGTCTCCTCCATGAGAGGCCTCTGCCTGGGCATCATGCTCGAGCTCCGGGGCCTAGGAGGCATGGAAAAGCTCATCTCTGCTGCAAGTTCTGCTCTCAACAGCAACTGATGGGCTTTGAGATTTAGAACACTCTCCAACCTCCACTTTTTTTTTTTCTTAATGAAGTTTTTTTTGAAGATGATCAGCTCAAGATAGGTCTGAGGTTCATGCTGGACATCAAGTGTGTGACACGAACACTTTCACTCTTTTTCTTGCTGTCACAATCTTGATGGTCCCGATCCTGCCTGTGCATGGGCGTCCCTGCCTGATGGACTCTGGGAGAGGGTAGAGGATAAGGAAGGGCCCAACATAAGCTTCACGTTTTACAAATAAACAAGTTGGAGATGATTCCAGGTTGGGATGAGTCCTGCAGAGGATGTCAGGAGGCCTCTGATGTTTGAAGGAGGCTCTGGGCTTGTTCTCGCCACAGCACCCCTCCCCTTCCCACGGCAGCAGAGCCACGGCCGGCTCCATTTCCTCATGCCTCCAGGAAGGGCTGTGACCACAGCAGAGGCAGCGCGGGAGGCCCCCTCAACACAACACGACATTTGCCGCAAGGGTTCTGCCAAGGTCCCAGGGAGGGGGGAGGAAGGACAGAAGTTCTAGGAGAGTAGTATGCACGGCCATTAAAATAATCTTTGGTAATTAAGTCAGGTGTCGTGATGAATTACTAACAACTAGGCATTCTGTTCTTAAACTCTTTTCCAACCTGTGTGTGCTGGGGGAAAAGGGTGCCTGTAGCTGGGAAGGGAAAGGGAAGCAGAAGCTCTATAAGTTCCTGAGCCTTGCTCCATACCTGGGACGGGACTCGGCATTTTCTGTGAGTTCCCGAGCTCTGCTCCATACCTGGGACCGGACTCGGAATTTTCTGTGAGTTCCCGAGCTCTGCTCCATACCTGGGACCGGACTCAGCATTTTCTGTGAGTTCCCGAGCTCTGCTCCACACCTGGGACCGGACTCGGAATTTTCTGTGAGTTCCCGAGCTCTGCTCCACACCTGGGACCGGACTCGGAATTTTCTGTGAGTTCCCGAGCTCTGCTCCATACCTGGGACCGGACTCAGCATTTTCTGTGAGTTCCCGAGCTCTGCTCCACACCTGGGACCGGACTCGGAATTTTCTGTGAGTTCCGGAGCTCTGCTTCATACCTGGGACTGGACTCGGAAGTTTCTGTGAATTCTCGAGCTCTGCTCCATACCCGGGACTGGACTCAGTATTTTATGTGAGTTCCCGAGCTCTGCTCCATACCTGGGACCGGACTCGGTATTTTCTGTAGGTTCCCGAGCCCTGCTCCATACCCGGGACTGGACTCAGCATTTTACGTGAGTCCTCTATTTAGTCATCAGATCGTCCTATGAGAATTGTGATATGACCCCAGTTACGGGTAACGGGCAGTGAGGTCGAAGGGAAGGGCTCTTGCCCCGCCTGGGGACCATGGAGCGACCTTGCCCAGAGCTTGGCTCTTCCCCTCGCCCCAGGAGGCCCACGCCTGACGGCGCCGCTGGAGTCGATTCTTTCCTGCTGTTCACAGCGCTTAGGTACTTTCCAAAACGTCTGGCTGTAACTCGCCTCCTTCTGCCGTGCTTTTGGTAGATTCAGTAAAACATGCACGTCCTTGGAGATTCCATCGCCGCAGGAGTCATTCCTTAGCTGTCGGCTGCAGGCTGTGAGGATGGGCCTTCGTAAGGACACAGATGGTTGGATGTTCCTGGACTCCACCTCGCAGGGGAGCGAGCGTCCTTGGAAGAGGAAAAAGCCAATGAATAAAAAGGAGGAAGGGGTGGGGCGCGGTGGCTCACGCCTGTAATCCCAGCACTTTGGAAGGCCGAGGCGGGTGGATCACAAGGTCAGGAGCTCAAGACCATCCTGGCTAACACGGTGAAACCCCGTCTCTACTAAAAATACAAAAAACTAGCCGGGCGTGGTGGCGGGCGCCTGTAGTCCCAGCTACTCGGGAGGCTGAGGCAGGAGAATCGTTTGAACCCGGGAGGCGGAGCTTGCACAGAGCCGAGATCGCGCCACCGCACTCCAGCCTGGGCGACAGAGCGAGACTCCGTCTCAAAAACAAAAAAAAAAAAAAAAAAAAAAAAAGGAAGGAGAAGAGGAGTGTTTTCCTCCAAGATTTCCCATGGGTGGGAAGGAGCTTCGACCTGGAAATAAGATCTCAGCTTCGCAGACCCTGCTGGGCTGTGCGCTGCGCTGGTCTTATCCATTAGGTTTAATGCGTTATTTATTTTATTTTTAAAGGTGTAACTCTCTCTTAACGGAGAATCAGTAGAAAGTCCTCCATCCATGCCTCTGAACACACTCCTAACTCCCCAACACTCAGGAGCCCGCAGGAAGCCCTAAGGCCCAGGGTCTCCTTGGGAGGCACGGGTGCTTCCTCCCAGGCATTTTCTCCTCTGGTCTCTGGGGTTTTGCTTCTCATAGGGGCTAAATTAATCCTGCATCCGGTGCTCGTCCAGCCCTGCGCTGCGCTGAGGAGAAGGCGGGACTCCCGGGAGGCACCCTGCAGGTCTGGATGGCCTGCCTCTGGCCAGAGCCTGGGAGGTGGAGGGAGATGGGATTTTGAGGCCATTCACCTCCCTCGTAAATGGAGCCGCTGATGCACTCTCACAGAAGGGAAGAGGTAATTTTTCCATTTGTGAGGAGAGTGCAGACCCTGGAAGGCTGCTTAGCCACTCAGCCTTTTCCAGACAGCTCATTTCTCAGACTGCAAAGGTCAGCAGCAGAATTGGGGGAGAGGGGTTTTACTGCATTCTTCAGGGCAGAGGCCATTTTAATATTCATGAAATTGCAAGTGAAGCCACTGGAATGTTCCATGGGAGCAGGCCAGCGTGTCCTTGAAAGGAACTGAGAGCTGACAGCTTTTGTGTCCACGCTGGACTCTTCCTGTAGGAGCCCTGAGCATGGGCTATGGAGACACAGGACACCGGCCACCGTGGCCCCACACCCAGGGTGGCAGGTGCAGCTGGCCCTGATGATGAAGACGACACAGATGTCTCACTCCGGAAGCCTTTGAACCTGGTGGAACGAGGAGGAATTTCAAGTGCCCAGGTTTCACGTATGCAGAAAGTTGTACATGAGATTTTTTAAAAAATGACAACCCACATGTACCAAAAACAAACATTAAACACTTTCAGCAAAAGCAGGAGATGTAAGGAAAACGGCTTCAGTGATGATTCATGTTGTTAACAACAGAGGGTCTGAAGCCAACTTTGTTTTAAAAGAAGAAAGTAGGATGAGAAAAAAGATGAGTACAATTGTTCTTAATCCAATAATAATTAAATTTATATGGCTACACCTTAAAGATAAATACAGTGCGGAAGTGCTTCTGATGAAGTGGCAGGAGAGAGAATGAAGGAAGATGATCGACAAAAGCAAGCAGGGTAATTTATCGAAAGCTAAGTACCCCTTGCTACATGAACATTTTGGGGTCCTGTACTTGTAAATCCATATTTTGTGGATCATCATCAATTATAATAAATGCTAAACACCCTTCAATACTGCACAGGATAAGCTGAAAAGGCACAGTCTGTGTTCACTGCAATCGCATTTGATATAATCATCTGTCATTCATGCATATCGTGCATAAGGTAATCATATATATACCCAGCTGAAGTGAGACAGATACGAGTTGGACAAATACTGCTAAGAATAACTGTGCAGGAGGTATCATACATGGTTTCCACCATTGCAGTGGCTGGCAGGTGACCTCCCACCTGGAGGTGACCCCAGGAATCTCTCTCAGAAGCACCAGAGTAGCCTGGGCTTTGGAGTCAGCAGCCTGGGTAAAAAAGCTTGCTCTGTCACTTCCCATTCAGTGACCTAAGCAAGTGACTTCTTGACTCTTAGTTTAGTTTCCTCCTTTAAAAAATGAAAGTAGCATCTCTCAATGTTAGGGAGTTGTGAAAATGAGAGACAGCATATGTGAGGTGCCTGGTCTTCCGCAGTTCTCTGTCTTCAGTGGCTGTTGTTTCTGGGATATTGTGGGGCTACTGAAGCTATGATCTTCAGCATTATTTTGTTTGGTTTAGATAATTCGTGTGTTTATTTTACATTTGGCTTAAAAGAAATTAGTCCTTACAGTTTTCATGAGATGTAAACTGCTTATAGTCATCCCTGGGTGTCTGTAAGGTCTTTATTCATACATTTGTGTGTCTTTCTGTTCTGTCTGGGTGTGGCCTGAAGGACGAATGCAGGGTGCTCATCTGTGCTTCACCCAAATTGAAACTCAGACCAGAGAAACTAAGGACATTGCTTGAAACACTGCAGTCCTCCGGCAACCTGCCAGGATAAAAATTACACTGAAAACCTACCATAAACACTGCAGGCCTCCATCAACCTGCTGGGACAAAAATTACACTGAAAACATACTGTGTACCACCTAAAGCCTGGGAGCAGAAGCTGGGAGAGTTCCTTCAGTAAATCAGGACATTCGAGAGCACTTGAGTAACAACAGCTACCGCCCCACTCAACAGCAGATGACTGAAAGTTCTTCCTGTGAGGTCAGGAACAAGGCAAGTGTGCCCTTGCCTGCCCTCTACTTATGTGCTTTTATAAATGGGATTATTTTCTTAATTTCCTTTTATACTGTTCATTCTGATAGTATAGGGAACAACTACTAATTTTTGCATGTAATTTTATATCCAGATATTTTGCTGAATTCCTTTTTCAGAAGAGGAAATGCCACTTCTACTCATCATAGTAGTAGAAGTCCTAGACAGAGAAATTAGGCAAAAAAAAAAAAAAAAAAGAGAGAGGGAGAAAAAATAGAAAATCATCCAAATTGGAAAGAAGTAAAATTGTTATTTGCAGATGACATAATCTTATATGTAGAAAACTGTGAAGATTCCCCCCCACCCACACACACCTACACAAGGGTATAAAAAAGGATTCAGCAAAGTGTCTGCATACAAAATTAACACACAAAAATCACTAGTGTTTCCAAATACTATCAGAATGAACAATTTAAAAAGGAAGTAAATAATTGCATTTATAATCGTGTCAAAAAAACCCAAAATTCTTAGAAATAAGCTTAACCAAGGAGGAGAGAGGCTGTACACTGAAAACTATAAAATGTTGTTATAAGACATTAAAGACACTAATGAACGGAAAGACATCTGTGTTCATGGATTGAAAGGCTTACTGTTGTTAAGATGTCAGAACTACTAATGGTGGGTTTTTGAGAAATAGAAAAATCCACCCTAAAATTTATATGGAATTACAAGGGACCCCAAATACTCAAAACAATCTTGAAAAATAAGAACTAAGTTGGAGTCTCACACTTCCTGATTTCAAAACTTACTACAGAGCTATGATAAGCAAAATAGTGTGGTTAAGTGCTGGCATAATCACAGACATCTAGACTAATGGAACAGAATAGAGAGTCCAGAAATAAACCCTGGTGTATATTGTCAAATGATTTCTGATAAGGGTGCCAAGACCATTCAATGGAGAAGGAACAGTGTTTTCAATAATTTATGTTAGAGAAACTGGATATCAACATATAAATAATGAAGCTGAACTCATACCTTATACCACATATAAACAATACTCAACAGATAAAAGACCTAAACATAAGAGCTAAACCTGTAAGACTCTCAGAAGAAAACAGAGAGGATAAGCTTTATGACATTGGACTTGACAGTGATCTTGGATACCAAAAGTACAAGCAACAAAAGAATAGATACATAATTTAGACTTCATCAGAATTAAAGCTTGTGTGCATTAAGGGACACTTTCAGCTGAATGAAAGGGATGGAATGGGAGTAGATATCATATATCAAAATTCAAATCATATATCAATCTGAAAATGGACTGATACCTACACTATTTAAATAACTACAACAGCAAAATAATCTGATTCAAAAATGGGCAAAGGACTTGGATATTTCTCCAAGAAGATTCACAAATGACCAATAAGCACAGCAACATCATTAATTATTAAGGGAATACAAAGCTAAACCACAAGGAAATGCCAACACACATTAGAGTGGTCATTGTAAAACAACAACAATGAAAAGAAAAGAACAGGTGTTGGCAAGGATGTGGAGAAGTTAGAAACCTTGTGCATTTTTGGTGAGAATATAGAAAGATGTTCCCATCATGGAAAATGATATGGTGAGTCTTCAAAAAATAAACATGGAATTTTCCTATGCCCCAGAAATTTCACTTCTGGCCATACACCCAAAAGAAGTGGAAGCAGGGCTCAGATAATTGTATACTCATGCTCAAGCAGTATTAGTTACAGTAGCCAAAGATGGAAGCAGCCCACGTGTGCAATAGACACGTAAATGGATGTATAAGCAAAATGGGGCCTAGACGGGTGAAAGAAGAACATTTAGCCTTAAAAAGAAATGAGATGCTGACACATGGCACAATATAGATGAACCCTGAAGACATTCCACAAAATGAAATTCGCCCGTCACAAAAGGAGAGTGACTGTGATTCCCCTCACATGAGGTACGAAAGCAGTCGAATTCATAAAGACAGAAAGTAGAAAGGAGGCTGCCGGGGACTGGGCGCTGGAGGGAAGGAGAACTAGGTAGTTAGAAATGGGTACAGAGTTTCACATGAGGAAAAGGACGCATTTTGGAGACAATGGCACAATGGTGTGAATGTCCTTAACACACCACAGAACTACACACACGAAATGGTTAAGATGAGTATTTTACCACCGTTTTTCCAAAAAGAACCCATGTACATGGGGGAACGCACAAAGCTGTGCATACACCAGGTCAATGTGCGTGTTCAGAAAAGGCCTAGGAAGACCTGCAGCTTTCACCTCAAGTGGTCCCTGGGCTCGTTGCAAGCCAGGGTACGTGTGGAAGAAGTGCCTCAGGACAGAACGCCTGCAGAGAATGGGAAAGGTGTTTTTGTCTTTTTCGTTTGTAGCTCTTGGCATTTAATGAGATATCTGTCAACATACTAGCTTGAAACAACCTTAAGAAACAGAGACTCCAGTGACTGCACACGGCAAATAATACAGTGTTTTCAAAAAATAGTTTGGAAAGTCACTAAACAGACTACACCAGCCTTCAACAATCAAAAACAGCCAAACCAGAAGAAGGGTTTCCAGAGTCAGCCCCTTCTAATATCCAAGTGTCCAGTTTTCAACAAAATGACTAAAAGACATATAAAAAACAGGAAAGTATGGTCCATTCAGGACAACAAAAGAAATCTTTTTTTGTTTTGTTTTGTTTTGAGACGTAGTTTCACTCTTGTTGCCCAGGCTGGAGTGCAGTGGTGTGATCTCAGCTCACTGCAACCTCAACCTCCTGGGTTCAAGTGATTCTCCTGCCTCAGCCTCCTGACTAGTTGGGACTACAGGTGCCCGCTACCATGACAGGCTAATTTTGCATTTTTAATAGAAATTAGGTTTCCCCATGTTGGTCAGGCTGGTCTTGAACTCCCGACCTCGGATGATCTGCCCGCCTCAGCCTCCCCAAGTGCTGGGATTACAGGCATGAGCCACCGTGCCTGGCCCTAAATAATATTTTTTAAAATTTTCTTAAATATGCCCCAAAACTAAAGAACACTGGGAAACAATGTATGAAGAAAATTAAAGAGATCCAAATTATTTTTTTTTAAAGAAAACAGCAGACATTCTGGAGAAAAATAAATGAAAAATTTACTCTAGAGGTTCAGCAGCAGATTTGAGCAGGTAGAGGAAAGTGTCTACAGTTAAATATGGTACAGATGACATTGTGGAGCCTGAGGAGCAGAAAGAAAAGGAAGAACAGGGAGCCGAAACTTGAGGGTCTGTGGAACATCATCGGGCTGATCAGCCTACACATTACAAGAGTCTCCGAAAAGGGAAAAGAGAACGAAATGAAAAGAAAGAATATTTGGAGAAATAAAAGCCAAAAACATCCAAAATTTGAGGAAAGATGTGAATATACAAATCCAAGAAGCATAATGAACTTCAAGTCAGATAAACATGAAGAGATTTGCAAAAGACATGTTATAATCAAACCAGTGAGGGATAAAGAGAAAATCCCAAAAGCAGCAGAAGAGAAGTGACTCATCACACACAAGGGATGATTATTTATTTTCCAGAAAAAGCTTATCTCTTGATTTCTCTAGAAACCATGGAAGACAAAAGAGAATGGGATGATAAAGTTCCTAAAGAAAAAAAAATTTTAAGAAGTTTATAGTCAGTAAAACTATCCTTCACAATGAAGGAGGAAGTAAGACATTCCCAGATAAACGGAACTTGAGACTTGCTCTACAAGAATGCGAAAGGGAACCTTGCAGATTGACATAAAAGGACAGCGGCATTAGCTCAAAGCTATATGAAGTGAAAGGTCTTCAGCGATGGTGAATACAGGGACGACCAGGAAAACCAACAAGATTATGTATTTGGTTTGTAACTCCACCTTTGTTGCTACAGAAATTAAAAGATGAATGCATAAAAGATAAGTGTACGTCTATGTTACCGTGCACTCAATGTGTAAAGGTGAAACCTGTGACAGGCCGGGCGCCGTGGCTGACGCCTGTAATCCCAGCACTTTGGGAGGCCAAGGCGGGCAGATTTCTTGAGGTCAGGAGTTCAAGACCAGCCTAGCCAACATGGTGAAAACCCATCTTTACTAAAAACACAAAAATTAGCCAGGTGTGGTGTTGGTTGCCTGTAATCCCAGCTACTTGGGAGGCTGAGGCAGGAGAATCATTTGAACCACTGTATACCAGCCTGGGCTACAGGGCAAGTCTCCATCTCAAAAAAAAAAAAAAAAAAAGATGAAACCTGCGACAGCAAGGGAGGAAGGGAGCTGTTATAAATCTAGGGTTCTATGTTTAATCCTAATATTATAAATTTATCTTCAAAGAAAGTATTTTAAAATATATACGCAACAGGAAATAAAAGGGAAATCAAAACAGTTAACTCCAAAAAAATCCACAAAAAAGACAATAATTAAGAAAATGAAGGACAGAGGCTATTTATATATTGACAGAAGGGTCAATTCAACAAGGAGATACAATGATTTTAAATATATATGTACCAAAATCAAAAACAGAGTCCCAAAATATGTGAAGCAACCATTGATGGAATTGGAGAAAGTAAGGGGTAGCTCTAATCATAGCTGGAGGCTGGAATGAACCACTTTCAATAGTAAGCAGGACGTCTACACAGAAGATTAATAAACATGGGGTTTGGACGGACACGTACAGAAGCATCCACCTGACAACAGTGGAAATACACATTCTTCTCAAGTGTACATGAAACATTCTCCACAGTAGGCCACATGTTAGGCCAAAAGACAGGTCTCAATAAATTGTAAAAGACTAAAATCATAAAAAGTTGGGTTTTTTTTTGTTTTTTGTTTTTTGTTTTTTGAGATGGAGTCTCACTCTGTCACCCAGGCTGGAGTGCAGTAGTGCATTCTCGGCTCGCTGCAACCTCTACCTTCTGGGTTCAGGCAATTCTCCTGCCTCAGCCTCCTGAGTAGCTGGGATTACAGGCACCCACCACCACACCCAGCTAATTTTTGTCAAAGTAACATTTTAGCCACAGTGACATTAATAACAGGAGGAAAACTGGAAATTTGACAATGGGTCAAAGAATCAGAAGAAAGCTATCAGACAGAATTAACACAGAGTAAAAAAGAGATCATTAAATTAAATTCAAAAAATAGAGTATCAACAAAACTGAAGTCAGTTGATTGAAAAGATCAAAATATTGGCAAACCTTGAATGACACTGACAAAGAAAAAAAAAAGAGAACACATAAACAACTAAAATTGGAAAGGAAAATGGGGACATTACTACAGACCACACAAATAAAAAGGATTTAAGACAATACTATGAACAATTGTACACCAATAAACTAGTTAACCCGGATGACATGGACAAATTTATATAACAATGAAAATGACCTAAACTGACTGAAGACAAGATAAAAAATCTCAACAGATTTATAATAAGAGATCGAATCTATAATGATAAAAAAATAAATCCTTGGAAAGAAATATCCAGAATCAGATACGTTCACTGGTGAATTCCACCAAACAGGTAAAGATGAATTAACACAAATCCACAGACCCTTCCAAAAAAATAGAAGTGGAGGAAACAATTCCTAACACATTCCTTGAGGCCAGCATTACCGTGGTAGCTGAGCCCGATAAAAATGGTCATAGAAGAGAAAATCACAAACCATATCCCTTATCAATGTAGATGCTAAAATTTTCCACAGAATACCAGCAAACTTAATCCAACAGTGTATTAAAAGGTTTAGACTTGTCATCAGGTGGGATTTATTCCAGGAATGTAAAAGTGGTTCAGTTTAAGAAAATTAATTAACACTACCTGCACATCTCAGTTGACACACGAAAGGTGTCTGACAAAATCTCATAACTGTTCATGATAAAAAAAAAAAACTCTTATAAAATTAGAAGTAGAAGGAAAATTTCTCAGTATGATAAAGGGCATTTATGAAAAGCCACAGCCAAGACATCCAGTTTCCTGTCCAACATTATGCAATAATAGAGGGAATAAATCTCCAAGAAGACACAGCAATCCTTAATGTATATGCACCTGACAACAGTGTGTCAAAATACATAAGGCAAAGACTGATACAACTGCCAGGAGGAATAGATGAGTCCACCATTAATGCTGGAGATTTTGAGTGTCTGCTCTCAGTAATTGACAGATCCAGCAGGCAGAAATTCAGAAATTCAGCAATGACAGGGTTGAACTGAGTGATACCATCAATCAACTGAATCTGACATCTGTAGGCTACTTCATCCAACAGCAGCAGAACACAGATTCTTCCCAAGCTCGCACAGAACATTCGCCAAGATAGGCCACATTCTGGGCCAAAAATCTAGACACAGATCTCAACCTTTTCATAAAAGTTACCTCGACATAGATCACAGACCTAAATATAAAACACAGGGTCTAGAATTTAACATCAGAGGGAACCCAGGTGACTTTGAGTCTGGTGATGAGTTTTTAGAGACCGCACCGAAGGCACCTAGGAAAGAACAGATTGAGTGATTGGACTTCATTAAAATTTAAAACTTCTGCTTTCTGAAAGACAGTTAAGAGAATGAAATGACAGACCACAGATTTGACAACATCTTTGCAAATCACGTATCCAGTAACAGATTGGTATCCAAAATGTACAAAGAACTCTTAAGCAACAAGAAGAAAACACACATGGAGACAAGAACAGATTCAGGGTTTCTGGGGGCTTGGGGGAGAGGGAACGGGAGTTATTTCTGAATGATTATAGAGGTTCTATTTGGACATGCAATGCATGTGCAGCGTTGCGAATGTATTTAATGACGCATAATTACACACTTAAAATGAGTGAAATGGCAAATTTTATGTCATCTGTACCAGAATAAAAAATATTTACAAAAAATAAAATTAAATGCACATACCTTTTGACTCAGTTAATTAACTTGGAATTCATCCCATAGAAGTGCCCATATGCTCACCAATGTGGAAGGAGAGCTGCTTCTTGCAGCAGGGTTTGTAGGAATGAAAGATGGAAAATGAACGCGAGTGTCCATCTGTAGGAAAACAGCCACTTCACTGTGCATCTGTGCAGGGAGCACCATGAAGCCCATAAAATGAGTGAGGCCAAGCCCTACGTGCGGTATGGCCTGATCTCAAAGATAGTGTGTCTCATTTAAAAGTAGCAAGATGCAGAACCCCAGATGTCCTGTGTTTTATGAGGTCAGGACTGAGACGCACATGTGCCTGCCGGCCACTGTCTGTGCTGACTGGTGTGTGCCGGAGCCCCTGGACCCGGTCAGATATTTGATGTTGCCCCTTTGGGGGGTGACATTTACCTATGTCTGTTTATATAGACATAGAACATCACTGTAAAACAAAACAGGCCAGAAACCCAGTAGCAAAAGTTGTCTGTAAAGAGGGGTGCAGCGTTTCTCAGTCATGAGTACCTGGAATCTTGTTGTTGTTCAGCATGCGTTGCATTATATATATTCAGTGTTGATTTAACAGTTAGAATGTAAAACTTGACACTTAGAATAAAAACAAATTTGTCTTCTTCACCACTGGATTCTGGAGGAATCCGTGAGTCTTCAGAGAACCCTCCGGTTGTCTGCACATGTGCCGTTCAGCTATGCTCTCACCTATAATCTCCCCTATACTCCCCCCCTTAATTATGGAGAATGGTAAAGTCCGGAATTTTGATAAACCTTTGAAGAAAAATCAAGAATGGACAAACAGTAGTGAGGCTGGGTTCCTCATAAAGGTTTTTCCTGTGGAACACCATAACACTTCCTCAGGCCATTCAGTAACAGTCCAAAGTCAGGGGTGGATTCAGGCTTCACAGCGGCAGGCTCTGTCCCGGGATACCTCAAGTCCCACCTGAACCTGATGGTCACTACAGGACAAAAGAGGGTTTCAGTCACAGACTGGAAAAGGTCAGATTTTTGAATATCAGATGTAGGAAGGCTGAATTATGTCTGGGGAGGGGAGAAGGAAGCAAGATCCAAGTTCAGCTGGCGCCAAAACTGAACCTTGATAACCATCCCCCTCTCATATTCATCAGCAGCATCAAAGACTAAGGGTTCAAATCCACCTGACCCCCAAGAACCACCGCACGGTAGCTTTCCACACAAAATGATCACACTTCAGTATTGGTTATCAGATTTTTAAAATTACAATATTTCATAAAATCCTGTGAAACTGTATGATACGAAACACGTGTTTATTTGCTTTAGAATTCGTAGCAACACACGCTTTTCAGTTATCCACTGTAAATGAGTTACTGCTGACTTAATTAGATATGTGAAATATTGGTTTCAAATTTTGAAAATTGTAACCTTTCATAAAATCCTATGAAACTGTATGATGAGAAACACACGTTTATTTGCTTTAGATTTCATAGCAGCACAGACGTTTCAGTTATCCGTTTTAATTGAGTTACTGTTGAGTTAGACACGTGAAATACTTTTGGTCACTGACCCTTATAAAGTAGAGGTTTTCTTTGCACCTGGAATTCCAACTTCACACTGCAGCCAACTGAAGTGATTTTGCCGTCGCACTGTTCACCTTGGAAGTGCATATTCTGTCACAGTAATGAAATTAAAGGGCACACAATATTTTTTTAAAACTCCATTAAATTAATTACACTCTAGAGCTGTCTGTGCTGTAACAAAAGCATTTTGGGATTTCTCCATCCAAAAAATAACACTTTTAACATGTCAGGGGAGACATGGCCGAGTTACCCTCCAGCCACCATCTGACTTTCCCAGCATCACTCCTGTGTCACCGCCTCTCAGGTGTGCATTAGATTGAGGGTCTCATTGGAGAATTGGGGCAGCCCATGGTCTGGTGTAAGGAGGGTCTGTCCGCCTGGGGCTGGGCTGCTGGGGGCCCCTCTCCCACCCCTATCCGCCTCCTGCTCCGGAGGTCGAGGACTTTCGGGGGTCTCCCTATGGTGCCACTTCTCTCTCTTTTCTGAATTTTCGTGGAAGTTTCACTTGTTCATTATGAAGGATACACACAGGATTGAACCTGTCACCAACCTAAGTGTTCTCTGAATTTCCATGGGTAAATCCTAAACCTTTTTGAAGAAAAATACTACATGTTTCCTTTTACAGCTCCCATGTGCCCTACCGGGGAAGGCGCAAGATGCCCTCTGAAAGGGTGACCTATCCCAGCAGTTCTAAGCCGCCGTTGCGTGTTTTTAGTTATTAATAGGACTTCCAGAACACCGCTCCGTGGCGGTGGTTTTCTAAGTGACGCTTTTTTACAAAAGAGGTTTTTTCAGAAGCGGCGACACCATAGAACCGTATTTAGTAAGTAACATTTTGAGAAGAGTAAAGCTTCCTGGAGAAAGTCAAGAAATAACTTGCGATAATTCCCAACACTCAAGAAACTCGGCAGCTTTTAAAAATAGAGCGTGTGCAAGTACAGTGTCTCTCCAGCAGTGGTCTACACTCGAGAAACTCGGCAGCGTTTAAAAATAGAGCCTGTGCGAGTGCAGCGTCTCTCCAACATTGGTCTACACTCGAGAAACTCGGCAGCGTTTAAAAATAGAGCCTATGCGAGTGCAGCGTCTCTCCAACAGTGGTCTACACTCGAGAAACTCGGCAGCTTTTAAAAATAGAGCGTGTGCGAGTGCAGCGTCTCTCCAACAGTGGTCTACACTCGAGAAACTCGGCAGCTTTTAAAAATAGAGCGTGTGCGAGTGCAGCGTCTCTCCAACAGTGGTCTACACTCGAGAAACTCGGCAGCGTTTAAAAATAGAGCCTGTACGAGTGCAGCGTCTCTCCAACAGTGGTCTACACTCGAGAAACTCGGCAGCTTTTAAAAATAGAGCGTGTGCAAGTACAGCGTCTCTCCAACAGTGGTCTACACTCGAGAAACTCGGCAGCGTTTAAAAATAGAGCCTGTACGAGTGCAGCGTCTCTCCAACAGTGGTCTACACTCGAGAAACTCAGCAGCTTTTAAAAATAGAGCGTGTGCAAGTACAGCGTCTCTCCAACAGTGGTCTACACTCGAGAAACTCGGCAGCGTTTAAAAATAGAGCCTGTGCGAGTGCAGCGTCTCTCCAACGGTGGTCTACACTCGAGAAACTTGGCAGCTTTTAAAAATAGAGCGTGTGCGAGTGCAGCCTCTCTCCAACAGTGGTCTACACTCGAGAAACTTCGCAGCTTTTAAAAATAGAGGCTGTGCGAGTGCAGCGTCTCTCCAACAGTGGTCTACACTCGAGACACTTGGCAGCTTTTAAAAATAGAGCGTGTGTGAGTGCAGCGTCTCTCCCACAGTGGTCTACACTCGAGACACTCGGCAGCTTTTAAAAATAGAGCGTGTGCGAGTGCAGCGTCTCCCCAACAGTGGTCTACACTCGAGAAACTCAGCAGCGTTTAAAAATAGAGCCTGTACGAGTGCAGCGTCTCTCCAACAGTGGTCTACACTCGAGAAACTCGGCAGCTTTTAAAAATAGAGCGTGTGCGAGTGCAGCGTCTCTCCAACAGTGGTCTACACTCGAGAAACTTGGCAGCGTTTAAAAATAGAGCCTGTGCGAGTGCAGCGTCTCTCCAACGGTGGTCTACACTCGAGAAACTTGGCAGCTTTTAAAAATAGAGCGTGTGCGAGTGCAGCGTCTCTCCAACAGTGGTCTACACTCGAGAAACTCGGCAGCTTTTAAAAATAGAGCGTGTGCGAGTGCAGCGTCTCTCCAACAGTGGTCTACACTCGAGACACTCGGCAGCGTTTAAAAATAGAGGCTGTGCGAGTGCAGCGTCTCTCCAACAGTGGTCTACACTCGAGACACTCGGCAGCGTTTAAAAATAGAGCGTGTGCGAGTGCAGCGTCTCTCCAACAGTGGTCTACACTCGAGACACTTGGCAGCTTTTAAAAATACAGCGTGCGTGAGTGCAGTGTCTATCCCATAGTGGTCTACACTCGAGAAACTCGGCAGCTTTAAAAATAGAGCGTGTGCGAGTACAGCGTCTCTCCCACAGTGGTCTACACTCGAGAAACTCGGTAGCGTTTAAAAATAGAGCCTGTGCGAGTGCAGCGTCTCTCCCACAGTGGTCTACACTCGAGAAACTCGGCAGCTTTTAAAAATAGAGCGTGTGCGAGTGCAGCGTCTCTCCAACAGTGGTCTACACTCGAGACACTCGGCAGCGTTTAAAAATAGAGCGTGTGCAAGTGCAGCATCTCTCCAACAGTGGTCTACACTCGAGAAACTCGGCAGCTTTTAAAAATAGAGCGTGTGCGAGTGCAGCGTCTCTCCAACAGTGGTCTACACTCGAGACACTCGGCAGCGTTTAAAAATAGAGCCTGTGCGAGTGCAGCGTCTCTCCAACAGTGGTCTACACTGGAGAAACTCGGCAGCTTTAAAAATAGAGCGTGTGTGAGTGCAGCGTCTCTCCAACAGTGGTCTACACTCGAGACACTCGGCAGCGTTTAAAAATAGAGCGTGTGCGAGTGCAGCGTCTCTCCAACAGTGGTCTACACTCGAGAAACTCGGCAGCTTTTAAAAATAGAGGCTGTGCGAGTGCAGCGTCTCTCCAACAGTGGTCTACACTCGAGAAACTCGGCAGCTTTTAAAAATAGAGCCTGTGCGAGTGCAGCGTCTCTCCAACAGTGGTCTACACTCGAGAAACTTCGCAGCTTTTAAAAATAGAGGCTGTGCGAGTGCAGCGTCTCTCCAACAGTGGTCTACACTCGAGACACTTGGCAGCGTTTAAAAATAGAGGCTGTGCGAGTGCAGCGTGTCTCCAACAGTGGTCTACACTCGAGACACTCGGCAGCGTTTAAAAATACAGGCTGTGCGAGTGCAGCGTCTCTCCAACAGTGGTCTACACTCGAGACACTCGGCAGCGTTTAAAAATAGAGCGTGTGCGAGTGCAGCGTCTCTCCAACAGTGGTCTACACTCGAGAAACTCGGCAGCTTTTAAAAATAGAGCGTGTGTGAGTGCAGCGTCTCTCCAACAGTGGTCTACACTCGAGACACTCGTCAGTGTTAAAAAATAGAGCGTGTGCGAGTGCAGCGTCTCTCCCACAGTGGTCTACACTCGAGACACTCAGCAGCTTTTAAAAATAGAGCGTGTGTGAGTGCAGCGTCTCTCCAACAGTGGTCTACACTCGAGACACTCGTCAGCGTTTAAAAATAGAGCGTGTGCGAGTGCAGCGTCTCTCCAACAGTGGTCTACACTCGAGAAACTCGGCAGCTTTTAAAAATAGAGCGTGTGTGAGTGCAGCGTCTCTCCAACAGTGGTCTACACTCGAGACACTCGTCAGTGTTTAAAAATAGAGCGTGTGCGAGTGCAGCGTCTCTCCAACAGTGGTCTACACTCGAGACACTCGTCAGCGTTTAAAAATAGAGCGTGTGTGAGTGCAGCGTCTCTCCAACAGTCTACAAATGGCTTTGCTGCTTTTCATTTCTTTGCAACTCTTGAAGGGTCCTGTTTCAAACTTTGATTTCTCCAAATCGTGGCAACAACATGAAATAAAAAGGTTGGTGTTTAGGTTGTCAAAGAATGTATAGCTTTATCAGTTCAGCTTTACTTTCCTGGATTTATTTTCAAAACCATCTTCATATTGTATTTCTCCCACAGGGCTCCCCACTGTCCATATCTAGTTCACCCAGATTGTTAGTGACCTTCGTTTCTTCGTATCTAGTATATGCCAGTTAGCAAAATGGCAGCCCTCTTCACGCCTTGGATTCTAGAAAAGGCTGTTCCTGACTTTGAAGTTTAGGCCTCCACAGGAGGCCTGTTGTCAGGGCCGGTTCGTTACCTCCAGTTTATCACCTAGGGGAACAGATTCCCCCGCCGATGTCGAAAGGCAGTTCTCTCATGTTACGAAAATGGGATCTGTGGCTATAAGTTAAATACTGCCAAGCAACATACTAAGTTACCACTTTCAAAATGAAAATTGAGTGGTTCCTATTCGTACTTAATATATTTTTACTGTTTTCATTGTAACTAATCCATTGTCAGTGATCAGCCCCCCCCCCGCCCCCTCGCCCATCCTTGGGGCCTCCAATGTGTTCCCCAACAGCTGCCGGAATGGTCTTCCTAAAAGGCAGAGTTAATGATGTCCTTTCACCACTTAGAAGGGTCCAGTGGGTCCCCATAGATTTTAGGATTAACTCAAAACGCTCAGCATGGTTTTTCCTCACCTGTGAGATGGGAATCGACATAGTCTCTGTTTTATGGGGCTTTCAGGAGATTTAGGTGGTGTATCAGTGCGAGCTCGGTGGCGAACAATGGGCTCCCTGTTGCTCGTTGAAGCAGAATGGAGACTTGGCGGGATTAGCGGCCTCTGAGGTCTCCGAGGGCTGGAGGGCCAAGCTCAGCTGGGATCTTGTGCTCGCTGCCTCCCTGCAGTGCCTGGGGCCCCCATGGCTCCCCTCCCTCCTCCCTGGTCAGGGCGTCTGCTGCCACCCCAGTGAACTGCTAAGTTCTCAGCTAAGCTCTCTGGAATTGTTACCACCGCCTCTGCCACAATGTGTGCTGGTAAAATGAATCCCCTGAAACCTGAGACCAACCTTCTCTGACTCAAATCCCAGATCAGAGGTTCATGCAGGTGTTGGGAGAGAGGCCACGTGTGGAAACCTCCTGGCAGGATTCTAGGAAATGAGTGTGTCTGCCCACTCACTCAGCCATCCTCTGTCTTCCAGCTCTGCACCCTCGGAGAGATTGGAGTGGGTGTGGAGGCAGCTGACGTGGAGCCAACAGAGTGTTCATTATGGGAATACAGCATGAGTTAAAAGTCACAATCACTGATTTCAAGGAGCTTGTATTCTCCTAGGAAGGTAGGCTTGCTGGACGTCCATCAGCTGTGATGAGATGAGAAAAGGGCCTGGAGAGTGACTGGGGAGGGGCTCATGTCAGTTAAGGGAAAGCCTCTCTGAGGAGTGCACGTTGGAAAAGATGTCAGAACGATGGGAAGAGGCAGGACATCAGCAGCTTTGGGGGACAGTTTCCAGGCAGGGAGATGTTGTCTGTAAGGGGCCAGAGACCGGAAGGAAACGTAGATCACATGCCAGACAATGGCAAGGTCAGGTTGCTGGAGCACTGCAGTCAGCATGGAAAACCACAGGAGACAAAGGCAGAGGGAAGAGACGGGGACGATGGGTGACCCAGGGCCTTTGAGAATGTGCCAGGACTTAGCTTTAACCCAGATGCTGGTGGAGTAACAGGGGTGGGGGAGAATAGGGCAGGAGACAAAGGTAAGCGCACATGAAGACGAAAGGTGTTGCGGCCTCTGGGCCCAGGGAGTTGAGGAACTCGGGAGTGGTTGGGCTCTGGGTGCATTCTGCAAGTAGAGACCATGAGAGTGAGGTGAGGAAGAGGAGGGCTGAAGGGGACGGCCTGTGTTCCAGCTGAGTGTTGAGTCCTTAGTCATGGTGGCACTGTTTCCGGAAATGGGGAAGGGTAAGGATGAAATGATTTGCAGGGGAAAGTTATGTGTTCTTCCTGAGCCCCACTGAGTGTAGTAAAGATCCAAGCAGACACAAGGTGGCAGCTACCAGGAGATGCCTGGAGTCCAGGAAAGAGGCCAGGACTCGAGGGAACCGTAGCGTCGCATCCTACAGATGACACTGAACCCTGGAGCCGGACCGGAGGAGGAGGACGGGACACAGTGAAAAAGGGTGGGTGCGTGGAGCCCAGGGTGTCTGTCTGCCGAGGCTGGGAAGGCATCAGGAGCCGGGCAGACGGGTGAACGGGCAACATACGGGCACAGAGCCGTGGGTCCCACGTGATGTGATAACCACCCCTGTGCTTGAGCTCAGCCTGGTGCTTCATGCTCAGCTCTCTCAACTTCTCGAACATATTCTAAGTTCTGGTCATATGGGACTAATTGCAGGTGTCCCCAAGCACGACATTCTCACCTCTCTTAGCTTTGAACCAGCTGCCACTTCCCAGCACCTTGTGCACACCCACCCCAGTCATGGCCAGACCTCTCCAACTCCTGCGGTCTTCCCCCAAGCCATAGCCCCACAAGAACAGTGTTGTGACAGCCAAGGCTGGAGGTGCTGCCACCTGTGTGTGTCTGTGTGTGCACGTGTGTTTCTCTCTGTGTTTGCATTCGTGTGTGTGTGCACATGTCTGTATGCACAGGTGTGTAGGGGCATGTGTGTGCATGTATCTGTGTGTATACATGTATCTGTGTGTGTGCATGCATCCCTGTGCCTCTACATGTGTGCGTGCATCCGTGTGCCTCTGCGTGTGTGTGGGCATCCGTGTGCCTCTGTGCCCAGGCATCCATGTGTCTCTAAGTGTGCACATGCATCTGTGTGCCTCTGTGTGTGCGCATGCATCCATGTGCCTCTGTGTGTGTGTGCATCCATGTGTCTCTGCATGTGTGCATGCATCCGTGCCCGTATGTGTCTGCGTCCATGTGTCTCTACGTGTGCACGTGCATCCATGTGCCTCTGCATGTGTGTGTGCATCTGTGTCTCTGCATGTGCACGTGCATCTGTGCCATGTGCGTGTGCGTGCATCTGTGTGTCTCTGTGTGCATCTGTGTGTCTCTGCGTGTGCGTGTGTGTCTGTGTGTCTCTGCATGTGCTTATGCATCCGTACCATGTGCGTGCATGTGTATCCGTGTGTCTCTGCATGTGTGCATGCATCCATGTGTCTGTGTGTGCTTGCATCCATGCGTCTCTGCATGTGTGCGTGCATCCGCATCCATGTGCGTATGCATGGTCCGTGACCACCATGCTGCTTGGCTGTCATGGGAGGACTTGTTCACTGCCTCTGCCTTCTAAGTCCTGAGCTGACTTTCCTCCACAGCTCACAGGAATTCAGCGGATAATTGCTTTTACATCAGGATACTTTTTTTCATTTTCACCTTTAGTATTAGAAAGGAATTGAAGCTCTTATCAGGATGTTTAAAATCACATGCATAGAACTAATGGATTTTCTCTAGAACTCGGCTTCCCCATTTATAACATCCAAAATTTAGTGATTCTCTGACTTTAGAATTCTAAAGGGGAAAATGTGTAATTAGAATTCTAAGGCAAAGAATGTGCTTGGTGATTATTTGGATTCTGGATAAACAAGGGTTCCTTTCTTTGTTTCCAATTAGTGGAATTAATATTCTCAGACCCATTCTGCAGCTTACAGAGCAACCAAACAAACTGATTCAGTAAATACAGGCATTTAATTTTATGTTGTGGTTTAAAATCTAGCTTAAGCCCTGAAGCGTGCTTAAATTCTAGAGATTAGAATTTATATCTTTTGTAATCTCCAATGGGTTTTAATTTTGTAAGTGAGCCAACAGATTAGCAGAAACCCTAGATAACAGTGAACTAATGATTTAAAAAAAAGTCCCAACTTGATATTAAGTGAATACCTATTTTTTTCTAGCAAACTGTTCCTTCAACATAGGTGAATTCTTTAATTTTGAATTAATTAGCCACTAAATATTTCAGATGTACATCATTTAATAGAAATTCGAGTATTTCATATTTTCCAAAAATACAATTTTAGTTAAAAGCCAAGCATACTGAAAAAACTTCGAAATCTCAAACTTAAAATGTTCATTCTTTACCACAATAAATACAACAAAGGCAAATCAGGACATGTATTAATAGAGAAATGTCCATGGAAATGCATGTACCCACCCGGCGTGCTGGATCCTGCTTCTGTGACTTCACGCGTGTGGATCCGTGGAAATGCGTGCACCCGCCCAGCATGCTGCGTCCTGCTTCTGTGACTTCACACGTGTTGATCTGTGGAAATGCATGCACCCACCCAGCGTGCTGCATCCTGCTTCTGTGATTTCACACGTATTGTTCCATGGAAATGTGTGCGCCCACCTGGCGTGCTGTCTCCTGCCTCTGTGATTTCACGTGTATTGTTCCATGGAAATGCATGCACCCACCCATCGTGCTGCGTCCTGCCTCTGTGACTTCACACATGTTGTTCCTTCAGCCTAAGATGATTCCCTGCGTTTCTTGCCCTGGGAAACATAGATCAGATCGGCTCCTCCCCCCTGCATCAGGGCCTTCTCTGATAAGCCGAGTTAATAATTTCCTCTTTAATGGTCCTATATTTGTAGGTTTCTATGATGTATCATTTGTCACAGTGCATAATTATTATAATCATTGTGTACTATTATCGGAGTGTCTGCCTCACTTTGTAGATTATTAACTCCTTGTAAGTTGTCTTATTTTTAAAATTCACCTTTGTCCCCTCCATGCCCCATAGAATAAGTGCTTAGTAGATGTTGACACTGTTAAACTCACAATTTTTTTTTTTTTTTTGAGACAGAGTCTCGCTCTGTTACCCAGACTGGAGTGCAATGGCGTGATCTCGGTTCATGCAACCTCCGCCTCCCAGGTTCAAGCAATTCTCCTACCTCAGCCTCCTGAGTAGCTGGGACTACAGGCACCAGCCTCCACGCCCGGCTTACTTTTTGTATTTTACTGGAGACAGGGTTTCATTGTGTTGCCCAGGCTGGTCTTGAACTCCTGAGGTCAGGCAATCCACCCGCCTCAGCCTCCCAAAGTGCTAGGATTACAGGCATGAGCCACTGCACCCGGCCTGAAACTCACAAGTTTTAAGGCTTTTTAAACAACCACGATGCACATCCTCCGGGAGGAAAGGTGGTTAAACCGCTTCTGGCTTTGAGTCTGGGTGGCCCCGGTAGTAAGTTTACGTGACAACCATGGCAAGGGAGCTCTTCCTCCCACCCCACACTGTGGCTCCTGCTGTACCAGGTTGCAGACGCAGTACCAGGGCGAGTGTAGTGCGGGAAGCAATGGCTCCTGCTGAACCAGGATTCGAACGTGGGGCAGGCAGCAGCAGCTCCTGCTGTACGGGGATGCAGATACGGAGCGGGCAGCAATGCCCCAATGCCCTGTGGCCTCTTCTGGGCAGCTATCCTTAGCACCCTATTCTAGAACAATCCCAAACTTGCCAGGTGAGACAGGAGCCCTGCCTCCGCTCCAATGACTGGTCGCTGCCTGTGCCACCCAGGACACCTTTTTATTTGGATCTTTGAAGAAAGAGTTTCACATCGTGTTTCCTTTCCTAACCACCTGTTCCTGGAGCTGAGGGCTTGGCTGTACTACTAGCTGAAACCAGGGCATTTCATGGATCACGTTTCCTAATTATTTGTTTATTATTTATGCTCTGCCTCATTCGGAAAGCCCAGCTGTTATTTAATAGGATTAATGTGGCGCGTTTCGACACAGTAAAGAAGTTGCTGTTTCTTTACACCAGATTCATCTGGCAACTGAAGTGTGCGTCTGGTCTGCTGTGATATCCAACCGGAAAGGCTGAAGCTATGTCTCTAGGGCCTCTGGCTTAGTGAAATAAGAAGCGTCCATTGAAGGGGGAGGAAGACGACCCCCAAAGTCTGTATTTTGAATATGGACTGTTTGCTCTTAAGTTGCTTCAAACATGATTCAGTCTTTCCCAAATTAGGACAAACCACTGTCTCTGCCCCCATAAGAACAGAATGGTGTTTGTAATTCAATAACAACAGAGTTTTCATTGAGCTCCAGGCCATTTTGTCCCAGAGAGCACATTCCTATCCTATCTCTTCTGTACTGACTCAACTTAGTCCTGAGTTTGACTTTACAACACTGTAAGAAAGTTAGATTGATGTTTCAGCTGGCCTTTATAAAATGCACATGATTTCGTCTGCGTTACTGTCTGAAATTCTTCCACAGCGTTCAAGCGACATGTTTCCACAGGCAGAGCAGGCACCTTCTTCCCAGATCATCTTACCCATTAACACATTGCTCAGGATGTAAAACTGTCCAGGACACAGTGTTACATCCATTCTCCATAGGGTTTTCTTAAGCTGCGTGGTTTGCAATGTAAGGACAAGTGTTATCCTCTCAAAAGCGCCTTTGGACTGGAATTGATTCCTGTGTCCTTGAGCCATGTCCTTTTCAGCCATTTCACAATTCCTTAACTGTTGAGGACTTAACATATATGAGATATTTGGGCAGGCACGACTTCCATGTTCCTGTCTTTCTTCCTAAAATATCAGAGGAGCGGGAGTCACAGCATCTAAAATGAAACTCATCTTGGCAGTCCCGTGAAATACGGAGCTGATTTGTTTTCTTGCTGCAGAGAGCACAAGAATAAAGGAAGACTCCACAAGCCTCGTCTTCCAGATCGTGCTGACCTGCTTGGCTCAGCCTTGCCCTGGAGGCAGACTCGGGATGAGAATTACGGATTCACAAATATCCGAAACCACCCCTGTACTTCCCCAGGCCAGATCATTCTCTCAGTTTAGACCTCTCAACCTGAACCGATGGATGCTCTGCCTGGCATCCTTGGCCTCCACCTCACCCAACACTCACCTTCTTGTCTTCCAGTCTTAGTTTAAAACTCACCTCTGCAGGGTCACTTTCCCCCAGTCCCCCAGAGCTGGTGTAGCGGATGGTCTTCTCAGCGAGGCTGTCCTGAGATGTTCAATGTCGCAATGAGACAGTCATTCCACGACCCCAAGAGTGAGATGTCCGATGGTCTCACCAAGCTTTCTTTCCTGGACCAAGGAAGTTCCCAAACAACTTAGCATCTTAGAGTTAAAGCTGCCTGTGTGTCCAGCCATCTGCCTGCAGGGGGCGTCCTCCCACCTCCAGCAGCCCTGGTCCCTGGGTGTGGTCCCCCGACCCTGCAGCCCGGCTGCTGTAGCGCGTTTTTGAAGTGAGCTTTCACTGCCTCCCATGGTTTCAAGATTTGGGGTGCTCGGCGGATTTATCTGTAAAAAACTTTGTACGCATACATTGCTAGCTCAGGCCAAATTAAATCTAGTTAACGTTTGCTTTTATTTGGGATGCAAAAGGGATCTCCCCTGAAAGGATTAAGGGGACACAAGCATACCCTACAGGGCCTGAACGGAGCAGCCTCCAGCAGTGATTGGCGGGGTTCTCATTATTCCTCTCGCGTGTGCTGCTAGAGAGTTTAAAGCAACTTTGGTACCGCTTGCCAAAGAAAAATGACAGACTCAGGTCTGTTTTCCTGAGACGGGTGAAATGTTAATTTACTGTATCAAGAGTTGTCGTCAGCTCCTTTTGGATCGTTTTTTTGCAAGGACCGTCCATGGAGATGGCTTTCCAGCCACAGTCTTCTGTTTTGATCTCCTTTTTCTATTTTGTAATCTTTATTGTAGTGGTAACTACAGGTCTAATCATTATCTTCCCCCGTAAGCTATAAGGCCCATGGGAATGTGAGTTTCTGCCTCCGGGTTAGCCATCTGGTTTTCAGGACCCAGTGTAGAATGAAAAGATGGGCCATTTGTTCAATAAGCAGGAAAAATGGCCATAAGTGGACTCAACTATACAGCTTTTTTCTTCTTCGATGGTTTCTTGACTTGCTATGGTATTTTTTGTTTGCTCCTTAATGCTATTTTGAATAAAGATTGGAAGTCTAACTATTAGCATGCTTTTACCATTTGTCTTTATACTGTGTGACAGCAGTTTTAAATAAAAATAAAAGGGCATTTAACTTGTATGCAGAATCAGTGAAATTAGACAATCTGTATTTCACTATTGCACATATATTTTGTTCTTCCTGGAACAGTGGAAATATTGAACTAAAAAAGTACTTTAATATCACTTCACAGTGTACCACATTCTAACAAAACTCTCTCCCACTGACTCACTGATGAGCAAGGAAGAAATGTAAGGAAAGGAGCTCTGGGCCGCCCTGTCTTTCAGGACATGGCACGCGCTCGGTCTCGGTCCGGGCCTGTCACTCAGGACACGGCGTGCACTCGGTCTCGGTCCGGTCCTGTCTTTCAGGACATGGCACGCACTCGGTCTCAGTCCGGGCTTGTCACTCAGGACACGGCGCGTGCTCGGTCTCAGTCTTGGTCTGGGCCTGTCACTCAGGACACGGCGAGCTCTTAGTCTTGGTCTGGGCTTGTCAAGTGAACAGGAGCTTTCCATTTGGGAAATTAAAACCTTTAAAGAACATGCTTGAACCTTAGTTTCTTCTTCCTGTTTTTCCAACTGGAGAGACTAAGTTCACAGCTGTTTCCATCTCTCATTTCTTCACATGACTCTGATTTATCCCATTTTCACAGTACCTTCCTCCCTTTGGTGTTGTAGTATATGTTGTTGTGGAAACATGTAAACACAGTGACAATACAGGGAGAAGAGAAAAAGTGGAAAAAACTGTTACATAAGATCAGCCGTGCTCTTTAGCCAGCATAAAATGTCTTGAGCAATGACACAGGCCTTGGGCTATGAGGGTGAACTAAGGCCTAGGCAGTGATTCTGAAGCAAATGTTTCCATTGCGAAAATCCCGGGCAGGCCCCTGGAGGCAGAGCCCTGGTTCCACGTGGCCCAGCCGTCTCCTGAGAGCGGAGCCTGCCTTCCATCCTCCTGACACTGAGCGAGATTACAGTTCCGAGGCGTCTCACATTTCACCATTTAGGACGTTAACACTGCTGTGTATTTCTTTGCAATTTTACAGGTAAGGCTGAGCTAAGTGACCAACCAGGGTCCCTTGGCCAAGGCGGATGTGATGGGCCCACCCTCCACTGCACAGCCTCAGAGCTCCACACCTGTGGCTCCACGGGGACTGCAGTGGGTTTCATGTAAAAGGTCATTAGTCTCTGTAGAGTATTTTGGGCTCATGAGAATGATGTATGCCTGAGTCATCATTCCATCTCTTCCTTTGTCTTTTATTGGTTTAGTGACTTCTCGTCATTTAGTTATTGCTTGCTATAGCTTGTGGAAAATAGATCCAGAGAAGTTGAACTTGACCTTTTTAAAAAGTTTAAATCTCTTGCAAGTGTAAAGAAACATGGTGAGCCAGGCATGGTGGCTCATGCCTGTAATCCCAGCACTTTGGGAGGCCAAGGCAGGTGGATCACGAGGTCAGGAGATCGAGACCATCCTGACTAACACCATGAAACCCCATCTCTACTAAAAATACAAAAAACTATCCGGGCGTCGTGGCGGGCGCCTGTAGTCCCAGCTACTCAGGTGGCTGAGGCAGGAGAATGGCTTGAACCCAGGAGGGGGAGCTTGCAATGAGCAGAGATGGCACCACTGCACTCCAGCCTGGGCAACAGAGGGAGACTCCGTCTCAAAAAAATAAATAAATAAAATGACGTGCTTGTAAATGAATCCATTCTCCACTTTTTCATTAATTCTGATGGATCTTCCTCAGACTGTACAAGACCACAGGGATTGCTGGTTTGTGTCTTTGGGCCCTGGAGGCAGAGCAGAGCCCTTTAGACTTCATGGGTGAGGCTGAGACTGTGTTTCTGTAACAAGGGCCTTTTTATAGTTGTTTTTTTTGGAGACAGAGTCTCACTCTGTCTCCCAGGCTGGAGTGCAGTGGTGTGATCTCAGCTCACTGCATACTCCACCTCCCAGGTTCAAGCTATTCTCCTGCCTCAGCCTCCCAAGTAGCCGGGACTACAGGCATGTGCCACCACACCTGGCTAATTTTTTTATTTTTTTAGTTGAGACAGGATTTCACCTCATTGGCCAGGCTGGTCTCAAACTCCTGACCTCGTGATCCACCCACTTCAGCCTCCCAAAGTGCTGTACAGTTAATATTATTATTATTATTTTTGAGATGGAGTCTCACTGTGTCGCCCAGGCTGGAGTAGAGTGGCATAGTCTTGGCTCACTGCAACCTCTGCCTCCTGGGTTCAGGCTATTCTCCTGCCTCAGCCTCCCGAGTAGCGGGATTATAGGCTCATGCCTGACTAATTTGTGTGTGTTTTTTTGTTTTTTTGTTTGTTTGTTTGTTTTTTGGTTTTTTTTAGTAGAGACAGGGTTTCACCATGTTGGCCAGGCTGGTCTTGAACTCCTGACCTCAGGTGATCTGCCCGCCTTGGCCTCCTAAAGTGCTGGGATTACAGGCGGAAGCCACTGCACCTGGCCTTACAGTTAATATTCTTAAATTTAGTGATCGTCATTATTCATTCTTTTTAAAAACTCGTAGTAAAGACAGAACAACAACCACAGCAAAATGAACTAAGCTTCCCATAATAACGGGAGACGGCGGAAATGTCGGGATGCCGCTTACGTATCGGGGTGTTTATGCAGAGCTGTGTTTCTGAGAAAGGCCGAACACAGATGCTCATGTACACACTTCGGTGGTTTGCTGAGAAATGTGGTAGAAGCTTTCAGGAAATGGCATGAAATAATGAAGGGTCTGATCCTCTGCAGCACTAACACTCTGAGTAGCTGTGTTATGAATTATGCGTGGAAGGCACTTTTCAGCCTTAGATCTGCAGGCAGAGTCCACATGCTGGGCACATGTGTGCTGCTCTCGTGATGACTTGGCTAAACTGCGACAGGCGACAGGTGACAAGCGACAAGCGACGAGTGGGAAGAAAAGTCTTCAGAAGGTGACAGATTCAAATGTATGCACCAAACTGGGCCCAGATCAGCCTGGAGTTCTCAAGAGATGTGAAGAAACCTTTATGGATTAAAAACAATGTCTTTTAGTCAGTCTTTAAAAGTATCTTTAATTTCTGAAATTGTTTCATGGAATGAAGTTTACTCTCAGTAATCGCACAAGTGCACCAGAGAGTGCTGCATTCCTGAAATTTCTGGCTGATTGAGATTAAATGGCATTTCATTTAGAATTCATACTCCATTTCAATGTTTTATTAATTAATTGGTTAGATTCAGCTAGATCCGTTTTTCGAAGGTCATTTTAGACCAAAATATTATTTTTATGATTTCTGAAATTTTTCAAATCTATCATTTCTTCCCAAGAGTTTCATTTAGAGAGTGTGTGCATGTGTGTGCATGTTCAAAGAGCAAGTGAGTTCTATTTGGGGAAGTTCAATTCGGTAGATGCTTACTGACTACTCCGTCCTGGTTCTGTGCCGGGTCCTGGGGTAGCCGAGGGGAATGAACATGGGCCCTAAGTGAGGTTGCCTTCTAACTGCAGAGACCATGGGGGTGAATGAAGATGAGCCGTGCGTGAGGTCACCTTCTAACAGCAGAGACCCTGGGGCTTGGGGTGCATTAGCCCCGGCTGTACCTGCCTGAGCCCAAGTTAGCACTGCTGTGAGCCCTATCAAACTGGGGCTGGATTTTCCACCAAGTGTCTCATACCAAACAGGCCTAGGATATTTCAGAACCTTGTCTTCTAGCTCTGCTGAAGTGCACAACTCATTGCTGCAAGCTGCAGCCGCCCTGCCGTGCAGTAGAACCCCAGAGCTTCCTCTCCCCATCCGATTCACTTGCTTGTCTGACTGTGGCTGGGACTGAGTGAGCTGCGGACCCCAGGGACAGAACGGATGTCCATTAAAGTGGCTTTGCTCCATTTCCCATGTTTGTGGTGGGTCACAGTCCCTCATGTGGGGTCGAGGTTTCTTTGTATCTTGCCCCTGCGAGAGGTGTGGCTGTGGGAGTGAGGAGGTGGTGGCAGGAGCCAACAGGTGCTGGCCGTGGTGCTGACGCCCAGGGACTGAGTTCTGGGTGAGAGCACTACTTCACAGGGACTGAGTTCTGGGTGGGAGCACCGCTTCGCAGGGACTGAGTTCTGGGTGGGACTGAGTTCTGGGTGGGAGCACTACTTCACAGGGACTGAGTTCTGGGTGGGAGCACCGCTTCGCGGGGACTGAGTTCTGGGTGGGACTGAGTTCTGGGTGGGAGCACCTCTTCACAGGGACTAGTTCTGGGTGGGAGCACCGCTTCGCGGGGACTGAGTTCTGGGTGGGACTGAGTTCTGGGTGGGAGCACCACTTCACGAGGACTGAGTTTTGGGTGGGAGCACCGCTTCACGGGGACTGAGTTCTGGGTGGGACTGAGTTCTGGGTGGGAGCACCGCTTCACAGGGACTGAGTTCTGTGTGGGAGCACCGCTTCACGGGGACCGAGTTCTGGGTGGGAGCACCGCTTCACGGGGACCGAGTTCTGGGTGGGACTGAGTTCTGGGTGGGAGCACCGCTTCATGGGGACTGAGTTCTGGGTGGGATTGAGTTCTGGGTGGGAGCGCCACTTCACCAGGACTGAGTTCTGGGTGGGAGCACCGCTTCATCGGGACCGAGTTCTGGGTGGGAGCACTGCTTCACGGGGACCGAGTTCTGGGTGGGACTGAGTTCTGGGTGGGAGCACAGCTTCACAGGGACTGAGTTCTGGGTGGGAGCATCGCTTCACGGGGACTGAGTTCTGTGTGGGAGCACCACTTCATGGGGACTGAGTTCTGGGTGGGACTGAGTTCTGGGTGGGAGCGCCACTTCACCGGGACTGAGTTCTGGGTGGGAGCACCGCTTCATGGGGACTGAGTTCTGGGTGGGAGCACCGCTTCACAGGAGCGTGAAGAGACTGCAATGCCAGGGAGGACGGGCTGCTCCTAGCTGGCTTAGCTGCCTGCTGGGTACTCATGCACGCTTTCTTTCATCTGTGTTAATAATCAAATGGCCGTCACAGTGCACTGGGGGAAGTGGATTCTTAGTCGACAGGTAGAAATGCAGCGATGTGGCACTGATGTGCTAGTTGAAGCCATACTGTGTGCCATAACTAAGGCCGCAAATTCCTTCAGAGGTCCTGGAAGCCACAGTGTCTGGGGTTATGCTGGTTGGGTGGGTTGGCTGCACAGTGTCCTCACACACCCGTTTCACAGCCCAGGGTGGGCTAGTGGGCAGGTCGCTGGCCTTTCCTACGGACTCGAGCCTGAAATGTGTCCGTCCCTCCCCTTTGCAAACCTGCCCTCCTTCCAGGCACCATGCCGGGCAAACAACAGACTCCTCCTGCCCAGGGAAGCCTTTTCTGATTTTTTAGGGACACGGATCTGGGCAGTGTTTGTAAACTCTTTGCGTTTAGAGTCTTTGCTGTTCATCCACCTCGGTGTTTAATAATATAATCCGTCTTGTGTTTTTCTTGGATGCTTCTTTTGTGTTAATCTCAGTTTGGTGTCAACATCTTGGGTATACGACAAACGTGGTAAAAATATCCCGGATGTGAAAGATGACCCACTTATAGAAGGGTCCTTCCGACGTTTAAAACGTGTCTTGTTTTGCTTATGGGCTGGGCACACCTTCTCTCATATCTCTGAGATACGTGTAAATCCAAGCACCTTTCTGGGATCTGTGAACAGGCAGGAGCAGAGGGAGAGTGGCTGTGGATCCCTCCTCTCAGGCCTGCAACCTTCCCAGTAGAGCAACACTGGGGTCAGGGAGCCATGTGTCAGCAAACAATCCCTAGGGAGCCACTGGGGAGGGCACAGCCACCTCCTGCCAACCCCCTGAACAGCCCCAGGGTGGGCCAGGGCTGGCAGCACACGGCAGCGCCTTCTTTCTTTTGCTGGTGAACCAGTGTTGGGGTGCAGCCCTCTGTGAGGGGTTTCCATGGCCTGGCACAGCCCATCCCCAACAGCCACCTTCCTTTGCTGCAGTCAATGTGTCCTGGTGTAGAAATGGGGGTGTGTGTGAGTGTGTGTGTGCGAATGTGAGCGTATTTGCGTTTATTTGCATTGTGTGCTTGTGATGGTTTGTGTGAGTGTGCCTGCATATGTGAGTATATGCATGTGTATATGTGTTTATATACATCTGTGTACACATATCTGCACGTGTGTCAGTGTGTGTGTGTCTGTATGCGAGGGTATATGCATGTATTGTGTGTGTGTATACATCTGTGTACACATATCTGCACATGTGTGTTAGTGTGTGTCTGCATGTGTGAGTATATGCGTGTGTCAGTGTATATATGTCTGTGTACACATGTGTCTGCATGAGTATATGCATGTGTGTGTGTGAGCGTAGATACATCTGTGTACTCATATCTGCACGTGTGTGTCATTGTGCACACACTCCTACAGATGCACACACACTTGCTATGACGGAGCTTCCCTGCCCCTGGCTGTCACACATGCCCTGAGAAGCACACTCACCCCCTCCAGGTCACACGTCTAAGTGACTGGCTGGCCTTTGGCCTCCACAGGCTCAACCTGCAGCCGCGAGGAGCACTCAGAATTCACGTCTGAGTCACTGGTGAGCTCAGCCTCACCTCTCACGCCCCAGACCTGGAAAAGCCATTGAGGCTGCAGGTAGCTCTCTAGGGTCCTGGACCATTCATAACCAAGCATCAGATCAGCGTAGCCGGGATGAATGAAAATACGTGGGCTTCTTGCTGGGTGCAGCAGACACGTGTGTTGAAAGCTCTGGGTGTGTCTGGGAGTGGGACCACTTGCTGATGTTTCCTCAGAGAGCCCCCAGCAGCAAGCCTACTCCCTTCCACAAGCATGTGGCCGCCTCGTCAGGCCCCCCTTCCTCGAATGGTGTGGAGCATCAGGGCAGGGGCAGCCCTGTGACACCGCCCGAGGTGTTGAAAGCGATGGTGTCTGGAGGAGGTCAGGCTCTTCATGCCTCCGGGCGGTCTGTTCCTCCTAAGCAGATGGACCTCCGGCTGCAGGCGTGAGCACAAGGAGAGAGATCAGGGACCATCCAGAAGCCTCCGCAGACTGTCTTCTGGCACATTACAGAGATGGAGGAAGGAGAAACCCACTGCTACCCTGGCCAGGGGAGCAGAGCCCATGGTAGGCCATGCAGAGCATGGCACCTCGAGTCTCAGGACACGGGGACGGGCAGGGCTGGGGTGTGGGCGTCTCCCTGTCTCCCTTCCCTGGGGAGGAGGAAGCAGAGGTTGAAGAGGTTTTGCTGCCATATTCTAATGTCCAGGGCCGTCTTCATTTATCCAACTGTGATCTCGTCCCTGACACTTTCCCATCCCGTCATCAGATTGTCTAAATAGCGATGTTTTGTGAGCTCTTCCACAGACAGGGGTTCACACCCCGTTTCTCCTCCCGTGAGTCCTGTGTGCAGGGTTTGTTCATCCGGACACCTCCATTGCCTGAGCACTGTGGAGCCCATATCAAGCCCTCATAATAGGCAGCGACTGTGGCGTGAGAAAGGCACTCGGAGGTAATTTGTGTGCCGATGTAACCGCGGGCTCTCCAGGCAGGTCTGGACTTGCATATGTGAGACTCGTCTCAAATTCAGTTTCATATGGTTCTCACCTATTCTCATACCCAATTTTAATGGGGAACTTTCTTTAGAGGAGGTAAGACACAGGGTGGTCCATCTCCACCCGAACTTATCTAGCAGAGCAGGTGGAACAGAAGCTCAGATCTAGCAGAGCAGGGGGAACAGAAAGTCAGATCCCAGGTGCATCCTTGCCTCCCATCTGAGGCTCAGCCCTGGGCTGCTGAAGGCGCATATGCGGTGGCACAGGGGCCAACACGGCGAGAGCCACGTGCTCCGCAACTGAGGGCACCATGCCGGGGAAGAGGCTTCCTTGCGTGAGGAAGGCCCACAGAGTCCAGATTTCACTGAGAGACCCCTGTGCCCCTGAGAGCCCCAAACAGCTCATGCCTGGACTGGAAAGAGTGACACACAGTGATGCCAGTGAGTCTGAGAGCTCCTCAGTGAGGTTCTGGACATTCTGATGGGCTGCCTTGAAAGCAAAGGAAATGTTTCCTGTGATGAAAATCAACAGCTTTTGGCTGCACACCTGAGCTGGTTAAGCTGAGAAGCCATGGCAGTCAGCATTTGCCACCCCATGCAGCCCTGGCAGCTCCCTTAGAGCCATCACTGTGACCCAGCGTTCCTGGCGTCGGCCCTCATCCACCTGTCACCAACCCAAAAATGACATCAACAAAACCAACCACATCAAATGGTGGATATGTCAAGGAGTCGGTGAATTTTCTGTAAATATGTGCTGTGGGAACGTGCTGTGGATTTCTCAGGCCTACTTTTCGTTCCACTAAATCTTCTGTAAAAGCCACTGGTATGATTCCTAAAGCTGCTTCCAGTGAGGAAGTCACGCAGATGTGAGTGTGAGAGGTGGGCCCTTCCCCACCTGCCCTCGACCCCCCCAGTGGAGACATGCACCCACCGTGGGCCATGCATGGACTCCGGTGGGATGACCAGTGTGGCATCCACGTCGGCATTCTCGGCACTCCAGGGTAAACACCTCCACAGCAGCCAGGCCGTGTGCCTTCTGTAGCACCACATGGAAGCTATTTCTCATACCACCGAGAAGCCATAATGTAACATGGTAAATACATGATACATGTGTTGACACGCTGTAAAGGAAGAGACACGAAATTGCCTCACTAACACGGCTGTCTTGCCTCTCTCGCCTCTTTCCTCTGAATGTTCTTTCTTCTCCTCCCCGCCTTGGCCCTCCCTGCGGGGCACAAGTTTGCCATCTCCCATCAGGCAGTATCCCGGGACCCAGCCCTCGCAGGCACTTCCAGCAGGCCTTAAAAACACAGAAATCTTATAAGCATCTAAGTAAATCGTAGCTGTTGCTGCATTGTCTAGAAATTCAGGGCAAACCATAGTTCTAGGAACCATGGTCTGACGTTTCTGCAGAAGGGAACTCCTCATCCAAGACACGGTGGTTGAGTCACTGCCCAGATAATTTCTGGATTTCTTGGGAGCGACAAAGCAGAGGTAGTGTGGCCTTTCTCTCTCAGTCTACACCGAAGCCATCAGGAGGCTTCGAGCTCCAAACCAGCTGTGACCAGAAGGCTGGACTCTTTAGGGCGGCCTAATGAGGATGCTGCTGGAGAAACAACCTTCAGCTGGTCACTGTGGACAACGAATTTAGAAAATCGAGTTTGGCATTACATTTTCACTCTAAGACAGTCCTGTTCACACTCAGCAACACATGAGTGTGTTCTGTGGGCTGACACTATGCTGTGTCCAGAGACCCAAAACCAAACGGGACAGTGTGCTTCCTCTGGAGGAATGGGTAATAATCACGTTGCAATATCGGACATGATGGCCCAGAAAGACGTGCCAACTGCTAAATGAGCTCAGAGGAGGAGGGCGATTGTTGGTAGGGCAGGGTGCGGTGCTGGGTGGAAGTTTCTGGAAGCAGGGAAGCTTTGGACTGGTCATGACGTATGAGTAGGAGTTTGATGGATGGAGGAAAAGTCGAGAGCAATCCAGGAAGAACACATATTGTCTGTG
Organism: Homo sapiens; assembly: GCF_000001405.40. Lineage (NCBI taxonomy): Eukaryota > Metazoa > Chordata > Mammalia > Primates > Hominidae > Homo > Homo sapiens. The sequence continues at coordinate 1,335,705 of NC_000008.11, forward strand.
CAGGACGCAGGACGCCCAGGGAACCCTGAGTATGATTTATGTGTTTTGTTGCTATGTTTATTTATGTCCTTCCTTGTTCCAGAGTGGGTTTATTGTGGTGCAATAAAACAAGTTTCAGATAAATAAGAAAATGTGGCTAAAAGGAAACTAAGGGAAGCAAAGTGTGGCAGAGCCGGGGCTGCGCGTGGTGACGCGGGAGGCATCAGGACCCTAGAGCCGGGGCTGCGCGTGGTGACGCGGGAGGCATCAGGGCCCATAGAACTGGGGCTTTGTGCTTTTTCCGGTAAAGAGCTCCAGGGGGGAAAACATCACAATATAAAGAAACTCTGAGCGGTGCTGGGCGTTCAGCCCGTCTCATGTCAAGCCTGGTCCTCCACATGTGCAGTCTTGGCTGCTGCATCCAAGACCACCCTGTTCCTCCCCACATTGGTGACCCCATGGGTCCCTCCTTTCTGTGGATTCGTTCTGAGCATTAAATAATGTATTCAATGAATGGTTTTGAATGTAACTATTTTTGTTAACTGGATTTATTTTGAAGATGCTGATTCAATGCTAGCATGGAAACAGTCAAGCAACTCTGAGATCTGAAGCACCTTCGTTCTGGGAAGAAAGGGTGGAAGTGAAGAAGGGAGAGGGGTGGTGAGAGAAAGGAAGGAAAGAGCTGGAGGAAAAGTGGCGAGGAGGAGGAGGAAAGGCACCGTGCATCCACAGGCTGTCAAGAACCGGCCGGTAGAAGTCTGGGCTCTTTCCCTCGTCTTTACAGACGTCCGTTATGAGGACGTTCCAGTGTGCCACTGAAACACACGCAACTCTGTGCCGGAAGCCTTTCCCAGCACAGGAAGGACTTTGGCTGGGGTCTGGGCTTGGCACAACTGGTTCAGACTAGTCACAGGGGCCTGGACACCAGCAGCCTCTGTGGCTTCTGCACCTCCGATGCATCTGGAACAGGCTGGGGCCCCTCAAGGAACGTGTCTTGCTTCTGTTGAGCCACTCTTTTCTCACCCCTAAATAAGACAGATGCATTCAGTGACCTCTCAGCTTACTAGTGAAAGCAGTGGGCTCCTCTCACCCTCTTTTAATAAACTACTTAAGAGCTGTTGTTCATTTAATACATACACACATTTTTCCTAATGTTTACTGCAAAGGAATTTAAGGAGTAGTTAAAAGGTATTGATTCTGGAATCAGAAAAACATGCTTTTCACTAGCAAAATGACATTGAGCAATTCATATTTTCTAAGTACAAGTTATCCCACCCTAAAATGAAGATATTATTGACCATATGGGAGTGAGGAGCAGAGGCAATGAGTCTCTAGAATAGTCATTGGTGATCAGTACATAGTAACCAGTAATGACAGTGTGTGACATGATGAGAAGATAGAGAGGAGGAGGAGGTGAAGAAGAAATAGATAATGATGATGATGAGGATGATAATGGTGGTGAGAATGATGGTGATGATGGTGGTGATGATGATGATGGTGGTGGTGAGAATGATGGTGATGATGGTGATGATGATGAGGATGATGGTGGTGGTGAGAATGATGGTGATGATGGTGGTGATGATGAGGATGATGGTGGTGGTGGCGATGGTGATGATGAGGATGATGTGATGGTGAGAATGATGGTGATGATGGTAATAGTGAGGATGATGGGGGTGAGGATGACAGTGATGATGATGGTGATGGTGAGGATGATGGTGATGATGGTGATGGTGAGGATGATGGTGATGGTGATGATGATGATGGTGATGATGGTGAGAATGGTGAGGATGATGGGGATGGGGATGATAGTGGTGATGAGGATGATGATGGTGATGCTGATGATAGTGATGATGATGATGATGATCATAATGGTGGTGGTGATGAAGAGGAGGAGGAAGATGGCATGCTTGGGTTCCTCATTGATTCATGCATTAATTCATCCCCCCAAAAAATGGTTAGGCAGTGGTTTCTTAGATGTGACACCAAAAGCATAAGCAACACAAGGATAAAAACAGACAAACTTTATTGACATCTTTCGTGCTTCAAAAGACACAATCTAGAAAGTGAAAATACAACCGATAAAATGGTAGAAAATATCTGCAAATCAGTTATCTGAGAAGACTCTAGTGTCTGGGTTATATAAAGAATTCTTCCAATTCAGTGAAAAAGACCAGTCAAATTAAAAATGGGCAAAATACTTGAATAAACAGTTCTCCAAAGAAGGCCTGCAAATGTTCCACTAAGTACAGGGAAGCTCAACATCATGAGTCGTTACAAAAATTCAAATCAAAACCAAGATGAGATGCAATTGCATTCCCACTAGGACGGCTGTCACTGAAGAATGGACAATGACAAGTATTGCTGAGGACTGGAGAAACCAGGCCCTTCAGAGACAGCCCATGGGCACGTAAAATGGTGCAGCCATGTGGTTTAGTTAGGAAATTCCACACAAAGTTAAACAGACAGTTACCTTATGACCCAGTGTGTGTATTCCTAAGCATTCATCCCAGAGAAATGAAGACGTATGTCTACACAGAAACTCACACACAAGTGTCCACAGCAGCATTGCTTAGCCAGAAAATGGAAACAGCAGATGTTCCCCATTAGCCCATCTGCTGGCCAAGGGATAAAGTGCAGGCCACACGTATGATGGAGCCCACACCACATACAGATGCAAATATTATGTGAAATGAGAGAAGCCAGACTCAAGTCCACCTACTGCATGATTCTATTTATATGAAATGTCCAGGACAGGCAAATCTGTAGAGACAGAAACTAAATTGCCTGGGTCTGGGGGCAGGAAGGAAGGAGTAACTGCTGATTGATACAGAATATGTTTTGGGGTGATGCAAATCCTTTGAAATTACATAGCGGTGATTCTTGCACACCTTTGTGAATATATAAAACCACCAAGTTGTAAACCTTGAAAGAGTAAATTTTATATCTTAATTATGTCTTTATTTTAAAAATCTAAAACAAACCAAAAACTAAAGACACGATCTGTACAGTATCAGGAGCATACGGTCCCATAATGGGGAGAGAGTGAGCCCAGGACACGTTGCAGGATGAGGTACGCACCCTGTGGAGACTGAACGGGAAGTACCATGGTGTCAGGACCTGGGAGAGAATGCAGTGACCTAAGGGAAGTGTCAGGACCTGGCAGGGAATGCAGTGACTTCAGTGAGGCGTCAGGACCTGGCAGGGAATGCAGTGACCTCAGTGAGGCGTCAGGACCTGGCAGGGAATGCAATGACCTCAGTGAGGCGTCAGGACCTGGCAGGGAATGCAGTGACCTCAGTGAGGCGTCAGGACCTGGCAGGGAATGCAGTGACCTAAGGGAAGTGTCAGGACCTGGCAGGGAATGCAGTGACCTCAGTGAGGCATCAGGACCTGGCAGGGAAGGCAGTGACCTCAGCGTGGCGTCAGGACCCGGGAGGGAATGCAGTGACCTCAGTGAGGCATCAGGACCCGGGAGGGAAGGCAGTGACCTCAGCGAGGCGTCAGGACGTGTGAGGGAAGGCAGTGACCTCAGTGAGGCGTCAGGACCCGGGAGGGAATGCAGTGACCTCAGCGAGGCGTCAGGACCCGGGAGGGAATGCAGTGACCTCAGTGAGGCATCAGGACCCGGGAGGGAATGCAGTGACCTCAGTGAGGCATGAGGACCCGGGAGGGAATGCAGTGACTTCAGTAAGGCGTCAGGACCCTGGAGGGAATGCAGTGACCTCAGTGAGGCATCAGCAAGAAGGTGATTCCTGGGACAGCCTCGGGAGCCTGGAGCACACAGGGACCCTCCCTTGGTGAGCTCCATTCTGGAACCGCAGCACTGTCCCCTGACACCCCCAGTGGGAACAAGCTTCCGTGTCACGTAAGTAGTCTTCAGTATTTCTCAGTGTATTATTTTTTTCCATGTTTTCTGATGTAGAATCTGTAACAGGAGCTTCACATGGGTTATCTCATGTAATCCTGTGCATTCTTTTGGCCATTGTGACCTTCGTTTAATAGGGGGATCCGGAGTCTCAGAGGCGAAGTCTCACCCGGGCGCATCAGGGCAGAGGAGCCACCTGCCCTGCGCTGTGTGTTCCTAGATCCAGATACTCCAAATAGCATGGAAGGCGATGGCTCAGCACTGCTGGAAGGAATTCTCTAGGAGAAGCTCTGATAATAGATAAAAGGTGGAACTTATTTTTTTATCTCTGGGATCCTGTGATTCAAAGACAAAATATGTGTATATTGACAGGAAGCTGTGCAAACAGCTAGTATCGTGATCTTGCTTAAATGTACATGAGAAAATCATTCAAATACCTTATGTTTAGAAAGGGTTCCTTATTCAATCCATGGTACTGGGAGAACTGGCAGGACGTGTGCAGAAACTGGACCCCTTTCTTCCACCATATGCCAAAATTAATTCAAGATGCATTGAAGACTTTAAAACCCAAAACTATAAAAATCCCAGAAGAAAACCTAGGCAGTACCATTCTGGACATGGGAACTGGCAAAGATTTCATGACAGAGACACCAAAAGCAATGGCAACAAAAGCAAAAATTGACAAATGGGATTTAATTAAACTAAGGAGCTTCTGCACAACAAAAGAAACTAGCATCAGAGCAAACAGGCAACCTACAGAATGGGAGAAAATTTTTGCAAATTATGCATCCCACAAAGGTCTAATATCTGGCATCTATGAGGAATTTAAACACATTTGTAAGAAAAAAACCATTAAAAAGCGGACAAACAACAGGAACAGACACTTTTCAAAAGAAGACATATGTGCAGCCAGCAGTCGTTTGAAGAAAAGCTCAACATCACTGACCATTAAAGAAATGCAAATCAAAACCACCATGAGATGCCGTCTCACAGCAGTCAGAATGGCGGTTATTAAAAAGTGAAAACATAACAGATGCTGGTGAGGTTGTGGAGAGAAAGAAATGCTTACACACTGTTAGCTGGGAGTGTAAAGTAATTCAGCCACTGTGGAAGACAGTGTGGTGGTTCCTTGGAGACCTAAAGACAAACACCATTGGACTCAGCAATGCCATTAGTGGGTATAGACCCAAAGGAATAGAAACCCTTCTGTGACATGCACAGACACACATGCACATGTGTGTTCACTGCAGCACAGTTCACAATAGCAGAGACGTGGAATCAACCTAAATGCCATCAATGGTAGATTGGATAAAGAAAATGTGGTATATGTACACCATGGAATACTATGCAGACATAAAAAAGAATGAAATCATGTCTTTTGCAGGGATATGGATGGAGCTGGAGGCCATTATCCCTAGCAAACTAGTGCAGGAACAGATAACCAAATACTGCATGTTCTCACCTGTAAGTAGGAGCTAAATGATGAGAACTCACGGACACATAGAGGGGAACAACACACACTGGGACCTGTGGGAGGAGGAGGGTGGGAGGAGGGAGAGGATCAGGAAAGTAACTAATTGATAGTAGGCTTAATACTTGGGTGATGAAATAATCTGTACAACAAATCCCCATGACACAAGTTTACCTATGAAAGACACCTGCGCATGGACCCCTGAATGTAAAATCAAAGTTAAAAAATGAGATACATATCAAATAAGTTTTCAAATATTCTCCTTTTGTTTGAAAAATAAGCGTGTTTCATATCCCCCAGCATTTTTCAACAGAGACGTGCAGTCCTTTTGGCATACTTTCTTTTTGCAGTACATTTAATTTTATTAGATCTTACCCAGAAATTATTCATAGCCAAATTGTTATTGAACGTTAGCTTCATAAATCACTCCTCTCTGAAACACATATAGGCGTATTTAATGGAATACCCACATCAGCAGTTCTGCCTACAGTATGGGCTGGATGAGTTAGTTGAAGCCATGTCTCAAAAAAATCAGAGATGGGAAGGAGATGACTGTGGCTGACCCCGTACAAAAGTTAGTTCTGTGTCGTTTTCCCCATAATCTTTGCAGGTAAATATGAACTTGTGGGCTGTCTTGACCAGAGGGGCTCCTAGGGAAACAGAGATGAGCCCCTGACCCTCTGGTGTCTCCCATCACTGCCCGCCCTTTTGGGCACGTTAGCAGGGTGTGCTAGCAGGTGTCATTTCCCAGCTGCAGTAGGAATGCTGTCCGCAGGGTCCCTCCATCTGCAGGCCCTGGCACATTGCCTACAGAACATGGACCTGTAGCTTATGGGAGCTGAAATCAGTTCATGCACTGTGGGATTCTAGCCTGCGGGTGAAGCAATTGAGGTCTGAGGTTTTGTTTTGTTGTGTTTGTTTTGATTTGTTTTGCTTTGTTTTATTTTTTGAGACGGCATCTCTCTCTGTCACCCGGGCTGGAGTGCAATGGTGTGATCTCAGGTCACTGCAGCCTCGACCTTCTGGGCTGAGGTGATTCTCTCACCTCAGCTTCCCAGGTAGCTGGGGCAACAGGCAGGTGCCCCTACCCCCAGCTGATTTTTCTGTACAGATGGGGTTTTACCATGTTGCTTCCCCAGGCTGGTCTCAATACCTGGTCTCAAGCAATCGGCCCACCTCAGCCTCCCAAAGTGCTGGGATTACAGGTGTGAGCCACCGCACCTGGCCAGGTTGTGAGGTTTTAAGTGACTTGTTTCAGGCAGAGACTGGATTGCAAACCTCCCAACCTCACATATTATTTCCAGCAATTTAGTGCATTGCTGGGTCCCACAGATGATGCGTTTAATTTGTGATGTATGGCAGGTCTTCCGATTTTAAGTTACATGTAATACATTGTAGTGTACATAGTGTTGACCCACTCTGTTGTTATTGAATGGTACCGAGCACAGTTCAGCTAACTTTTTCTGTGAAGGGCCAAGTAGTTAATAGTTTGGGTTTGTGGGCCGTGCGGCTCAGTCGCATCTGCTGTACATTTGTGGTAGGGTAAGTTTCGATTCCTGACAGGTACAAGTGCCAAAGGCTGGCTGTGCACCGTGCTGGCATTTCAGCAAGTGCGTTATCACATGCGAATGCTGAATTTTCTGTTATTTCTCATCCCTAACTTTATATTCCTCTCTTAACATTAATTGAAAATGACTAAGCAGAACTTCAAAACGAAAATTAACAAGCTTGTGAAATGCGGTGTGTGTGTTGAAGTGCCGGAAAGACTCATGTGGTGCCTATTTGTCATTTCTCCTGTGATTTAGCGCTGTATTTCTAAGTTCCAAGTCACAATTCTTTCCCTTACCTTTTGCTTTCCTTCTAAACTGCTTTCTGCCGTCTTTGCCGTGAGACCAGGTGCCAGGCACCAGCTGTTTCTCTTTTTCCGTAATTGTAGCCTCTGGCACATGGTCGTGCATGGGTGCGGGGTGCTGGGAGCACAGAGATTATTGAGAAATCTGTTCTTGCCACATTAATTTCTGTACTTTTTGTTCATATTTTCACAAACCGGAGACACAAACACTGGCCAGTCCTTAGTAGATGGTGCTTAATTATTCACCAAGCGTGCAGAAGTCCCCAAGACCACCTGGAGGCTCAGGATATGCCAGAAGGACACAGAAAAGCAGTGTGCATGGTTATGGTCTAGCACAGCAAAAGGGCACCGATTAAGTCCGCCACGGTGAGAGGTGCGCAGGGCAGGGCTCAGGACAGACCAGGCCTGAGCCTCCAGGTGTCTCTCCCGTGGAGTCACACAGGCAGTGCTTAATGTCCCACCGGTGACATACATAGGACAAGACTCACAGACACGGCCAACCGGAGTTGCCCACGAGCCTGTGTCCTGGGGTTTTCTTGGGGTCCATCATGTAGGCTTGGGGTGCCCAAGTGACTGAGCCTAGATGCCTGGTCTCCAGCTCCCTCAGAGGGAAAACTGGCACCACATGGCCCAGGGCCCAGGTAAGCAAAGACTCTCTCAGGCTGGAAGCCCCAAAGGCCAACAGGTTACCCCAGAGGCGCTGGTCAAAACCAGAACTTTCTTGGAAATATTAACCCTTTACTGCATGCCAAGTAAATGCACGTCCTGTTTTTCCTTGATAAAAACAGGGAAATGGTTCCGCAGTCAGCTTTTGGAGCAGTTTGCATCTGGGGGGTCGTGGGGGGTGTTAGAGGCTCCGATGTGCACGACAGTGGAACGGAGGCCTCTCCAAGAGGCGGGGGCAGTGCTGTGGGCTTCACGCCTGCTGTGGCACGAGATCCTCCCTGCACGTCCACCCGTGACAGAGCAGATGATGCTCCAATTCCAGGGAGTAGGGGGAGCTCAGCCCTCTCACGCTTCTCACGGGTGCGAGCTCCCTGCCAGGTGAGGTATATCAGGGCTTTCCCTCCTGGCCGAGGGCAGGTGTACAGAGAAACATGGCGGACAGAGGAGACCTGCATTTACCAACGTCCTATTCACAGATGTTTCCGGTTCATTCACAGAATAAACAGGTCCTGTCTTTACAGTAATGGAGTAATGCCTGCAAATGTCGTACTCGGGGCCCTGTCGTGGGTCCATGTATTCGGGGCCCTGTCGTGGGTCCGTGTACTCGGGGCCCTGTCGTGGGTCTTTGTACTCGGGGCGCTGTCGTGGGTCCGTGTACTCGGGGCCCTGTCGTGGGGCCTGTGCCGTGTAGAATCTGTAGCTGCACACTTCGCCCAGTCTCCCCTCGAGCTACGTGCCCAGGCATTGTGGGTGGCTGGCGGGTCTGTGCAGACAACAGCCTTCAGGGTGCCACCTGCATTGCCCTCACACCTCGCACATGGCCGGGACACAGCTGTGAATCCTCCAGAGAGGTCTAGTGTCACTTTCTCTGAGCAGCTGCTCTCCAGATTAGGTGGCCATGTGGGTAAAAGTCGGGACTCAGACTCACCTGTTTGACATTAGTTACTGAAGCACTTTGTGCCTCAGTTTCCCTATCTGTAAAATCGGAATATTCACATTTTCTCCATAAGGATGTCACAGAGATTCTATGGAGTAATTCCTATGATAGACTAAGAGTGCATGTACCTCTGTGTTCAGGAAAACCCGGCACTGGTCTATCTGCTACATCCTAACGCTGGGCTCCACTCATTCTCCACTCAGTCTCCCGCGCTCCTCCGTAACCCCACACTGGTCTATCCGCTACATCTTAACGCTGTGCTCGGCTCCATTTTCTGCACTCCTCCTTGGGGATCACTGGTAACTGAGGCATCTGTGCAGGACTGGGCGTGTGTCTGACTCACAGCAGGTACAGAACACATGTTTGTTGAACTAATGAATGAGAGACTGGACTATGAAGGCTGGCCTCCCTCCTGGACCGAAATATTCCACTTCCGGTCAAAGGACAGGGTCTTGGTGAAGAGGACTCAACATCACCAGGCACTACCAGAGGGCTAGACCGCCAGTTAATCACTTTCAATAAAAGTCCTTCCAAATTTGATATTGGGACCATTCATCTTTCAGAGGAATCATTTGAAAGCTCAGTTATCTGGCCCTTTGCAAAGTTCATGACTCGGGAACAATTAGCTTAGCTGCTTATATAAATGACATAATTCGGTTTTGGTACAGTGTTGAGACCAAGGAAATTCATTAGGGCCCAGTACATTTTCTGTGAAGTAGAGTTCTGAGGAGCACTACTGTATCCTCTGCTGAAGGTGCAGGCTCAGTTCCTTCAGGGCAGAGTGTGCGGTCTGTTTCTCTGCTTAAGATGGAGGTTCAGTTCCTTCAGAGCAGAGTGTGCGGTTGTTCTGTTTCTCTTCGCCAAACACACTTGTTAGATTTCTTTCCTCTGCTGTTGAGAATAAGTACACTGCATGTAGTTTCCCCCATTTTGCCCGAGTTGCCAAATCTAAATAAACTACGTCTATGACAAAATAAACAAATGATTTCACTCTCTCTCCCTTTGTTGAAAATAGTTTTTGATATTACTTGGCATAAGTTTTTCTGTTGTACACATTTTAATCTGATAAGCCATCTTTATTGTCTTAAGAAAACACATTGTGTGGATGTAATTCCTTGGTTGTCATAGTCCTTCATGTGTGTTAACACGTCTGATCAGTGCACAGCAGCCCTGAGGGATGGGCAGGACAGGGAATGACCCCACTTCAGGAAAATGCACAGAGGGTGGTGAAGGGCTCATGCTTTGGAATCAGACAGATGTTGTTTCAAACACAAGTTATTGAAACTTTCTAGGCTTTTTTTCTTTGATCAGTGTAATGATGCTTGTAACACCTACCTCAGCATTGTTGTAAAATTAACTGAGCGTGCTTAGAGTGCACTGCTTGTCATTATCGCTAGTGGTTGCCCTATAGGAAGGAAGCAAACTCGGGGACGTGAAGTGACTCCAGGCAGGAAAGACACAAGGCAGCGCTTAACTTCCGAGCCCTTGAGCTGCCCATAGAAACAGGGTCCAGACTCTGGCACCAGCTCCTGTGTCCAGTGCAGATGGGACAGGCTCAATGCCCACGCCATGGGCACTGTGCTCATGGTGGCTGAGTGGAGGTTGAGTGCCCGGCAGAGCTGCATTTCCCTTATGGTGTCTGTGTGGAAGTCAAAAGCCCATACACGTCTGCACTGCTCTGATGGTAACTGTGTGGAGTTTGAGTTCCCATACAGAGCTGCATTGCACTCACGGTAGCTGTGTGGAGGTTGAGTTCCCCGTACACATCTGCATTGCTCTCATGGTAGCTGTGTGGATGTTGAGTTCCCATACACATCTGCATTGCTCTCATGGTAGCTGTGTGGAGGTTGCGTTCCCATACACATCTGCATTGCTCTCATGGCGGCTGTGTGGAGTTTGAGTTCCCATACAGAGCTGCATTGCACTCACGGTAGCTGTGTGGAGGTTGAGTTCCCTGTACACATCTGCATTGCTCTCATGGCAGCTATGTGGAGGTTGTGTTCCCATACACATCTGCATTGCTCTCATGATAGCTGTGTGGAGGTTGAGTTCCCATACAGAGCTGCATTGCACTCATGGTAGCTGTGTGGGTGTTGAGTTCCCATACACATCTGCATTGCTCTCATGGTAGCTGTGTGGAGGTTGAGTTCTGAAACAGAGCTGCATTGCACTCACGGTAGCTGTGTGGAGGTTGAGTTCCCATACAGAGCTGCTTTAAACTCATGGTAGCTGTGTGGAGGTTGAGTTCTCATACAGAGCTGAATTGCACTCACGGTAGCTGTGTGGAGGTTGAGTTCCTATACAGAACTGCTTTGAACTCATGGTAGATGTGTGGAGGTTGCGTTCCCATACAGAGCTGCATTGCACTCATGGTAGCTGTGTGGAGGTTGAGTTCCCATACAGAGCTGCGTTGCACTCACGGTAGCTGTGTGGAGGTTGAGTTCCCATACACGTCTGCATTGCTCTCATGGTAGCTCTGTGGAAGTTGAGTTCCCATACAGAGCTGCATTGCACTCATGGTAGCTGTGTGGAGGTTGAGTTACCATACAGAGCTGCACTGCTCTCATGGTAACTGTGCGGAGGATGAGTTCCACACAGAGCTGAATTGCACTCATTGTAGCTATGTGGAGTTTGAGTTCCCACACAGAGCTGCATTGCTCTCATGGCGGCTGTGTGGAGGTTGCGTTCCTGTACAGAGCTGCATTGCTCTCATGGCGGCTGTGTGGAGGTAGAGTTCCTACACAGAGCTGCATTGCTCTAATGGTGGCTGTGTGTAGGTTGAGTTCCCACATAGAGCTACACTGCACTCACGGTAGCTGTGTGGAGGTTGAGTTCCCCCACAGAGCTGCATTGCTCTCATGGTAGCTGGGTGGAGGTTGAGTTCCCATACACATCTGCATTGCTCTCATGGTAGCTGTGTGGAGGTTCAGTTCCCATACCCATCTGCATTGCACTCATGGCAACTATGTGGAAGTTGAGTTCCCATACAGAGCTGCATTGCTCTCATGGGGGCTGTGTGTAGGTTCATTTCCCACATAGAGCTACATTGCACTCATGGTAGCTGTGCGGAGGTTTTGTTCCTACACAGAGCTACATTGCTGTCTTGGTAACTGTGTGGAGGTTGAGTTCCCATACAGAGCTGCTTTGCACTCATGGTAGCTGTGTGGAGGTTGAGTTCCCACACAGAGCTGCGCTGCTCTCATGGTAACTGTCTGGAGGCTGAGTTCCTATACAGAGCTGCGTTGCACTCATGGTAGCTGTGTGAAGGTTGAGTTCCCATACACAGCTACATTGCACTCATGGTAACTGTGTGGAGGTTGAGTTCCTATACAGAGCTACATTGCACTCATGTTAGCTGTGTGGAGATTGAGTTCCCATACAGAGCTACATTGCACTCATGGTAGCTGTGTGGAGGTTGAGTTCCCATACAGAGCTACATTGCACTCATGGTAGCTGTGTGGAGATTGAGTTCCCATACAGAGCTACATTGCACTCATGGTAGCTGTGTGGAGGTTGAGTTCCCATACAGAGCTGCATTGCACTCATGGTAGCTGTGTGGAGGTTGAGTTCCCACACAGAGCTGCGCTGCTCTCATGGTAACTGTCTGGAGGCTGAGTTCCTATACAGAGCTACATTGCTCTCGTGTTAGCTGTGTGGAGGTTGAGTTCCCATACAGAGCTACAGTGCACTCATGGTAGCTGTGTAGAGGTTGAGTTTCCACATAGAGCTGCATTGCACTCATGGTAGCTGTTTGGAGATTGAGTTCCTACACAGAGCTACATTGCACTCATGGTGGCTGTGTGGAGGTTGAGTTTCCACATAGAGCTGCATTGCACTCATGGTAGCTGTGTGGAGATTGAGTTCCTACACAGAGCTACATTGCACTCATGGTAGCTGTGTGGAGGTTGAGTTCCCACACAGAGCTGCGCTGCTCTCATGGTAACTGTCTGGAGGCTGAGTTCCTATACAGAGTTACATTGCTCTCATGGTAACTGTGTGGAGGTTGAGTTCCCATACAGAGCTACATTGCACTCATGATAGCTGTTTGGAGATTGAGTTCCCACATAGAGCTGCATTGCACTCGTGGTAGCTATGTGGAGGTTGAGTTCCCATTAACATCTGCATTGCACTCATGGTAGCTGTGTGGAGGTTGAGTTCCCACACAGAGCTGCATTGCTCTCATGGTGGCTGTGTGGAGGTTGAGTGCCCAGCAGAGCTGCATTGCTCTCATGGCCGCTGTGCGGAGGTTGAGTGCCCATGCTCTGCTGTCTTACACTCATGATGGCTTTGCAAAGGAGCCAACCCATTGTGTATGCGGTGGAGCGTGTTGATGGATTCAGCACCAGCCAGTATCAGTCCCCACCTCACGTTGGCTGCTTCCCCATCCATGTCCTGCTTGTGCCTTTGGAATCTTGTGGCATCATCTCAGGTTTGGATTTTGGATGTGACCTGGATTATATTGAAGAATGGTCACCATGGTCTGTCGCCTTCCTTAGAGATATTTTTAAATATTCTTAGCATTCATTTATCTTTCTGGAACTCATGGTGAGATAAATTAGCTGCAGGGTGGAGATGCGGCCACTTGCTCCTGCCAAGTCACCTCAGCAGTGTGCTGCTCAGAGAGTGCTGCCGTTTTTAAGGGGCCAGCAAGCCCATCAGGTCTCTTTCCCTTCCCGTTCACCTAAACAGACACAGCTTTACAAAACACAGCTGTGTCGTACGCTCACATTAAATATTAAAATGTGGTATTAATGTAGTTGAGATACTTAAACTAGGTGTTTGAGGGGGCACTATCACGAGCCTCCCGCCGACATCCACACATGTCATGAGCCTCCCGCCCACATCCACACACAGGTAGGAAGGGGTGTTTGAGGGAGACTATCGTGAGCCTCGTGCCCACATCCACGCATGTCATGAGCCTGCCGCCCACATCCACACACAGGTAGGAAGGGGGTTTGAGGGGAACTATCGTCAGCCTCCTGCCCACATCCACTCATGTCATGAGCCTCCCGCCCACATCCACACACAGGTAGAAAGGGGTGTTTGAGGGGGACTGTCGTGAGCCTCCCGCCCACATCCACACACAGATAGGAAGGGGTGTTTGAGGGAGACTATCATGAGCCTCCTGCCCACATCCACGCATGTCATGAGCCTCCCGCCCACATCCACACACAGGTAGGAAGGGGTGTTTGAGGGAGACTATCATGAGCCTCCTGCCCACATCCACGCATGTCATGAGCCTCCCGCCCACATCCACACACAGGTAGGAAGAGGAAGGATGGTGTCTTTCCCCATTAGACCACTGGTGACTTTACAGAGAAGTGCAAACTCATCAGACACCTTGAATTGCTCTAACAACTTTTGTTGCTATATAATAAATTCTGTACCTCAGTTACATTGTATAGACTGTTTATCTTTGTTTAATATTGAAAACAAACACATTTGCCTATATCTCTAGGCAGATTCTTACAAATATGCTGTACTTTACAGAGGCTCTATTTTTTTTCAGCAACCAAAACAACACATATAACCTTACAACTAATATAAAGGGGAGCAAATTGATGACTTTAATATAGAAACCGTTTCGATATTAAACCATTTATAAGGTGCCAATAATTTATTCATATTTGTAAAATCAGCTGGTTATTAAACTGCAGGAAGAAATAAAAACATCCCCGACTACTTCATGCTCTTGTGGCGTGGAAAGGCCGCGCGGGTCCTGAGTGTGCGTGGAAAGGCCGTGCGGGTCCTGAGTGTGCGTGGAAAGGCCGTGCGGGTCCTGAGCATGTGTGGAACGGCCGTGCGGGTCCTGAGCGTGCGTGGAAAGGCCGTGCGGGTCCTGAGCGTGCGTGGAAAGGCCGTGCGGGTCCTGACAGTGTGTGGAAAGGCCGCGTGGGTCCTGACTGTGCGTGGAAAGGCCGCGCGGGTCCTGACTGTGCGTGGAAAGGCCGCGCGGGTCCTGAGTGTGCGTGGAAAGGCCGTGCGGGTCCTGACTGTGCGTGGAAAGGCCGCGCGGGTCCTGACTGTGCGTGGAAAGGCCGTGCGGGTCCTGACAGTGCGTGGAAAGGCCGTGCGGGTCCTGAGTGTGCGTGGAAAGGCCGCGCGGGTCCTGACTGTGCGTGGAAAGGCCGCGCGGGTCCTGACTGTGCGTGGAAAGGCCGTGCGGGTCCTGACTGTGCGTGGAAAGGCCGTGCGGGTCCTGAGTGTGCGTGGAAAGGCCGTGCGGGTCCTGAGTGTGCGTGGAAAGGCCGTGCGGGTCCTGAGTGTGTGTGGAAAGGCCGCGCGGGTCCTGAGCGTGCGTGGAAAGGCCGTGCGGGTCCTGAGTGTGCGTGGAAAGGCCATGCGGGTCCTGAGTGTGCGTGGAAAGGCCGTGCGGGTCCTGACAGTGTGTGGAAAGGCCGCGCGGGTCCTGACTGTGCGTGGAAAGGCCGTGCGGGTCCTGACTGTGTGTGGAAAGGCCGTGCGGGTCCTGAGTGTGTGTGGAAAGGCCGTGCGGGTCCTGAGTGTGCGTGGAAAGGCCGTGCGGGTCCTGACTGTGTGTGGAACGGCCGTGCGGGTCCTGACTGTGTGTGGAAAGGCCGTGCAGATCCTGAGTGTGTGTGGAAACACCGTGCGGGTCCTGACTGTGTGTGGAAAGGCCGTGCAGATCCTGAGTGTGTGTGGAAACACCGTGCGGGTCCTGACTGTGTGTGGAAAGGCCGTGCAGATCCTGAGTGTGTGTGGAAACACCGTGCGGGTCCTGACTGTGTGTGGAAAGGCCGTGCGGGTCCTGACTGTGTGTGGAACGGCCGTGCGGGTCCTGACTGTGTGTGGAAAGGCCGTGCGGGTCCTGAGTGTGTGTGGAAAGGCCGTGCGGGTCCTGAGTGTGGAACGGCCGTGCGGGTCCTGACTGTGTGTGGAAAGGCCGTGCGGGTCCTGAGTGTGTGTGGATAGGCTGTGCGGGTCCTGACTGTGTGTGGAAAGGCCGTGTGGGTCCTGACTGTGTGTGGAAAGGCCGTGCGGGTCCTGAGTGTGTGTGGATAGGCTGTGCGGGTCCTGACTGTGTGTGGAAAGGCCGTGTGGGTCCTGACTGTGTGTGGAAAGGACGTGCGGGTCCTGACTGTGTGTGGAAAGGACGTGCGCGTCCTGCGTGTGGCGTGGAAAGGCCGTGCGGGTCCTGAGTGTGCGTGGAAAGGCCGTGCGGGTCCTGACTGTGTGTGGAACGGCCGTGTGGGTCCTGACTGTGCGTGGAAAGGCCATGCGGGTCCTGAGTGTGTGTGGAAAGGCCGTGCGGGTCCTGACTATGTGTGGAAAGGCCGTGCGGGTCCTGACTGTGTGTGGAAAGGACGTGCGCGTCCTGCGTGTGGCGTGGAAAGGCCATGCGGGTCCTGAGTGTGCGTGGAAAGGCCGTGCAGGTCCTGACTGTGTTTGGAAAGGCCGTGCGGGTCCTGACTGTGGAAAGGCCGTGCGCGTCCTGACTGTGTGTGGAAAGGCCGTGCGGGTCCTGAGTGTGTGTGGAAACGCCGTGCGGGTCCTGACTGTGTGTGGAAAGGCCGTGCGGATCCTGACTGTGTGTGGAAAGGCCGTGCGGGTCCTGAGTGTGTGTGGAACGGCCGTGCGGGTCCTGACTGTGTGTGGAAAGGCCGTGCGGGTCCTGAGTGTGTGTGGAACGGCCGTGCGGGTCCTGACTGTGTGTGGAAAGGCCGTGCGGGTCCTGAGTGTGTGTGGATAGGCTGTGCGGGTCCTGACTGTGTGTGGAAAGGCCGTGCGGGTCCTGACTGTGTTTGGAAAGGCCGTGTGGGTCCTGATCGTGTGTGGAAAGGACGTGCGGGTCCTGAGCGTGTGTGTGGAAAGGCCGTGCGGGTCCTGAGTGTGTGTGGAAAGGCTGTGCTCCTCCTGTCCCCAGCGACTCCCCCTGGGGCTTCCTCATGGGGCCATCTCTTCCTCTCCCCAGCGACTCTCCCTGTACCTGCCCTTCCCTCCCCTTCCTGGGGTCACCGCTGGGTCTCAGCTCTTATCACTTCCTAAAAACTCTTCCCACCCCAGACAGACGTCTTAAGTGCCACCATGACATTAATATTCTTAGAGTGTTTATTATAATATCATTTTAATTCATCCAAGTTTGTAATAATTAGTAAGTATGTCAATTCCTGGAAGTTGGCCCATTTCTCTGAATAAGCTTTGAGGTAAAGACTCGAACCCTGACTGGGGCGTGGCTGGCCTTGTCCACGTTCCTTCTTTACATGACTTCTCTGCCCTGAGTTTTACAGCTCGCTGTGCCCTGCAAATGCATTTCTCCTGCCTTTCTGAGGTTGGTACTTTTCCAGCCTTGGATGCCACTCCCCAGCCCCTACCCAAGGTCTGCTCATCCCATAGTAAGTCATTCTCTGGAGACGCAGGAGATCCTGGAGGAAGGAGAGAGAAGGGCTGAGAGAGCCTGAGAATGGGGCCTCCGGTCTTCCAGCTCAGCCTGCCATTGGGGTGCTCTTTGACTGTTCCAGAGCTCTGAGTCCATACCCATGTGTAGACAGGATTGAAGGCAGATTTTGACTCAGCCGAAGGGAGAACCTGCTAGGATTCAGCAATGTCCTGAACTGGCATGAGCTGCCTTGAACAGCAAGAAACGACGAAGGACCCCCCCGAGGTCAGTGATCTGGAGGAGTTTGCAAATCCCTAAGGGTGTCCATTTGCTTCCCACACCCACGTGTGCTGTTGATTTTCAGAGGCAGGTAAGGATGTCCTGCATTAGCTTCCTTCCATCTCAGCTCCCAGCACAGGGCTGTGTGTGCACAGGAGGCTTTCTCTAGACACATGTGAACAGAGGGACAGACGGTCCTGGCTCACAGCAGTGCGATAAGATTGTTTTACTTTATGATGCTGTGAAAGTAATGCACATTCATTAGAAACTGTACTTCGAGTTCCGCACAACCCTTCTGATTTTTGCTTTCAGTACCATGGTCAATGAATTATGTAAGGTATTCACTTTATGATGAAATAGGCTTTGTGCCGGATGATCTTGCCCCGCTGCAGGCTCATCTAAGTGTTCTGAGCACGTTTAAGGTTGGCCAGGCTAAGCTATAATGTTTGGTAGCTTAGCTGTATTAAATGCATTTTTGACTTACAATGCTTTCCATTTAAGATGGTTTGTCAGGACATAACCCCATTATAAGGTGAGGGGTATTTGTACTATGATAAAAATAGAGGCAAATCTTAGATTAGCAAGCTTTTAGAAGCATGAAAATGAATTAGGAATAGTAAGAAAAATAATTTACTTAACGTAAGATTCAAATTTCTATAGGTCAAAGAACCTTGTAAACAAAATTAGAAGGCAAAAACACGACAGGAAAAATATTTGCAATACATTGACACAAAATTTTTAATACGGGAAAAATATCTCAAATCAATATGAAAAATGCAGGTTAATATCCCTAGAGGGGAAAAAAATCAGCGAAGGGGAAAAAAGCAGTTATTTAGCCCAAGAAAAATTTCCAGCGTCACTAGCTATGAAGTAAGTGGACGTTTTTTTAAAAACCTAGTGCTTCTTCTATTTATGATGGAGTGGCAGTGGCCAGTGCTGTTTATAGAAGGATGAATAGGTGCAGGCTTCAGGGGGGCAATGTTGTATCAGAAGCCTTAAAAATATTCATTAACTTCACCCAGAAATTGTAATTCTGGAAATTTACCTTAAAGGATATTCTCTCAGCATGAACCGTTAAAAACAACCTGCTCACCAGTGGGATGTAATTTAAGAAAAAGAAAATACTTACGGAGGCCAGGCACGGTGGCTCAAACCTGTAATCCCAGCACTTTGGGAGGCCAAGACGGGTGGATTGCCTGAGGCCAGGAGTTTGAGACCAGCCTGGGCAACATGGCAAAACCCCATCTCTTCTAAAAATACAAAAAATACAAAGTATCTGGGTGTGGTGGTGCGTGCTTGTAGTCCCAGCTACTCGGGAGACTGAGGCACCAGAATCACTTGAACTCGGGAGGCACAGGTTACAGTGAGCTGATATTGAGCCGCTGCACTCCAGCCTGAGCAACAGAGCGAGACACTGTCTCAGAAAAAAAGAAAGAACGAAAAGAAAATACCTTGGAATGAAAGACTGTGGGGCCATTAAGATGATGCTGTGGGTGAAGGTGGAAAGTCACGGATGATGCTGCGGATGAAGGTGGAAAGTCACGGATGATGCTGCGGATGAAGGTGGAAAGTCACGGATGATGCTGCGGATGAAGGTGGAAAGTCACGGATGATGCTGCGGATGAAGGTGGAAAGTCACGGATGATGCTGCGGATGAAGGTGGAAAGTCACGGATGATGCTGCGGATGAAGGTGGAAAGTCACGGATGATGCTGCGGATGAAGGTGGAAAGTCACGGATGATGCTGCGGATGAAGGTGGAAAGTCACGGATGATGCTGCGGATGAAGGTGGAAAGTCACGGATGATGCTGCGGATGAGGGTGGAAAGTCACGGATGATGCTGCGGATGAGGGTGGAAAGTCACGGATGATGCTGCGGATGAGGGTGGAAAGTCACGGATGATGCTGCGGATGAGGGTGGAAAGTCACGGATGATGCTGTGGATGAGGGTGGAAAGTCACGGATGATGCTGTGGATGAGGGTGGAAAGTCACGGATGATTCTGTGGATGAAGGTGGAAAGTCACGGAAATGTGCGTTGTATGTTTTAAGTGGCAAAGCCGAGCAGAAAGCACCGTGAAAGCGGTGACACTGCATGCCCGTGACAGTGGTGGCACCCGCGTGCTGGCGTGACAGCGGTGACACCTGCGTGCCAGTGTGCACAGCACAGGCAGAGAGCACCTGTGTGTTAACAGGCAGTAACAGGGGTTGTCTCTGGGTGGTGAGATTGTCGGAGATTGTTTTTGTTTTTTTATCTAAGCAAGTATGAGTGGTTTTTTGTTTTTGTTTTTGTTTGAGATGGAGTCTCGCTCTGTCACCCAGGTTGGAGTGCAGTGGCTCAATCTTGGCTCACTGCAACCTCCACCTCCCGGGTTCAAGCGATTCTCCTGCCTCAACCTCCTGAGTAGCTGGGATTACAGGTGTGTGCCACCATGCTTGGCTAATTTTTGTATTTTTAGTAGAGGCGGGGTTTCTCCATGTTGGTCAGGCTGGTCTTGAACTCCTGACCTCATGATCCACCTGTCTCGGCCTCCCAGGGTGCTGGGATTATAGGCATGAGCCACCGCACCTGGCCAAGTACGAGTATTTTTTAATGAAAAAATAAAACAAATGCTTGATTGACTGGTAGCCACAGAGCTCTGAACAAGACTGGTCCTGTCCCTGTGGACAAGTGCCCCACAGCTGTGTGGCTCCCTGTCTCCTCCCACAACCCCCACCCCACGGTCCTGGCCATGCCCACCAGCCAGTCCCTCAAAGCTAGTCCCCTTCACTCCTACCCTAGGGTCCCTGTCTGCATTATAATCACCTGTTCATATTCAAATTAAGCACATTCCATGCACAGGCAATTCAAGTACATGCGTGTTGGGAAGCACCGGTGGCCTCACCCAAGGCTCCGCATTTGGGTGTTTGTGTATTTCCCCCCTCCCTGCCTTGCATGATCGGGGCCACTGCACTGTCGGTCAGTATGGGGCGGCCCTCACACTACGCCAGCCAGTGCAGGTCCCTGGACAAGGTGGGCCCCACTGGGAGTTGACGGACGGTTCGTGTGGACCTCACAGCCCCTGCATGGCTCTTGCCCTGTGGTTGATGCTGCTCTGTGGCCCCCTGGAGAGGCTCCCTTTGAAAGGTTTTGCTCAGGGACATGGGACCCGGGGAGCCATGGTGCAGAAAGCTCACCTGCTGTCAGCTGTCCTCTGGTTTTGCAGCTGTATCACTCCCCTCACCTTACGGTTTCAACGTTTACAGGCAGTAAAACAAATCCTCATTTTCTAGATGTTTAAAGCTCATTAAGTTTAGGATGCCAACCAGAAAAATAAAACCATGTGAAACCACAAGCGCTTTCAGGGGAAATGCCCGTCAGAGGCTGCAGTGGGCGTCTCCAGGGCTGCGGACTCTGGGTCCTGGTTCTGTCTGTGCTGGTGGCCTGGGATGGGAAGCCAGGAAGCGCTCCTCCCTCGGGGTCCACACTGTGAGAGTTACCCTGTGGCCCCCCAGGCAGAACATGACGGAGATGCGCAGGAATGGCAAAGTACGAGGGGAAAACAGACAGTGGGATATGGTGAAACCGTGACGGTTGGTGAATGAGGTGAGTATGAGCAAACGATCATTCGCCACAATGTAACCCTACAGTAAAGGGTAACAGGCAAGGCCAAGTATGGATGAAAAACAGACAGTGGGATATGGTGAAACCATGACAGTCAGTGAATGAGGTGAGTATAAGCAAAGGGCCGTTTGCCACGATGTAACACTACAGTAAGGATAACAGCCAAGCCCGCACAATGAGGAAACACCTCGTCTTCAGGGTGTGCCCTTGTGTCTACAGTGCCCGTGTCTACAGCGCACGTTCATTCGGCAAACCCGCGAGCAGCTGCGAGGGCTGAGGCTGTGCTCATAACCTGGAACACACAGCGGGGTAGGGCTCAGAGCTCAGAATCTGGCGGGAGAAATCATCCTCCCTGTTAACGTCTGTTCTGTTTGCAGACTTTGATCCAATGACATTAAAGCAGATGAGCCACCCAAAACTAATATACAGTGTCTACTGCAGAAGACGTGTGCTCTTCACCAGTCTGTGGACCAGGAAACGAGCCGCTGGGGATCTCAGTCGCAAGGGTGCTCAGGTGGCCTTGGTGCAGACACTCACAGCTCTCAGACTGCAGAGTGTGCCGGTCCTCGGAGAAGGGGTGTCCTTCAGGGCAGTGCTTCTCTGGCTGATGCCACAGACTGGCTAGTGGATGGCCAGACTCATCACACTGACACCCCTGTTCACCTAAACCAGATACAACCCCTTCCTGATGCATCTGTTGGTGCCAAATCTTTTTTTTTTTTTTGTAGCTTTTTATTATTAAAACAGTCACTGCAATTATCAGGAGTCGTCTAATGTACAGTGACTGCTATTCCTATTGCTGGTGAGTGAGAATATTAATACCATCTGTAGTAGTGAGACAGCAAATATTTCCCGCCTCACAGGTGCCCTGGTATTTTAGTGCAGAAAATATTCTTACAGTTCCCTGGAAAGCACGCTTTATAAACTCTTACACATTTTCAAAATAAAGATTTTTTAAAATAAACCTTTTTGTCTCTGACGGATTTTAAGTCTCATAACATGAGACGTCAGCCTTGCTGCGATACGCAGCACCACACCAGAAGCCTCCAGCAAGCGCTGTGTTCTGCTGTGGTTCTGAGCAGCCTCGTAGTGCCATGCAGTGCTCTTCAGACATACGCTGGGGCTCAGGGCTGTGGGCCTCAGAGCACAGGGAGGGGGCAGGTCCCCATGGGGAGGAGCAGCTGCCCCTGCACCTGCATCTAACTGACATGGATGTTGGCTCCCCACACTGTGAGCACCTGGGTGTTTCTGGCTCCTTTACTGCTGAAATTTAGGACAGACCCAATCGACTTAGAGAGCTGTCTCAGGACTCCTTGACAAACCAAATGGAGGAAGGAGGGGAACAGCTGGCAGGTGCTCCAGGAGTGGGGGCACAGGCAGCGTCAGAACGCAGCCCCCTCCCAGGAGGAAGTTGGGTAGAAGTGAAGATTGTAAAATAAAAGAGAAAATCCAGGTGCATCCTTTTCTGAAGTAGCTTTGTAGGTGAAAAGTTATTCAAAAGGATGTGGACGCACAAAGGAGAAGGGGCTGCGAAAGGTTTGGTGAGTGGAATGAGGTGAGAATCTAAGTAATTTCACTGAAGTATTATCTTAACGTCTTCATTTCCGATCAGCAGCTTTTGTTGCAAATATGTCAGGTTCAATCGTAGATTACGGGAAAAAGGCAGGATGGACAACTCAAGAGATCTGGTGTGGGACCCAGGCCTGGGGCTAAAAATGTATTGATCGGGGTTTTGGTTAAGGAGGTAGATTTTAGCTGTTTCTCCACACTCACAGACGTAACCATGTGAGGCAAGGGCTGCGTTCACCCACTTCACCATAGTCACCATTTCCCTCTTTGCATTCCTTAACATCACGCTGGAGACCTCAAATCTATTCAATAAAACTTAGTGCAAGAAAGAGGCCTGCAGTGAAAGCAGCGTTTGGACGGCTCTTTGATGTTGGTGTTGAGGGTTGGCCGTGGTGAAGAAGGCTTCTGATGGGCAAAGTGTCTTTAGGAGAAACGTGTTATCCCCACTGTGTAATCTGGAACCATGCTGCGCAGACAGGGGCAACCCTGGCCTATTCTTCTGCGGTGGGCTAAGCGGGGCTGGGCGGCCTGGAACCGAACTGCCTGATCAGGCCACGTTTGTCATCAGAGGCAGAAATCAGGAGCCCTGCGGCAGGGCGTGGGCTGTCTGCCACACGAGGGTGAGGTCCAGAGACTCGGGAATTCTCGGTGCAGAGGCCCCAAAGGGAGAGAGTCTAGCTGGTCAGCAGCAGAACCTCTGGGCCAGCGGGTCTGAAACTTCCCTGCACATCAGAAGCTGCTGAAACACAGAGTGCAGGACCCTGCCCCCAGAGCTTCGGATTCGGCAGGTCGGGGTGGGGCCCACGATTCTGCATTTCTAGCAAATTCCCAGGGGTTGCTGAGGTCATCAGTCCGGGGACTGCACGTGGAGAACCACCCCTCTAGGCCACGTATCCCTGCACCATAGAAAGGAGGGCCCAGGACACCCTGGAGGACAGACACCTCCTGGTAAACTCAACAGGAAAATCCACCTCCCGGGACGCATCCCCTTCTCCTCGCTGCCCTCCCTGCTGGGAAGACCCTGTCCTCAGGCGGTCCATGCGCCCTGGTTAGACGCCTTCACCCAAAGAGAGGCCAGGCACTCCGGCGCAGTTTAGGAGAAAGGAAATTGAGCCTGTGCTGCCCTGGGCTTCAGAGGAGGACAGTTTTCTTTTTTAAAACAGGAAGTAAGGACAGGTTGGAGCCCAGGAACGTGGGCGTGGGGACACGGGTGGTGCAGAGCTGCCACTGGCCTAGCCTCCTGGCGAAGGGGCAAGCTGGTTCGTGGGGACCACCCGAAGGCCTGGAGGGATTTGGGCTGAAGCCCAGGCCGCTCAGCGGGAGTGTGTGCTGTGGAGTCCCTGGTGCAGAGGCTGATGCTGTCGGCGGCTGTCCCTGTGGGTGATGCGGTGGCGCTGGCAGATAGCCATCCCCTCCCAATCCCACGGTAGACGCTGGCCTCAGCTCTTATAAAACCCGCGCGTTCCCTGCGCAGCGTGGGACTGTGGATATTGGAGGGAGGGCATTAGTATTCCCTTGTTGTGATTTGGAAACTAAATGGGCTTCATGGACTTCTCCTTAGGGTTTCTGTCACTCTATAAGCCTTGCTAGATGAAGATACAGTGTTTTTCTGTCCATAAATTTGTTAAAGAAAATCTCTTGGAATTTTGCTAAGGCAATTGGAGAGTGACTTAAACAGGACCGTCCTGAGTTCGTGGACGAGTCCACGGGTCCTGCCAGCACACCTCAGCATCGCCGGTGTTTCAGCAAAGAATCCAAAGAAGAACAGGACCATCGCGAGCCACTTTCCGCCTCTTCATCCCCGTCCACTGAGGAAATCCACCGAAGCCCTTTGTGTGGGGTTCGGAGGAGAGCGGGTTGCAGGGACTTGCCTTCTGGGTGTGACCTTGGTGCAGGTGCATAAGGGTTAGCGACTCCTGCTGCTTCCCGGGTGTGCTCAGGGGCGGGGCTTTTCCGGGGCGGGGCTTCTCCGGGGCGGGGCTTCTCCGGGGCGGGGCTTCTCCGGGGCGGGGCTTCTCTGGGGCGGGGCTTCTCCGGGGCGGGGCTTCTCCGGGGCGGGGCTTCTCCAGGACGGTGCTTTCAACAAATCACCAGCCCAGGGTGCAGCTAGAGGCTTTGCGCTGCGTCTGTCTGAGCCTGTGTTGGAGTAGAGTGCATGGGTGTCCTCCAGGTGCCCTGAGTGTTTTGCCCACTCCAGGAAGCAAATTGAAGGGACCCTGCCCCACTGCATGCGGACGTGGCTCAGGGTTGGTTGTTTGCCCTCGAGGGGCAGCACGGGACCACGGCTGTGCCATCTGGGTGAGCTGGGCTGGCAGGTACCCCGAAAAGCACACAGGGAATCCACAGGAAATCCACCTCAGCCAGGGACATATGCACACCCCCCACATCCTGAAGGCAACTGCAGCTCTCAGAGACCGAGAAACACACACCACACCGCCCCCACCATGGAGATCGGTGGCCTCGTTCTTCCGGTAGCTTCCAAACTCCTGTTTGATCATGATGGTCTGTCTCTTGTGTGGCCTGACACGGTTGCCCAGAGGCACGAGGAAACAGTCGCCCTGAGGCAGGGCGTGGGCCGTCTGCACACGACGGTGAGATCCAGACAGAGACCCGGGAATGCTCTGGCCCCACCGGACACGTGAACACGGTTTCTCGCCTCTCATCGCTCACGTGTTTCAGAAGCACAGTGCCGAGTGTCTAAAAGGGAAGTGGGTGATTACAGAAAAAGTTTCCAGGCTTAAAATTTCATCCTGAGAAGGGGAAGGAAACTCTTCTGTGATCCTTTCCTTTTAAGCTTTGTGTGGGCAGTGGCCGGGACCAGCCCCAGGCTGTTCACAGTGATGGTGCAGACGAGCTGAGATGGTCCTTGGTGGTGACTGCCTGGGGCCTCACCACACCAGATTTGCAACAGTGTCTGCAGGGGTCGAACCACCAACTGCAAATGTGTAGCCCTGACCATGGTCCCTGCGGCAAGGTGACTCCCCAAGGACAGCAGAGATCCTGCTTCTCCAGTCGACATTTCATGGATCACATTCTCCCCAACACACAACTTTAGAGTAGACTTTTATCCCTCCACAGTCTCTACTTCAGATGCTATTTATAGGACTTGGATTTATCTTTCTTAGTGCTTTATACAAATAAAAACAAACAGAAATCTATGTGTTGCCTTTAAAAATTACTCTAATCTCTGTAGTTTTTCCCCTTATCTTCAGAACTAAGGTAACACACGGCTCTGTAGGTAGCCGTCTGGTGCTGAGAATTGCATAAACATTTCTTCAGCTTCTTCTTGCTCGTGATTGTTTTAGAAAAATGATGTTAAATATGTTACTGAGCTTGATACATTCTTAACTCACTGCATCGTTTAAACGGAGCATGGGAGCCCCCCTGGGTCTGACTATTAGCTTTCTCCATTTACTAAATTGATGTCAAGCACCTTCGCGCAAGGCCCTACACGGTAACTGAGCTATGAGGAAGCTGCGAGTGAGTCGGAAATTTGTACAAAAATCCAGTGGAGGAGAAAACCCTCCAAGAATCCACCTCCGTGAGTCAAATTCTAAGAGAAACGTGCTCGCGGCGTCTTCTAGTGCAGGCCTGAGCCCGGCTCCCACGGTTTCATTTCCGCTGGTTCTGTGCTCTCCTGGGCACTAACTGTGCTGCCCCAGCCTGGCAGGTCTCCTGGGAAGAGGTGGACACCTCCTGGCTGCAGGACACCTCTCTGGCACCTCCTGGCTGCAGAGGTGGAATGGCCCCTTCCGTGCTACGGTGGCAAGTTCGGTGTCTGGGGTTAAAGTTTAGGAGAATGAAAGAGAATTCAAGGAGAGCGGTACAGCTGGGACTCGGGGAGTTAGCGTACTTCAAACCCAATTCTGTGATCTGAGCCTTCTGAGGCATCCGCAGCGCCGTCTCGGCACTGGCAGGGGAGGGCAGGGGCGGCCGAGGTGGCAGCGAGTCCTCGGGAACTGTGGGTGGGACCTGGTGTTCCCCACAGTGGCAGCTCCACTCAGGGCCAGGCAGGTAAACGGGTCGAATCCTGGGTCTTAGGGATGTGGCCTGGGTTTGGACCCAGGTCCTGCCACTTACAGCTCTTGACCTCAGGTAGGTTGCCCCTTCTTGATCTTCCATCTTCCCATGTCCCATGCGGACAGCAGTCCCGCCGTCACAGCGCCCTCGGGAGGCTCGGTAAGGGCTGGCGTGGTCCATGTGCAGCCTCCGGCGGGGACACCCGTCAGTGTCCTCATTTCCCCTTACACTGTGTGGTCCCCGTGAGCCTTGGCTTCCACACTAACCATGGTCTAGCCCTGATCTCTCACGGCCACAGTCACCATGGAAAATTCTGACGCGAGGCCATCTCTCCCCTTAACACCAGCACCGTCCTCAGCTTTCTCTGAAAGCATTTTACAGTGGCAGGCAGTGCTGAGCCCCGAAATAACCTAAATCTATTTTCCGCCCATTTGCTTTTTAATTCAAGAGCCAAAGCCTTAGTGTCAAGCAACAGCGTCCATTTCTGTACTTCTTTGACCCCATGCATTTGGGATTAGGAGGCGCGACCGCCTGGGCTTCTGGGCTTCTCCTGGTGAATTTTGTTGAACGTTTCAAAGTCAGTGGCTAGTTTCTCTTGTCTTTTCCCTTCTCTTCTCGTCTTTCCCGTCTGTCTGTCTGTCCTGCTGGCTTTCTTCACTTCGGGGCAGCACCCTCAGGGGATTTGAGGGCCTGGGGCAGCCATGGAGGAAGCCACATCTCAGCCCCACCGCCGGACACAGGCCTGAGCCACCAGATCCTCTAAGCTTTAAAGAGAAGCCAAAAATCTGGTTTCTGTCTGAAGTCTTCTCATTTTTAGAAGTTGGCAAGTAATTCATAAAAAGAAAATACCATGTGGGCCACACAAAACCATCTGCAGGTGGAGCTGGCTGCCAGGCTGCGGGCACCAGCCTTCCTTTCTGGGAAAGAAATGGAGATTCACACGAAGGTACGGGCAGCACAGGCAGCATCCCGAAAGCGCCCCCACGCCCATGGCATGCTTGCGGCTGTCTCTCCTGCCTCTGCCTTGCAGGTCCCACGCCCGTGGCATGCTTGCGGCTGTCTCTCCTGCCTCTGCCTCGCCGGTCCCACGTCCGTGGCACACCTGCGGCTGCCTCTCCTGCCTCCACGTCGCAGGTCAGGAGGACAGAGGCACCTGTAAGCCCTCCGTCCCCCACACGCGTTTCCTCCACCACCCAGTGATGGCCTTGTCCACAAAAAGCCATCCTGGCAGGAGCTCAGGGCACGTTTCCCTGCAGGGATGGTGGGGTCCCCGGCATTTCCAGAGGAACTTGGTCCTGGCTGTCTTCTCACAGCCCTGTCAGGCGACATTGGGATCTGGACCTGCAAATCTCCTCTGTCTTCTGGCCCTCTTGACCTTGCTTCTGGGTGGGGACAACAGTCAGGACATGGAGAGAAGCTGGAGAGAAGGAAAGAGAACCCGACGCTCTGGCAGCTCCTCTCTGGTGGCTGAGATGCATCCTTGCTGTGTGGGAACCACGGGCGACTGAGCCAGGCCTCAGAGGCTGCGGGTGTGACAGAGCCCGGCTGCCCGTGGCAGGCCTGGCCTTGGCCTGCCACGTCTCTGGGAGGCCTCTTCTGACCACCTGCTCCCCGTGAGGTTGTGCCGGCTGGGGGGTCCCTCCCTGACAGTGACAGCCAGGCTATTGGCCATGGCACAGTAGGAGTCAGGATGCCTCCCCAGCCCCTCATCCTCTGTCAGGTGCACCAGGTGGTACCCCTCACTGATCCTCATGGAACCCCATATGGGGGTCTTCCTCACTCCTGCCGCCTTCAGGTGCAGACCCCACCTTTGGGATAACACAGCTCTCGGCCCCACCCACCTTCCCTCCTGAGCCCGTCTCCCGTGCCTCCTCCCACTGGATGACATGTTGCATCGAGGAGCCCTGTACAGAGGGGAGGGGCGGACGGTGCCCCCGGGCTGGATCCCAGCTGTGGGTTTTGCCTCAGGTGGCCTTGAAGCCAGCTGCCCCCAGAGGAGGGGTGCCCTGTGCTCCAGGTGGGGACAGAGCTGGGGTGAGAGAACCCAGACTCAGAATAGGATCGTTCTCGTGATCGTCAAGGGCTGCCACGTGCGGAATGAGGAGTGGTCTCCTGCTGTGGGCAGGCCTGGGGGCCTCCTCCACCCCGACCTTCAGGAACCCCAGATTCTGGTGAAAGGGCACCGCTGCGAGAGGGAGGCGGGCGCCGGTCATGGGAAGGGCGGGGGGGGTGCAGCGAAGCAGACACATTTTCCCTGGAGGACTGGGGCTGGCGGGAAGCGTCTCTCAACTCCATTCCCTCATCTTCGCAGCAGGGGCCGGCGTGCCGCCTCTTCAGTGGTTCTGTCAGTGACACAGATGCATTGTGTCAAAGTGAAAATTGCTCTGGGCAAAGCTCGACTGGCAAGGAGGACTCCAATTAAAGCTTGCGTGGGGGAGACAGGCCCGAACTCAGCCAGAGCTCAGCTCCCCTTGAACGAAGGACGAGAGGGCTTCTCAGAGCTGGAGAGAGAGGGGACGCTGTGCATTTACGTCGGAGTTGGGGAGGCTCCCAGGGCTTTGCGTTTGCTGATCAGCCTTTTCCAGAGGAGGAGCAAATTCTCTTATCTTCATGGCAGGGGGTAGTTTTAAAACTTGGAACAGCAGCGAAGCTCCCACCTTCCTCAGAGACTGGGCACAGGGCCCCACTCCCTCCATGCCTGTGTTCACAGGGATGGGAACCGGGCCCTCAGAGACACGCACAGCTAGGAAGAGCCTGGCAGAAGATTTACGACTGAGATGACCATAGAGAAACCCCGCAAGGACACGTTTTTATAAAGTAGATGCTCTACGAAGCGGGAGGTCAGGGGCCTGCAGTCAAGACAAAGCCATCTGTGGTTCGGGGCATTTGAGGGGTGTGTTAGGACCTGGGTGGTCACTTCTACCCGGTCCACACCTGCACCTGGGAGACACTCCTTAGGGACCCCTCACTCTCCCAGAGCCTCAAGCTCCGGGGATGTGTGGCTCAGGTGCTGAGCCTGGGATCTCCGCACCGAGGCTGCAGGTGGCCCAGGGTCCCCAGATGCTGGGAAACAGGCACAGGGGAGCAGGGAGATGCTTGGATTCCTGCCTCTCCACTGGCTCTCCTCTCCAACCGTGGAGGGGGAAGGGGCAGATGGAGCTCACTGGAATCCACAGGGCTCACTCCTAATGAAGAAGAAACTGCAGTTACTGAGCAGGTGCCCTCCCAGGTCCAGGATGGCAGGTCCGGCAGAATGTGGATGGCTTCGGGAAGTTTGCTCGCCGAGATAAAATAATTCTTGCCACACTAAAAGCTGCTACCTGGATGTCCTCTAGCTATTAATGGCATTGACCTGTCTCCAAAACCAAGCATCCAAGTGTGCCGAGCCAAGCAAAATCAATCTCGGGTCCCAGTAGATGGAGCCGCTGCAGCCAATGTCACTAAATTTCTAAATTTCCTGGGAGTTCTGAGGCCCACGCGGAGGGCGAGCCTGTGAGAAGGCACGTGGGGGACCAGAGCTGTGCCATGTCTCATGTCGGGGCCCTGGGGGGCCGCAGCTCAGACGTAAATACACAGTGTCACCTCTCTCTAACTCCCCAGAATAAACATCTGCCCAGGAGGAAAAACAGGTGATGGCAGAAGCCACATGCCTGTAGCTTCACGTCTCTTTGTGGAGAAATTGCTCAGATGTCCATCATCCTTGGGAAACCTCCCCTCACGGCACCGTCCAGCCTGGCTTCTGCCACAGAGGTGCCATCCCAGGAACCGCAGCCGGGCAGGGGCAGATGTGCCTTATGTCACTGTGCACCCGAAGGCCAGACACTGTGCTGGGGATTCATCAAGTTTTTACAAGTTGAAAAGTTTCCTATTTTCTTTTTCTTTCTCTCCTTTTCCCTCCATTTAAACAATGAATTCTAATGTGCTGCTTTCTGTACTGTCAATATTCATGCATTTGTTTATTCCTTCATAAAGTAAACATTTATCACCCATTTGTACTATAGCCAGTGCTAAGGACTGGAGATACAGGTGCATGAGACATGTCTCCTGTTGTTTAGGAATTCCCAGGCTGGAGGGGCTGCACACCCAGGGACAGAGAACTGTCATTCTGCAAGGGCATGTTGTGAGAGAACCAAGCGCACTGTGTCCTCAGGGCAGCAAGAACAGACGTGGGTCCCCATCTGAAGTGGGGGGCAGCCCAGGAGGCCTTCCTGGAGTTGGTCTTCCTGAGCTGAGGCTTTGGGGATGTTCAGCGGCTGACCTGGGACAAGGCAGAGGTGTGAGGGGAGGGATGGGGCAGAGGCACCCCGGCAGAGCAGTGTACAGGGGCACAGGAACAGAGCAGGGGACCCAATGGCGTGGAGAGGTGGCAGAATTCACTTGGTGCAGAAGAAAGGGGCAGGACAGGAGGTGAGCTGGGAAGTGGAAAGAGATGCCTGCACCCCACAAGGATGGAGAGCAGGCATCATCCAGGAGGCTGGACCTTCTGTCTCGGGTCCCCGCAGCACGTTTGCTCAGAATAAGAAAAATGTAATAAGGGGGTCTGTGGTGAAGTGAGTTACTGAGAGATGCAAGAAATGCTAATAACAGTGTTAACATTTACATGGCAACCCCTCCAACACACATGCATGTGACCACAGACCCCGGTAAATAACACTGTTAGCATTTACATGGCAACCCCTCCAACACACACGCACGTGACCACAGACCCCGGTAAATAACAGTGTTAACATTTACATGGCAACCCCTCCAACACACACACATGTGACCACAGACCCCGGTAAATAACACTGTTAACATTTACGTAGCAACCTTTCCAACACACATGCACATGACCACAGACCCCGGTGACTATATGACTTATGAACTGCAGATCATATTTTGAGAAACAGTTTATCTTAGGAATGGGGGGTTGGCCATTGAATCAAAATGCAAGAATTTTGACCATAGCCTGGTGACTTCCTAGGAGTCACCATAGGTGACATAACACAGAACATGCAAACTCAAAAGCTTTCTCTAGGAATTGATGCCTGAAGATGATTCTTTTGGATTCTCCTTTTCATCTCAAACCTTTTAAGATTCTGCTGAAAACTTGTTCCTGTCTCTCTGGGAAAATCCACAGACCAACTAGCACACAAAAATTAGCACACACTAATGGGCGTTGTGGCTCAGAGCCTCATTCATAACTCCCAAGCCCAGCACGTGCCTGTGGAGCAGGCGGAATTCCAAAAGTCCAGGCACACCCTGCTGGGGGCCGCAGAGGACAGTGGGATCGTTGTCACCTCCCCTCTAGAGCTGCTTTCACCATTCTAAAACATCAGGAAAGGCATAGCTCACATGTTGCTAAGAAAAAGCATTTTGGAAGGTAATTGTGGTTGCTATGCATGGAAACTATGCTACGTCTTAGTTTTGTAACAAAGAGTGTTTAATGCGTGTCTCATTTAAAACGGTTCCCTATTGCAGCACGTCCTTCACTGCAGTTCAGAAAATCACTCTGTTGTGTATTTACGGTGTATTTGGATTAAATATCAAGATTGTATCACAAATAGCAAGTTATTTAGCCTTTATCTAGACATAAATCATATATAAACTGGTAAGAGAGAGAAGAGGGGGCAGAGAAGTCAGATACCCGAACAAGCTCAGTTGTTCCGGATGATCTTTAGTGCCTGGCATGGAGCCAGCACAGGCTTTGCCGTCAGGATTCACCTCCCTC
This sequence comes from Homo sapiens, assembly GCF_000001405.40. NCBI lineage: Eukaryota > Metazoa > Chordata > Mammalia > Primates > Hominidae > Homo > Homo sapiens. The sequence continues at coordinate 1,367,991 of NC_000008.11, forward strand.
CTCAGTCACCAGATGGGGACTGATTGGTTTTATTTTGGGGATTGACTCTGCTTTCACATTTTAACGTGCATACCTATCACGGCGGCCTCCTGTGTTGCTGTTGTGTTGAGTGCTGATTGTATGTATGTAGGCATGTGCGTGTATGCATGTGTATGTATTTGTAGTGCACATACGTGTGCATGTGTGTGTGTATGTGCACGTGTGTGTACGTGTGTGTCCATATATCTGTGTGCAGGTGTGTATGCATGTATGTGTGAGCATGTGTGTGCGTGTGTGCAGGTATGTGTGTATGTGTGTGTATTATGTGTATGTGCATGTGCATAGCTGTGTGTGTGCATGCATGTGTGTGTGCATGCGTGTGTATATATGTGTATGGGTGCATGTGCATATGTGCATGTGTGTGGGTATGTGTGTGTGCATGTATGTATGTGTGCAAGTTGTGTGGCCACACGGGGAGCTGTGGGCAAAGCTCTCCCCTATGCTGTGCTCTGAAAAATGTAGAAATACAATGAGGTCTATCACAGTAAATATTTATAGAATATACCATCAAGCCTGACCTCCATTTATTAAACATGGGCCTATTTGGGGAGGATTAATAATTAAAAATGGATAAAGGCAAATCTTTCAAGATGACTAAGATGTTTATGAGTCTTTTTGTGCGTCTGGTGCCGTATATCAATTTTTTATTTTTGGCATAAAGCATGTGGTATGCTACAGCGTTACCTCATTAGCTGGTGATCTAATAATTCATTATCTGCTGACTCCAGAAATACAGCCGCAGCAGCCCGTGCTGGCTTGAAATCCAAGGCATCTCTGCAGCATGTAGGTAAACTTTTACTTAGCCTGGAACCATCTATTCCTGATGCTCTCCCAGCACAAAGGTCAAATTGACTGCGATGGCTCTAAGTGGCGTCTTCCTGTAATACAGCATCCACAACTGATCGTCCGTTCCTGTGCCAAACGCAGGTCCTCCGCACATACTAGGTGTCACCCTCAACTCTGTGCACGTGACGCCCGGTGCCCGGAGTGGGACACAGGTAGACACTGAGCTAGTTCCCGCACACACAGCCCCTTCCTGCTTGGAGCTTACAGCACAGCAGAGAATGCAGAACCCTAAATCCACATTGGAATTCCACAGTTCTATGTTATAAAATAATGGACAGCTTTTGATCAAAGCTTTCAAGGCTGGTGTTCCTCTGCTGGGGCTGTCATTACAAAATTCCACAGATAGTGTGGTTTCAACAACATTTATTCTCTCATAGTCCTGGAAGCCAGAAGTCCCAGATGGAGATGTGGGCAGGGCTGGATTCCCAAGGCCTCCCCTTGGCTGGCAGACGCTGTCTTCTTGCTGTGACCTCACATGGTCATCCCTCTGTGTGTGTGTCTGTGTCGTGATCACCCCTTCCTGTAAGGACCCCAGTCCTGTTTGATGAAACCCTATCTTCACATGCAGTCACATTCTGAGGTCCTGGGGGTTAGGAATCTGGGGGCCACATTTCAGCCCCTCACAGTTGGTTTTGCACCAAGAATTCCTTCCCCTTGTTTCCCTGTCTACTTCATTTGGCCTCCAGTGTAAATTCTCGATGTGCCTGTATCTTACAGGACGTCCCATTCTGCTACATTCCTTTAGGTGGAATGCATGAAACTCCATTCTCACATCTAAATCACACCCACCTTGCACGCCCTGTCCAAATATCTAGGCTCTTAGGAAGGCTTTTCCAACTTACCCTAGCCCTGCCAAGTCCTGCAGCCTCTGAACTCTTTTAACATTTTGCATCTGTGCAAAGCACACAGCAGTGATGTAGGAAAATGCCGTGGTTCTCTGATGCTCTCACGGATCCACAGTAGAGACTTGGAGGCGCGAGGCGCAAGGCACAAGCCTGGCGGGAAGACGCCGTCCTGGGGCGTGCAGAGGCAGCCGCTGCAGCCTGAGGAGGTGCCGAGTGTGCAGAGAACGTATGAGCCCTGAAATCTCAGAGTGATGGGGGCCTTAGGGCTTCTTCACGCAGTTGCCCTCAGACCTGAGTTCAGCAGCATCCTCCCCAGTTGCGGTCCAGCCCCCATTGGCCATTTCTCGGGGTGACTAACACTGTCCCTAGGCAGCTTTTCTCCCACAGGTCTTCGGATATTTATGACAATTGGAAAGGTCTTCCTCGAATTGAGCCCTAGTCTTTCCCTGAGAGTTCTCTCTCAGTGTCCTCAGCACTGCCCTTCAGAGTGGCCGACTCTGAAGGCAGGTAGAAAATGGAGGTGATGTCCCACGGTGCCTGGCTCTGACAAGTTCTCAGCAGTTCCCCGAAGGTCGGCAGCAGTCACACGGCGTGATTCATCCCAGCCAAACCCTTGCTCTCCCTGGGCAGGTGGGGTTGCACCATCTCGTCACCACCTTAATACCCTCCAGGACTTCTCACTGTTTATCTTACCATTCATGCTTTCAAAATAGTGAGGTGGAAAATGAACTTAAAATAGGTTGGGGCATTCCACTCTCCTTTATCTTCTATTTAAAGCATCTATACTTAAGTAACAAGTCACATTTCTTTTGTGTTTCATTTGCTTAAAATAAAATGCTGAAAAGTCAATTTTACAAAAGAAGAAAAGCTGTCTTTTATCACCCTCTGGTTGCTACAGGGAGCACGGGGAGCTGTCACACCCAATGAGGATTAGAAGCCATCTGAAGGCACCTGTTCCTGGGATCACCCCAGACAACCGCTCCACTCTTGCATTCTCTTTCTCTGCTTTGCTGGTGTATGTAGGAGCCGGACTCGGCACCCAGGCTCTGAGGGTTACCACTGCCTGGCCTGGGGCAAGTTCCACTCCTCTGTTTCTTCATCATTAAATTGGGCATAAAAGATGAGTAACGCACCACACAGGACTGTTGTAAGGATTGAATAAGTTCATCTGTGTGTTAGGTGCCTAGAACAGGGCTTTACACCATGGATAGAATTTGAATAAGTTCATCTGTATGTTAGGCGCCTAGAACAGCGCTTTACACCATGGATAGTAAGTAGTTTATGTGTCAGCCACTTCTAATACCATTCGTGTAATATGATTGCATTAATTGTCATTGGAAGCAGCCCTGGCTGAGGCACTGTCATTGCTTTTATAAACCATCCTGCATGTTTCTTGCCTCCCAGATGCATGTGTCAGCTCCTCGAGGAAGAGAGTAAGACACGTCTTTCTTTTGCCTCCGTCCTGTATGCATTAACAGTCTCAGCACCTGGTCAGCAGTCCTCAGACAGGCATTGAGGGGAACTAAACGGATGCTGTCTTTAGCCGTAAGCCTTTCATTCGGCCTCTATTTCTAGTAACTCACTCATTTCCTGACTTGGACCTGGCTGGTGCTGTATCCTCGTGGATGGCATTTGCGCCAGGGCAGAGGTTCAGAGCAGTTGTCCGCTTGGCAGAAGTCAGGCGTGGTTCCTGGACTCCAGGCATGGGAGATGGACAGAAAGGCAGGATGACTCAGGCTGGTGCTCTGCCCAGCGCGTTGCTGCCCAGTCACTGCAGGTTTAATATGCTGTGGTGGTTTGTGGCTTCTGTAATTGGAAATCTCTTCTGCAGAACTCTATTATCCTCTCACTTCCCGTGACTTGATTGGAAAAGAAGGAATTTGAAGATCTTTTATGTTTTCTTAAATTTGATGGTAATGAAACTGGATGTTGAAATTTGAGGTGAATAAATCATTGCTAACAGGACATCTCAGGGCTGAGCTGGAAGAATAGAATTGTGGCAGGGCTTTTAGCTCACATGTCATCGCCACTTGAGAGGGGAAGTGGATATTTGTGCATTTCTCATATTCCACGTGCATCGTGGAACTGTCCACTCACCCTGGAAGTGGGCTTGACTATTCTGCATTTCAGGATGAGGAAGCTGGGCCCCACAGAGTCTGGCATCACACAGATCAGCGACAGAGTGCAGGGCCCTTTTCAATATGCCACTTTTCTCTGAAAAGAGAGCCAGGGAGAACAGAAAAGAGTTTCTTATGAACATAGACTTGGCATTTCAATGCTGCAGGTCAACTTAGTGGTGCAGCCTGCTGTCTGTGCAGGTGGGGGGCCTGAGGCACACACTGCTCAGGCACCTGCCAGGTGATGGGGTGGGCAGCTGGGGACAGCTCTGGGACCTGGGCCCTCACCTGCAGGCACCTACACAGGTGATAGGGTGGGTGGGGCGCAGGTCACCGTGGCGCCAACGCTGGGGCGCAGGTCACCGTGCTGCCAACGCTGGGACGCTGGTCACCGTGGTGCCAACGCTGGGACGCTGGTCACCGTGCTGCCAACGCTGGGACGCTGGTCACCGTGCTGCCAACGCTGGGACGCTGGTCACCGTGCTGCCAACACTAGGACACTGTTTAATGTGCTTCCAACACTTACCGAGGGCCGACTCTGCAGGCGAGCAAAGCAGACACCGTCTTGCCCTCACTCCTCCCTCTCCTGGTGTGGGGAAGACAAATGTCGTGCGAGTCCCCTCCACAGCAGGGCTTCTCACCCTCAGCTCTCCTGACGTCCGGGCTGCATAATTCCTCTTCATGGGCACCGTCTTGTGTATTGCAGGGTTTTAGGAGCATCACTGGCTGCTGCCTGCTAGATGCCAGGAGCTCTTTGTGAAAGAGGTGCAAAGACTTTAAGCCGCTCTCCAGAGTGACCTGTCTGATGATTCAAAGCCAGTTATCTCAATGCTCTTCAATAAGTTGGACATGGACGGCGTGGGCTAGAGGAAGATCAGAGAGAGATAAAACTGTGATATATTTCCAGTGTTTCATCATTAAACTCTTATTAATTGTACTGCAATAGAGGCAGTATATTTTCCCAAGCGAACATGGCGTTAGATACAGCCACATCAAATTCATTTCAATGCCAGAATTCCTTCAGCTGTGTTTCATTCTTCCTTGTGAAATCTTAGGGATTCAGTCTAAAGATCCGTACGGGGCACTCTGAGTGTGTTATTCCATGTGTCAGTGAAGGGATGTGGGGTTATGGCCACCTACGTGGCCACCTATGCAAGATGACAGTTTCGCTCATAGTTGAGCCGTCCTTGAAGAACACCCACGTTCCTCCTGTTGTTTCTTCTGGAGTGCGGAGGCTTCGCTGGTGAGTGATGACCCCGAGACCTCCGTGCCTGGGGGGGCGCCAGCATGTGGGGCGGGGGCGTCTTCATGGGTCTCATTTGCTTTGGCCGTTGGAGCGTTTGCATTTGCTGCCGTTTGCTTGAGTGACTGCGCAGCAAGACTCTGTGCTGGAGAAAGCCACGCCCCTCGGGGGGAGGCGCCGCCGCCACGCGCGTGCGGCCCGGAGGGTGTCGGGAGCAGGGGCCGCGGGCGGCAGCTGACGGGCGGGCCCTTCCGGAGGCGCCGCGCCTGGACCGTGGCCGCAGGTTGGGCAGCGCCAGACGCAGAGCCCTGTGCCGCTTGCGTCCCCGGGCTTCCTGCCCGACAAGGACGGGGGGCCGGACAGAGAGCCGTGTCGGCCGAGACCCGAATCCGGGATCAGGTTTGTGTTTCTGTGGACACGTCTGCCCACAAAGAGGGCAGTGGGCAATTGTTCTCTTCACCAGAGAATGGTTTTTGTCAACGTTCAGTGAGATCATTTCACCAGTGAGGTGGCCACAGCGGCGCTTTCTCTACCCAAACCTCGCTTCCTCTCGCTGAAGGGGTTCCAGTCTCGATCATCAGTGAAGTCCTTCCACATCCATGGGGCGTCCACCAACTAGGAGCTTAATCAACACAACGCTGTGGCCTCTCCAGCTCAGGGACGTGCCTTTCCCGTGTCTTCTTCTCACACACAAACGTAGCCTGCAAGGAAGGTCAGGTTCAATGCACGGAATCTACCCTGCTGCCCGCTAGGAGGTCATATGTGTATCACAGACCCGCAGAGAATGCTCTCCACAGTACATGAAGCGCGGTACAAATGGAATGAGTGTAACGGGCATTCTCTGTTTGAAAAAAGTTATCCCAATTGAATAGTCGGTAATTTCTCTTTATTGTAACCCAATAGATCACAAAATGCAACCTGAGGTTTAAGCTGAGGGGTGGGGCGTTTGCAGAGGGCTGTGTGGTGGAGGTTAGGTTAGGTTTGCAGACGGCTGTGTGGTGGAGGTTAGGTTAGGTTTGCAGAGGACTGTGTGGTGGAGGTTAGGTTAGGTTTACAGAGGGCTGTGTAGTGTGGAGGTTAGGTTAGGTTTGCAGAGGGCTGTGGTGGAGGTTAGGGTCGGTTTGCAGAAGGCTGTGGTGGAGGGTAGGTCACGTTTGTAGAGGGCTGTGTAATGGAGGTTACGTTAGGTTTACAGAAGGCTGTGTGGTGGAGGTGGGGCCTTCTCCCTGCCCCACGGTGGTCCCATGCAGCCCGCAAAACACCCATGTTCGGCACGGGTCCAGTGACCTCAGCAGGGAGGCAGCTCCCTGATTACAAGACCAACTTTTGTTCTTGGACCAAAGCTGATTTTGCCTTCTCTGTAGGATGATTGCGCAAAAGGTCACCAGAGTCATTCTGAAAGCAGCAGGAGTTCTGAGGCTTCTGTTCGCTCCAATTTACTTAACAAAGGGCATTCAGGTGGATTTGTTCAGGCTGTGCTTTATGATTCTCTGAAAATTAAAAATCCTTCCTGTGATGTAACCATGTGGCAGACGGAGAATCTGCCTCAATGTAGGAGTTAAAGATTTGAACTCCAAGTTCATTTCTGAGTCGTTTGGATTCTGTAATTATTCATCCTTTTTGACTTTGTTTTACTTTGCATTATCAAAATGCATAAAGTGGAGACTGGACGGTGGAAATCCTGCAGGGCACCGAGGCACCTAACGTCAAGGCTTCAGTCCGAATCGGTCCAAGCAGAGGCCACTCAGGAAAGCAACTGTGCGTGGGACTCCGGTGCCGCACGGCCTGGCACTTCGTCTTCCGTGACTCGCCTGTTTCACGAGTGGGATCCCAAGCCCAATACGACAGCCAGGGCATTGTCCTCACTGACAGCAGGTGGTCGATCTCAAGCCCAATACCACAGCCGGGGCGCTGTCCTCACTGACAGCAGGTGGTCACTGGGGAGCATGCTACTGAGGTGCTGTTCATCTCCAGGAAATTAGATTCTTAACATCACCTCTCCACGACCTCAGAACTGAGCCCCCACCTCCTACATTTGGGTTAACGACACCTCTCCACGACCTCAGAACTGATCCCCCACCTCCTACATTTGGGTTAACGACCCCTCTCCACGGCCTCAGAACTGATCCCCCACCTCCTACATTTGGGTTAACGACACCTCTCCACGACCTCAGAACTGAGCCCCCACCTCCTACATTTGGGTTAACGACACCTCTCCACGGCCTCAGAACTGAGCCCCCACCTCCTACATTTGGGTTAACGACACCTCTCCACGGCCTCAGAACTGAGCCCCCACCTCCTACATTTGGGTTAACGACACCTCTCCACGACCTCAGAACTGATCCCCCACCTCCTACATTTGGGTTAACGACACCTCTCCACGGCCTCAGAACTGAGCCCCCACCTCCTACATTTGGGTTAACGACACCTCTCCACGGCCTCAGAACTGAGCCCCCACCTCCTACATTTGGGTTAACGACACCTCTCCACGGCCTCAGAACTGAGCCCCCACCTCCTACATTTGGGTTAACGACATCTCTCCACGGCCTCAGAACTGAGCCCCCACCTCCTACATTTGGGTTAACGACCCCTCTCCACGGCCTCAGAACTGAGCCCCCACCTCCTACATTTGGGTTAACGACACCTCTCCACGGCCTCAGAACTGAGCCCCCACCTCCTACATTTGGGTTAACGACATCTCTCCACGGCCTCAGAACTGAGCCCCCACCTCCTACATTTGGGTTAACGACACCTCTCCACGGCCTCAGAACTGAGCCCCCACCTCCTACATTTGGGTTAACGACACCTCTCCACGGCCTCAGAACTGAGCCCCCACCTCCTACATTTGGGTTAACGACATCTCTCCACGGCCTCAGAACTGAGCCCCCACCTCCTACATTTGGGTTAACGACCCCTCTCCACGGCCTCAGAACTGAGCCCCCACCTCCTACATTTGGGTTAACGACACCTCTCCACGGCCTCAGAACTGAGCCCCCACCTCCTACATTTGGGTTAACGACACCTCTCCACGACCTCAGAACTGAGCCCCCACCTCCTACATTTGGGCTGTTTCTCAAATAAGACAAACATCAGCCATGAAAGGAATCAGAATGAGGCAGTAAACTCAGAAAGAGTCCTTGAAGCCCAGCTGTGGGTGAAGGGCCCGGGACGTGCTGTCTCATAGCTGTGAGCCACCTCCTAGGAGACAAACCAGGTCTCTGTGCCGTTTCTTCTCACTCCATCAGCCAGCTCCTGTGCACCGCAGTCCCTCTAGAGAGCATCGGCCACGGGGGCCTGCAGAGAGAGGAGCTTCCTTGAAAAGCGCCCCGCTGCATGGCCTCTGTGCCCACCTGCTGGTGGCAGTGAATCAGCCTGGAAGCTGGGCTGACCTGCGCTTCAGAACTCAGAGCTCCGACGGAGCTGGAGGCCGTGCTGGTACAATTGAGGCGCTTTCAGAAGAAGACGCTCCCTTTCAGAAGCTGCTCTCCTCCTGCTGAAGAAGGGGGAGCCGGGTGGCAGTGGGGAGCCGGGTGACAGGGACGTGCCAGCTCACAGGGCTGCCAAGACCCTCACTCTGACCCCGGTGGGATGTGTGGTCATCGGCGGATGGCGGGGACAGGGCTACCGAGACCCTCAACCTGAGCCCGGTGGGATGTGTGGTCATCGGCGGATGGCGGGGACAGGGCTACCGAGACCCTCAACCTGAGCCCGGTGGGATGTGTGGTCCGCAGGTGGGGTTCTTCTTGCTACTGCAAGCGTATTTGGCCGTGAAAGCGAAATGTGCACGGGTAGGAAATGGCCTCAGAGCAAGGCCCACATCGAAGGATTTGTCATGGCCCCTTCTGCAGACGCAGTTCTGAAGGAATGGGAACTGATTTGTAATCACACCATGCAATTAACAGAGTGCATCAGGGACCACATGCTTCAGCAGAACCACAGTGTCAGTTACTGTGCGCGGTCCCTGGCTGCTTACATTAGAATAGGGCAGTGAGATGCCTGCCACTTCTGCAGGGAGCTTCCAGATAGGCGTGTGCGTCCCAGCGAGAGGAAGTCCTCGGGGCCCAGCCCCACAGCACCTGTCCCTACCTGGCCCCTCCAGGTCAGTGGTGTGCAGCTGTAGGGTTAGGGCAGCAGAGGTGTTTGGGGCCAGCCAGGAGGGGGCTGCTTAATGCACAGGTCTTCGGCCGAGCGCAGTGGCTCACGCCTGTAATCCCAGCACTTTGGGAGGCCGAGGCGGGCGAATCACGAAGTCAGGAGATCGAGACCATCCTGGGTAATATGGTGAAACCCCGTCTCTACAGAAAATACAAAAAATTAGCCAGGCGAGGTGGCAGGCGCCTATAGTCGCAGCTACTCTGGAGGCTGAGACAGGATAATGGTGTGAACCTGGGAGGCGGAGCTGGCAGTGAGCTGAGATCGCACCACTGCACTCCAGCCCGGGCGATAGAGCGAGACTCCGACTCAAAAAAATAAATAAAATAAAATAAAGATGCACAGGTCTTCATATCCCAGGAAAGGTGAAGCTGGGAGGCAGAGGACATACCCCAGCCTGTCAGAACCCAGTGTGCCCTGAGGGCCTGTGAGGAGGGCCTTGCCAGCGTGGGGGTCAGTGGATCTGAGTGCAGCTCCCTCCTGTCTCCTCCCAATACCATATAATATTGTCAGCTCTGGTATTCTTGGTCCAGCACAGCTTCTTCATGTTTTTCACCTTTGTGATGTAAGAATCCAGCTCCGTGCAGAACCCGAGCATAGGCACGGAAGTGTGCCCGAGGGGAGGCCTGGAGCCTGTGTCTCTTCTGCGAAGCTGCACCCACCTCGTCTGTCTGGGGGTGGCAGCCCCAAATCAGCTGATGGAGTTCACGCACCCCTGTGCAGACGCAGCCTCCCCCAGGGCCTTTGGCTGCCGTACACCCTCAGGCTTGGTCCCTCTCAGCAGCCACTGAATCAGACAGCTGCCCCAAGACCTGACTTGCACTGTACTCCTGCTGAAGTGACCCGTCTCAAGATATCTGGACGCAGGTGCACACCTGGCCTCACTTGTCCCTTGCACGTATGCCGTATGTCTGACTTTGTCTGTCTGTCCTGCGCACACCTGACCTCACCTGTCCATCCTGTGCACACCTGACCTCACCTGTGTGTCCTGCACACACCTGACCTCACCTGTCCTTGCCACACACACCTGACTTCGCCTGTCTGTCCTGCACACACCTGACCTCACCTGTCCTGCGCACACCTGACTTCACCTGTCTGTCCTGCACACACCTGACCTCACCTGTCTGTCCTGCACACACCTGACCTCACCTGTCCTTGCCACACACACCTGACTTCGCCTGTCCGTCCTGCACACACCTGACCTCACCTGTCCATCCTGCGCACACCTGACTTCGCCTGTCCATCCTGCACACACCTGGCCTCACCTGTCTTTCCTGCGCACACCTGACCTCACCTGTCCCTGACACACACAGCTGACTTCGCCTGTCTGTCCTGCGCACACCTGGCCTCACCTGTCCATCCTGCTCACACCTGGCCTCACCTGTCTGTCCTGCGCACACCTGGCCTCATCTGTCCGTCCTGCACACATGGGTTGGGCGGGGACAGGCTCCATCTTCCTCTGTGCTTTCATCACCCTCATTTTTGGAAAGTCACACGTTTTGCTTTCATTCTAATTTACATTCTCACTTTTTCAGTCTTTCCTTATGCAGTTTCTGGCGTTTCCTTCATTTCCCCAGATTCTTTCAAATCCTGATTCTCTTCTCTGAGGAGTCTGTGCCGTCCCCTTCAGGGCAGTGTGGTCGGCGGGTTCAACACTCATGCTTCCCTGTCCTTTGGCCTCCAAGTTGTTAAAACAGTCAATCACTTCTAGCTCAGGGTAGCTCATTCTTAGCCCCATAGGGTCCACCACAGCATGTGTCCCCTTGGGCTGACATTGGGCTATGGATAAAGCTTCTTTTTAAATTAAAATGAAAAAATTCAATTTCTTTCCCAAAAAGGCTTAGTTAGCTTCTATGGCTACAAGACCAGGAAATGCACAGCTAGGTGAGGAGACAAGGCCAGTTCTTCCCTGAGCCCTGCCTAGACTGTGGCACGTCAGCCTCACGGGGCCACCCGCTGCCATCAGCCCGAGTCCTCCTGCCTTCGCAAATTTTAGCTCACGTCCATGCAGTGCCGGCTCTGTGCCAGGCACAGGCCCGAGGGCCACATCTTCGCTAAGTCACCAGCTCAGTGCGAGGCATGGGCCTAAGAGCCGCGTCTTTGCTAAGTCATGTCCCTGGCACAGCCGCCCCACACGGCACGTACGCCGACATCCCTTATCTAGGAGGTGGAGAAACGGGCAGGGAGACTAAATACCTCAGACCAAGGCAGCCTCCGTCTGCCGAGGCCTCTCCTCATGGCGAATTTCCTCCTCCCGCTTCCTTCACTCATTCACCGAGCCACCATGCGCCCTGCTGTGTATACTGAGGCGTCATATTCAGTCTCTTCTTGTAAGAACCGTAACCGCTGTCATCATTTTTAACCAGGTCCCTGGAAGTCTTTGTCACATAGAGTTGGGAAAACTCAGTCCAGGCCCTGAAAGAGTTTACTTTCTAACTGGCAGGGACCCCGCACTTAACGTCAGGAGCCCCCAGTGCCGTGAGTGACTGAGGCTGGCATGGCAACCGTGCCTGGGAGAAGGGAGGTTGTGCAGGGGCTGACAGAGAGTGGCCAACAACCCCATTTCCCTGCTTGGTGGGGGTCTGCTGATTTCGGGGTGTCCTCCCTTCCCTCCCCTCCTGCTCGGTGGGGGCCTGCTGATTTGGGGTGCCTTCCCTTCCCTCCCCTCCTGCTCGGTGGGGGCCTGATTTTGGGGTGCCCTCCCTTCCCTCCCCTCCTGCTCGGTGGGGGCCTGCTCTTTTGGGGGTGCTCTCTTCAATTCTCTTCTGAGCCCGGCTCCATCCCAGCATCTGCACCCTGGTCAGGAGATGCCTGCTCTGCCCACTGCTGTGTCCTTGGGGCAGGGGCTGCCTGTTCTGGGTCTCATTCTCTTTTATGTCCCAGCCAAGCCGCTGGTTTGTAACAGTAGTTCAATAAACACTTTCAAATGAACATACATAGGAATCCTGAAAAGAGTACTCGAATGTGCAAAAGGGTGTCTCTCAGCACTTCAGGCAGCAAAGCGCTTTGCAGAGACATGAACGCGAGTGTTTGCTGTGCGTGTGGGGCTGCTGGCACCGACGGGAGCTCAGGCTTTGTTACTTCCTGCACCGCAAATTACCTGCACCTGGTTAACGGAAGCAGCCGTCTCCAGAAATTATGAAATAAATCGCAGGTTACTTCAGAAGCATTTCAGTCACCATTGAGTTGAACTAAGGAGACTTTGGAAAAGCACAAATTCGTGCATAAAACTCACCCCTCCAGTTGCCAGAGATGCTCAGCTGCACAAAAGACTTGTGATAAGCGAGGCTTTTTTCTGAGAAAGTGTGCGGGCCTTTTGCATCTCACCTGGTTACAAAGCGACGTGAATTAAAGTCCACATGAAGGATCAGCATGAACACCCGACCACATCTTACTCCAAATTGCTTCTGAAATTAAAAGTTCGCCGAGGTGTCATGTTCACTGGGGACTCTCTGTAGCACTGAGCTACTTTGAAAAATTCTTTAATTACACGCTTGCGAAAGTCATGACTATTGGTATTAACTGGGACACAGGGATAGCTATTTCGAAAAAAGTGACATTGAACTCACAATACCTTATCTTATTAAATTCCATGGAGACTAAAAGTTTAAACTTAAGAAAATAAAGCCATAAGAATTGCAAAATATGATTTTGGTGACCATTTGTATCATCTCAGAACCGGTTAGGATGTTTTGAACATGATTCAAAAAAAAAAAAAAAAAAAAAAACACCCAAAAGGCCAAAAAGGAAAAAGGTTATTCTTTACATTTGATATTTTTATATTTATATTTTACTTAAATAATATAAGGAGTTCCTTTCTAAATCAAAATTAGACTTAAGAGGCCAATTAAAAATAAAGGTCACGGCGCATGGTGAGGAGTTGCTGTTCGTAACCGACGGAAAAGGCTTCATACGTGAACACGGCTGGACAAGCAACCAGAACAGGTGCTTCCCCAGGATGTCCAGAAACAAGCAGAGACCGTGAAGGACATTTAACCTCACCACCAATTCCATGTGTGCCCATGAAAACAAGATTCCATTGTTGGCTGACAGATTGGCAAAGATTAATACTAGCCAATGTTAGCAAAGACATGAAAAAATGGGCCGTTACGGTTCCTGCTTACTTATTAAACATTTCTGTGGGCCAGTTTGGCAATTTGAACTGAGCGTAACTCTTTTGTACTCAAGGAGTACGACATGATGATTTGATGTCTGTGCACCTTGTGCAGTGATGACCACAACTGGGTAAATTAACACACCTGTCCTCATCCAGGCTGGACGGTGCAGCCCCAGACCTTGCCCATCCTGTGACTTGAATTTATATCCTTTGGTTAGCATCTCCCCGTTCCGCTTTCCCTGGGCCCTGGCGCCCACTCTTCTACTCTGTGCTTCTGGGAATCTGGGTTTTTCTAGTTCCACAAGTAAGTGAGGCCACTCAGTGTTTGCCTTTCTGTGCCTGGCCTATTTCACTCAGCATCATGTCCTCCAGCTCCATCGCGTTGCCGTGAATGCTGGGATTTTCTTCCTTAGTAAATCTGAGGGTTATTCTAGTGTGTGTGTGTGTGTGTGTGTGTGTGTGTGTGTGTGTGTGTTTGTATCACATTTTCAAAGTGAGCGTAGCCATTCAGATAGGAATTCCATGTCTACACATTTACATTAAGGAAATATAAAATGTACGTTTCTTGTCTGAACCCCAGCACCAAGAATGATAAAGTCTACACAGTGTTTTTTAGATTACATTTATGCAATCTTGAAAAAAATCAAATAAATACACAGTTGACCCTCATAAAAAAGCAGGGCTTAGTGGTAGCAACCCCCTCATGCAGTCAGAAATCCGCATATAACTTTTGACTCCCCCAGACTTTACTGCTGATAGCCTCCTGTTAACCAGAAGCCTAAGCAATAATACAGTCACTGACACACATTGTGTTTGTTACATGTATTACATGCTGTATTCATACAGTAAAGTAAGCTAGAGAAAGAAAATGTTATGAAAATCATAAAATACATGTACTGTTTATTAAATGGAAATGGATCACCACAGAGGCCTTCATCCCCGTCTTCACGTTGAGTGGGCTCAGGAGGAGAAGAGGGGTTGTTCCCACAGTCTCAGGGTGGCAGAGGAGGAAGAAGATCCCCGTGTGAGTGGACTCCAGCAGTTCCAACCAATGTTGTTCAAGGGCAAGTGTGCGTGAATATATGTGCAGAAATATGTATCATCGGTCAGGCGCAGTGGCTCACAGCTGTAATTGCAGCGCTTTGGGAGGCAGGGGCAGGAGAATTGCTTGAGCCCAGGAGTTTGAGACCAACCTGGGCAACACAGTGAGACCCCATCTCTACAAAAAAATAAACTTTTAAAAAATTAGCAGTGCAGTGGTGTGTGCCTGCAGTCCCAGCTACTTTGCAGGCTGAGGTGGGAAGATTGTGTAAGCCTGGGAGATGGAAGCGGCAGTGAGCCATGATCGTGCCGCTGCACTCCAGCCTGGGCAACCCAGTGAGACCCTGTCTCAAAGGGGAAAAAAACAAAAGAAATGTGTATAGTTTACATTGATTATAGCAAGAAATCAGAAGCCATATTGAATGCTTCATCAAAGAGGACTGGTTGAATAAACTTTAGTATATCCCCCCCAAAAAAGTTCTATAGCCAATTAAAATTATGGAAGGGATGTATGTATACAAAGTGTGTGTGTGCGTGTGTGTGTGTGTAGAGAGAGACCCTAATCAATGAGAAATTATACTTACTATGTTAATTAATCAGGCTGATACAATTAGCATATGCGGTGTCATCTTATTTTTGTGGAACGCAAATCGAAGGATCTTTGGACGTAAGTATTCTCAGGTGGATGTGCATCGCCACGTGGGCAGTGCCATATCTATGTTGTGACATTGCAGGGATCATCCCCTTTATCTATTTTGGCAAATTTATAATTAAGTTTGTCAGGTATATTCATTAATTTTGTAACGAGAAAAATAAGGGATTTTTATTTTGAAAAAAATAATTACACGCTTTCTGGAAAGTCATCAAGTTCTAAGGTTTGGAGAATATGTTACAGTATTTCAAATTCTCAAATATGGAAAAGGTGTTGGAAAAGTGCTGCTGCCGCCACTTCATGCCAGATGCTAAAAACATAAAGGGCAGCAATCCTGAATGAGAAATGCATTAATAATCTCAGACTTTTATACAGAGATTCTGTCAAATGGTACGGTATGTGTTAGCCCTGCCTTGTACACACAAGAACACGGATGTGGAGGCTGATAGGCCTTCGCTCAAGGAGGCAAATGGTTTAGGGACACACAGTTGGCGACGTTACCGGTCTGAGGAGCTTTAGCCTTCCTGCCTGTGTTGTATTTTTGGGGAGGCTCAAAGGCTGCTTGATTAACGACCAGATCCCAATTCCATGGTTCCCCTTAGTGGCTGGGGCTGGGACAGGTGCCGTCCACCTGGCCCAGGGCTGAGGCTCTTCTCTGTAAGGTCAGTGAAAACTTTGCAGTATTAGAATGGCCACGTCAGAGCCTATATTAACTTGACATTAACAAGAAGCATGAATTAAACTCCTGGTCAGATGACCACCAGCAGCTCCCAGCGAGCACTTTCCAGCAGAGTAAACTAATGAATCTCTTCACTCTTCATGGGTGAGAGAGCGGCAGATGTCTTTGGCGGTGGACTCTGACAGGAAGGTCATTTCACTCCCATTCTCTTCTCCGATGTGTTACATTCATGAAGGAGACCCACAAATGCATGTCTGGGGTTTTGGTGTCTGTACTTAGTGATAAAATATGTGACCCCAACAAGAAAGGGGTTTTCGTTATTCACTGGCTCATTCAGACGTTGGGAAACAGTATACACTTATTTAGGCATCAATTAATAGAAGAATTAGGTCAGAATTCATTAGGTTACTAGGCCAGGTCTGTATTTTTTAAAGTGAAAGTTACTGTGACCAAAGGATTCATAAAAGTTAAGGGATGAAGTGGCCTTGGATGCCATTTTCAGAATTTAATTTCTTTCCTGGAAAAAGCAAGAATTGTGACTGCACAGTCGCTGCACTCTCCTCTGCCGTGGCCTATGCCCGGCCCCTGAGAACTTGGTGCACAGTTACCCCGGCCTGTGCCCGGCCCCTGAGAACTTGGTGCACAGTTACCCCGGCCTGTGCCCGGCCCCTGAGAACTTGGTGCTCAGTTACCCCGGCCTGTGCCCGGCCCCTGAGAACTTGGTGCACAGTTACCCCGGCCTGTGCCCGGCCCCTGAGAACTTGGTGCACAGTTACCGCGGCCTGTGCCCGGCCCCTGAGAACTTGGTGCACAGTTACCCCGGCCTGTGCCCGGCCCCTGAGAACTTGGTGCACAGTTACCCCGGCCTGTGCCCGGCCCCTGAGAACTTGGTGCACAGTTACCCCGGCCTGTGCCCGTCCCCTGAGAACTTGATGCACAGTTACCCCGGCCTGTGCCCGTCCCCTGAGAACTTGGTGCACAGTTACCCCGGCCTATGCCCATCCCCTGAGAACTTGGTGCACAGTTACCCCGGCCTATGCCCGGCCCCTGAGAACTTGGTGCACAGTTACCCCGGCCTGTGCCCGTCCCCTGAGAACTTGGTGCACAGTTACCCCGGCCTATGCCCGTCCCCTGAGAACTTGGTGCACAGTTACCCCGGTCTGTGCCCGTCCCCTGAGAACTTGGTGCACAGTTACCCCGGCCTATGCCCGTCCCCTGAGAACTTGGTGCAGTTACCCCGGCCTGTGCCCGTCCCCTGAGAACTTGGTGCACAGTTACCCCGGCCTATGCCCGGCCCCTGAGAACTTGGTGCACAGTTACCCCGGCCTGTGCCCGTCCCCTGAGAACTTGGTGCACAGTTACCCCGGCCTATGCCCGTCCCCTGAGAACTTGGTGCACAGTTACCCCGGCCTGTGCCCGTCCCCTGAGAACTTGGTGCACAGTTACCCCGGCCTATGCCCGTCCCCTGAGAACTTGGTGCACAGTTACCCCGGCCTATGCCCGTCCCCTGAGAACTTGGTGGACAGTTACCCGGCCTGTGCCCGTCCCCTGAGAACTTGGTGCACAGTTACCCGGCCTGTGCCCGTCCCCTGAGAACTTGGTGCACAATTACCCGGCCTGTGCCCGTCCCCTGAGAACTTGGTGCACAGTTACCCGGCCTGTGCCCGGCCCCTGAGAACTTGGTGCACAATTACCCGGCCTGTGCCCGTCCCCTGAGAACTTGGTGCACAGTTACCCGGCCTGTGCCCGGCCCCTGAGAACTTGGTGCACAATTACCCGGCCTGTGCCCGTCCCCTGAGAACTTGGTGCACAATTACCCGGCCTGTGCCCGTCCCCTGAGAACTTGGTGCACAATTACCCGGCCTGTGCCCGTCCCCTGAGAACTTGGTGCACAGTTACCCCGGCCTATGCCCATCCCCTGAGAACTTGGTGCACAGTTACCCCGGCCTGTGCCCGTCCCCTGAGAACTTGGTGCACAATTACCCGGCCTGTGCCCGTCCCCTGAGAACTTGGTGCACAGTTACCCCGGCCTATGCCCATCCCCTGAGAACTTGGTGCACAGTTACCCGGCCTGTGCCCGGCCCCTGAGAACTTGGTGCACAGTTACCCCGGCCTATGCCTGTCCCCTGAGAACTTGGTGCACAGTTACCCGGCCTGTGCCCGGCCCCTGAGAACTTGGTGGACAGTTACCCTTCTCCGGGAGCCACGACAACCTAGCCAGCAGCACCCACAGTCCTAATACTGGAATCAATGAGATCTGAAGATTGGAGCAATTCCCAGGCAAGAGCTCCTAGGAATTAAATCTCTTGTTACAAAAATATGGTTTAATCTCCACGGGATTTTGAAAATAAAATTGAAAACAACAATCTCCCAGAAAACAGGAAAATGACAAAATAATGGAAAATAAGAGTAAAAAGATGAGATGCTCACAGTGACTTTGCAAAAACTCCAACATATGATGACAAAGCTCTCAAAAGAGCATAGAGAAAGCAGAGTGGGGAAATGATCCAGGAAAAGGAAATTCTAGAAAAATCACCAATTCTAGAAAAATCACCAGACCCAAAGTCGGTGAGATTATAGATGGCAGGTGCATGAACTCCCCAGAACAATGAATACAACATAGGCCGACACCCCTGGAAAACTCCCATACACCAGCATTGCCAGGGGAGCCTGTGAGCTTTCAGGGAGAAAAGACAGATCGAGAAACCAGATGGCTTCCATCTTCTCCAGAGCGGCAGGGACAGCTGGGAGAACCTGCAGAATTCCCTCCAGAATCCTGGAGAAGTGGTGGCTGCTCCGGAGCTCCAGGCACAGGCACACCACCGGCCAGATGTGAGAGTGGAGTAAGAGGGCCAGCCACACAGAGTCTCTGAGGCTCCCCTTCGCTCTCTCAGGAAGATTCGGAGGATGTGCTGACCCAGAAACGAGAGAAGAAACCTGGACAGAGGAAGGTGCGGGGATCCAGGAACCAGGGATTCAGCCAGGTTAGCAGCTGAGGAGATGCTCAGGATGGGGAGGAAAGCCCAGGCCACACCAGCATAGAATGCGGCAAGAAGGTGAGATCCAAAGAAAAAAAGGATTGATTTTTGAATGGGTTTTACCATATTGATGGAAAAAAAATGCTATGACTATGTTGAGAGAATTTTGAACTGTATTAATGATATAAATTATGCACATTAAAAAGTAAAGTAATAACTCCAGGGAAGGTAAAATGTTGTATGAGGATAGATAATAATAGCTCATTATGCAGATTCACATTGAATAATGTTTACCTAAAAATAAATTTAATACTAAATGTTAATTGGACGTCATATTGGTAAGCCAGAAAAGAGGGGAACTAGATAACGGCATGTATTGCGGGTGTGGTCGAAAAGCTCAGGTATCATATAGCAAAACAGCAGAGCCGTCGTGATCATTGACAGTAAGGAGGATGGTATTGAAGAAAACAGCCGGAGGAGGTGAGGGCTTGTCTGTGGGAAGAGTTCTTCTTCATGCAGAGGGTGGAGAGACTGAGAGGCAGGTCTGCTGATTTTCTTCATAAGGCTTTTATAGTATTATCAGATTTTTGTAAAAGTGTATACATGAAAAATTAGTATAAAGATGAAATTTGGAATTTAAAATAAAAGAATGGAATAAGTTCACAGAGAGTAGAAACCCTGAATTGGGCAGTGGCCACGGGGCTGCAGAGAAGGCTGGGTTTGGCTACCTGGAGACACACATCACAGCATTAAGATTGGCAGTCTGGTGCACGGGGGCTGAGGGGCAGTTTGCAGAACTGAGGAGGTTCTGGAGAAGGACGGTGGTCGTGGTTGCACGGCAGTGAGTGTATCTGACGCCACTGAACTGCACCACTGGACGTGGCTAGAATGGTGAATTTCGTGTATGTTCTACCCCACAGAAAAAGATCAGGTGCCTGTTTGACTTCAAAGTGTGGAAGAAATAGGCACTAAGTTGGGTCCTGGGTTTTGGGTTGAGGTGGTTGGTGACTGGTAGGGGTGAAGGGTGAGAGGAAGGTTCAGGTAGGAATGGCAACCAGATTTTTCTCAGGAACCAGGTGGAGGGCCTCACCTGTGCCACAATCGGAACCAGGAAAAGGCATGAAATTGTCCAGGAGGCCAGTGATGTCAGTCTAAGAGCCTGTGGATTTGATGGCGCTGGAAGCCGAGATGTCCTGTGAGTAGGTTCACCTGGGGGTCTGGAGCCCCACAGTTAGGGTTACGGGTGGGTTAGCGATCAAGGCGTGGAGGTCCCCAGCGCGTGAGCAAACACGGTGGGCGCAGAGCTGCTGGAGACTCACTGGCCAGACGTGGATGCAGCCAGTGCGTGCGGGCTGGGGCTAGTGTCAGCGTCTCACAGCGTCAGGGCTGTGAGAGCAGAGGCCGTGGATGGGGAGGCTCTGGTTCAGGTGTCAGGGCTGTGAGAGGCAGAGGCAGTGGGTGGGGAGGCACTGGTTCAGGTGTCAGGGCTGTGAGAGGCAGAGACCGTGGATGAGGAGGCGCTGGTTCAGGTGTCAGGGCTGTAAGAGGCAGAGGCCGTGGATGAGGAGGCGCTGGTTCAGGTGTCAGGGCTGTGAGAGGCAGATGCCGTGGATGAGGAGGTGCTGGTTCAAGTGTCAGGGCTGTGAGAGGCAGAGGCCATGGATGAGGAGGCGCTGGTTCAGGTGTCAGGGCTGTGAGAGCAGAGGCCGTGGATGGGGAGGCGCTGGTTCAAGTGTCAGGGCTGTGAGAGGCAGATGCCGTGGATGAGGAAGCGCTGGTTCAAGTGTCAGGGCTGTGAGAGGCAGAGGCCGTGGATGAGGAGGCGCTGGTTCAGGTGTCAGGGCTTTGAGAGGCAGAGGCAGTGGGTGGGGAGGCACTGGTTCAGGTGTCAGGGCTGTGAGAGCAGAGGCCGTGGATGGGGAGGCTCTGGTTCAGGTGTCAGGGCTGTGAGAGGCAGACGCCGTGGAAGAGGAGGCGCTGGTTCAGGTGTCAGGGCTGTAAGAGGCAGAGGCCGTGGATGAGGAGGCGCTGGTTCAGGTGTCAGGGCTGTGAGAGGCAGATGCCGTGGATGAGGAGGCGCTGGTTCAAGTGTCAGGGCTGTGAGAGGCAGAGGCCGTGGATGAGGAGGCGCTGGTTCAGGTGTCAGGGCTGTGAGAGCAGAGGCCGTGGATGGGGAGGCGCTGGTTCAAGTGTCAGGGCTGTGAGAGGCAGATGCCGTGGATGAGGAAGCGCTGGTTCAAGTGTCAGGGCTGTGAGAGGCAGAGGCCGTGGATGAGGAGGCGCTGGTTCAGGTGTCAGGGCTGTGAGAGCAGAGGCCGTGGATGAGGAGGCGCTGGTTCAGGTGTCAGGGCTGTGAGAGCAGAGGCCGTGGATGAGGAGGCTCTGGTTCAGGTGTCAGGGCTGTGAGAGCAGAGGCTGCAGGTGGGGAGGGCTCTGGTCCCACAGACTAAGGGTGTGGAAGTGCAGGGCCTCTTCATGACGGGAGGCACGTGGACCTCTTTATGGGAAATGCCATAATGGGAGGAGCGGTACTCTGGAGGAGGAGGATTGGAAGGCGACGTGGCTTCCTCCCAGTCAGTGGGGAGGGGACTCTGGAGGAGGAGGATGGGAAGGCGACGTGGCTTCCTCCCAGTCAGTGGGGAGGGTGGCTGCAGCATCCCGGGGAAGCCAGAGGATCTGCAGAGAGGAGAGGTCAGAGAAAGTGGCGAAGCTTGGAATGATAACACGGGAGTTGACAAGGGGCCCTGCTGAGGGTACTCAGAGCTGGAAGAAGTGTCGATGAGGGACCCCGCTAAGGGCACTCAGAGCTGGAAGAGGTGTGGACGAGGCCGCTCGGTGCAGACCACAGGTTTTTAGCAGAACCAATCTGCACAGTTCTTTGATTTTTATCCCACCAGGCTCAGCAGCTTGGATAGAAAAAAAGCTGATGATGAAATGCTTCCAGACCTCAGATTGTGCAGAATGGATGCAGCGGAGAGACAAGCACTGCCTGTCCATGAGAACGTCCTCCAAGGACAGCTGTTTTCCAGACTTCCTCTTAGGTGGCCGTGGAGCAGCTGGGGACCTACAGGTACAACCCCGGGCGGAGACCCAGAGCGAGCCTTCCCTGCAAGGATCCAACGCAGACCCAGATCTGCCCCAGACCCAGATCTGCCTTTTCATGAAAATTGGAAGACAACAGTGATTGCTGAAAAACAGCTAGCAGGCGTCCCACAGAGAGGGGCCGCGGAGCACCCAGCTCCGGCACAGACAGCTCTCCCTCACACGTGAACAGGAGCAACCGCAGGCTCTCGTCTGCACCCACGGAGTGTGTCTGGATGGATGTTGCCTGGAAATGCTTCCAGGCAGGAAAAACTTAACAGGCTGACATTTCATCCGTTGATGGAGATCACAGGGCCCTGGTGGAGTATCAGGCTTAGAGGAGAAGCTCTTCCAAAAATCAGTAACTAAATCGAGGCACTCTCTGAGCTCTCCAGATGTAAACCAAACGACTCTGGAATGATCTCTGCCATAGTAATCATGTTGGTGAAAACCAGATGGGAGCCTCTCATCTGGGCTTCTCCAGAAGGCGCAGAAATGTGTCTGTCACCTACACAACGCTGTGGTGTGCTTGTATCTTTACAAACTCTTATGTATGACCTTTTAAAACTCCGTTTATTAAAATAATACTTTTTTTTTCATTTTCTTCCTTTTGCTGGAGTAAGTTTTTTGTATGCATAAAATGAAACAGATGGCCATGAACTCAGAACATCAGGGTTAGTTCCAGGCCCACCTACAAGCCCTTCCTGTCCATTCTGGGACCTCTGTGTACTGCACTGCAATTAGAAAATGACAATCTGTCGAGCTGTGTGCTCCTGTATGCTTGCGGGCCTCTGGTCTCTGCGTGCCGCCTCCCTTGCCTGCTTGAGGACTGGACTTCTGCCCTTTAACTGCAGTCCCGTCCACCTCTCACCTCCATTGAGCCGCCAAGCTCTGATCTGAGTCTCTTGTTGGGTGCTGGTGGTGAGGGAGGATCTTTTCATTTGGCGGAGGGCTCTGCCTGAGAATACTGCAGGTGGATTTCAGCTCAACCCTCTGTTACAAAACCATTTTTCAAGTCTCTTATCCACAGAGCGAGCCCATAGCGAATGCAAACACACTGTGCTGTGTGCAAGAGTCATAAAGAATTACAAGGCAGCATCACCGTCCTCATAAAATGGCAAGGCAGGCAGCAACCTCAGAAGCCAAATTAAACACAGTCAGCATGGCAGCACTGAAATCAGAAAGACCCAGGGTCTGTGCTGGCAGGACGAAGGGGCAGCAGCTGAACCCCCCATGTGGGGTCATCTGGAACACGTGCCTTGGGTGAATACAACAGGACCTTGAAAATGAGTTGGACTAAGTCAGAAGAAAGAAGACGTTCCAAGAGTAGGAAGAAGCTTTGGAGGCAGAAATGTCTGGGGATAATGAGACCCCGGTTGGCTAGATGGGAATTGGAAAGATTAACTCAGAAGTTCCCATGGGGACATTGTGCAGGATGTTGAATCCAAGGCTAGACATTACGAGCTTCCAAACTAGGCAATGGGGCATTCAAGGATTTGCAACAAGAAAGCAAACGGCCTGAGGTAGGGGTTTTGGGGTACCCTGCAGAACGACCTGGCAGTACCCATGAGTCTGGATGCCCCATTCAGAGGCCAGATCGGATCTGTGCAGAGGCACGCGGCTTATCCAGGGACACCAGGCTGTGGCTGCAAATGGGATGTCAGGAAGGGGTGACTCAGTGCCAAGCAAAGTGAGGGATGATGAAAAATGATAATAGCTGGGGTTTTGGCCCCACGTAATGAGAGTAAGATTGGTGTTTTTATCAGTTGGAGCGCTACCAGCACATGTTCCACCATGGATGCCTCACAGAGCTGGCCCCATGCAGAGTCCAGGAAGGGGCTGGGCAGGGGACTGCTCTAGAAGAGGAGATGGGTTCATAAAAGGTTTAGAGGGCAGAGGGCCTGGCGATGTGTTTTCTGTTCTTGATTTCACTCCAGTATTTAAGGAGCTCACTTTGGTGCAAATAATTTATTTTTCCTAGTTTGAAGAAAACACCCTTTCTCAAGCCAGTTTATCCTTAGAAGAGGTCATTTCATTAAGCGGAAGCAGCAAATGTGTTGCTGCATCTCCAAGACCCGAGTATGTGTCTTCCCCTCCTGAACGCTTGTGCGTCCACCTTGGACAACCAACAAGGGGCCATGGAGGAGCCGTCGGTGTCTGTGACAAAATAACCCATTGTTGTGATGCTGTAGGATCTTTCAGAAAACCAGGTCGTAGGACTGAGAGCGTGAAGAACTGTTTGAATCGCCTTATCTATCCCCTTGTTGCGATGCTGTAGGATCTTTCAGAAAACCCAGGTCATAGGACTGAGAGCATGAAGAACTGTTTGAATTGCCTTATCTACATCTCTAATTTTTCAGAGGCTGGGGTGGGCCTAGAAAACAAGACCCCTGAGTTCCAGGCTCGGGTGCCATTGGAACACCCAGATTATGGACGGGGCGGCCTTGAAGTGGACGTGAGGATGAGTCATTCCTCCATGAGTCCAGATCCCAGGTCGAGGCGCAGTCCAGATCCTGGGTTGAGGCGCCATCTGGATCCAGGGTCGAGGTGCAGGGTTACCCGTTACCTGCACTCCCACGGGGAGGGCTTCCCTTTCTTCCCATCAACTCGCGGCACTCGGGGAAAACCTGTGGCCCCCGTCGGCCTGACTTGCTAATGGGAGGCAAACCCGTTCCGCTGACTTGGACGCCGCGTGGTCCTTCTAAGTGCCATTGTCCTGCTGTGCCTCATTGCCGAGTGTGAGAATGCAACTAAGTGAAAGCAAATAGACCTTGTCCGAAAAGGCCCAAAATAGACTCTGCTTGTTATCATATTAACTTTGCATTTTAACTGTGACCCTACATGGTGTGGAAACCCGTGGGGAGTCCCGTGGGCCTGGGCCTCCATGCATCTCTGGGGACTGGGCCAGGCCTGGGTCAGCACATCTGCGTTTCAGTGGAAGTGCCAGACCTTTGCCAGGTGATGGCACAGTAGTGATGCTCATGGGCTGTGTTCTTTCTTCGGGATAATTGCAGCTTGAAACTCCTGGGCATCTGTGATTGGACTTTGGCAAAGTGAATGTATGTGTGTTGGAATGGGGCGTGTGTCTTTGTTAAATGTGACGTTTCTGTTTTTTTTTTGAGACGGAGTCTCTGTGACTCTTTTTTTACAACTATTCCCCCCAAATGGAGACAGATCAGTTTTGCTCTAAATGTGAATCCGAGGCCTCAGGAAGGCATTCGAGGTTTTCAGAACCTCCTTGTCCTCCTGAGTCGTGTATTGAGTGCTTACTGAGCGCCACCTCCTCGTCCTCCAGAGTCGTGCATTGAGTGCTTACTGAGCGCCACCTCCTCGTCCTCCAGAGTCGTGTATTGAGTGCTTACTGAGTGCCACCTCCTCGTCCTCCAGAGTCGTGTATTGAGTGCTTACTGAGCGCTCCCTCCTCGTCCTCCTGAGTCGTGTATTGAGTGCTTACTGAGCGCTCCCTCCTTGTCCTCCAGAGTCGTGTATTGAGTGCTTACTGAGCGCTCCCTCATCGTCCTCCGGAGTCGTGTATTGAGTGCTTACTGAGCGCCCCCTCCTCGTCCTCCAGAGTCGTGTATTGAGTGCTTACTGAGCGCTCCCTCCTTGTCCTCCTGAGTCGTGTATTGAGTGCTTACTGAGCGCCACCTCCTCGTCCTCCAGAGTCGTGCATTGAGTGCTTACTGAGCGCCACCTCCTCGTCCTCCAGAGTCGTGTATTGAGTGCTTACTGAGTGCCACCTCCTCGTCCTCCAGAGTCGTGTATTGAGTGCTTACTGAGCGCTCCCTCCTCATCCTCCTGAGTCGTGTATTGAGTGCTTACTGAGCGCTCCCTCCTCATCCTCCTGAGTCGTGTATTGAGTGCTTACTGAGCGCTCCCTCCTCGTCCTCCTGAGTCGTGTATTGAGTGCTTACTGAGCGCCACCTCCTTGTCTTCCGGAGTCGTGTATTGAGTGCTTACTGAGCGCTCCCTCCTCGTCCTCCTGAGTCGTGTATTGAGTGCTTACTGAGCGCTCCCTCCTCGTCCTCCTGAGTCGTGTATTGAGTGCTTACTGAGCGCCCCCTCCTCGTCCTCCAGAGTCGTGTATTGAGTGCTTACTGAGCGCTCCCTCCTCGTCCTCCTGAGTCGTGTATTGAGTGCTTACTGAGCGCCCCCTCCTCGTCCTCCAGAGTCGTGTATTGAGTGCTTACTGAGCGCCACCTCCTCGTCCTCCAGAGTCGTGTATTGAGTGCTTACTGAGCGCTCCCTCCTCATCCTCCTGAGTCGTGTATTGAGTGCTTACTGAGCGCTCCCTCCTCGTCCTCCTGAGTCGTGTATTGAGTGCTTACTGAGCGCTCCCTCCTTGTCCTCCAGAGTCGTGTATTGAGTGCTTACTGAGCGCTCCCTCCTTGTCCTCTGGAGTCGTGTATTGAGTGCTTACTGAGCGCCCCCTCCTCGTCCTCCAGAGTCGTGTATTGAGTGCTTACTGAGCGCCACCTCCTCGTCCTCCTGAGTCGTGTATTGAGTGCTTACTGAGCGCCACCTCCTTGTCCTCCTGAGTCGTGTATTGAGTGCTTACTGAGCGCTCCCTCCTCGTCCTCCAGAGTCGTGTATTGAGTGCTTACTGAGCGCCACCTCCTCGTCCTCCAAAGTCGTGTATTGAGTGCTTACTGAGCGCTCCCTCCTTGTCCTCCAGAGTCGTGTATTGAGTGCTTACTGAGCGCCACCTCCTCATCCTCCAGAGTCGTGTATTGAGAACTTACTGAGCGCTCCCTCCTTGTCCTCCGGAGTCGTGTATTGAGTGCTTACTGAGTGCCACCTCCTTGTCCTCCAGAGTCGTGTATTGAGTGCTTACTGAGCACTCCCTCCTTGTCCTCCGGAGTCGTATATTGAGTGCTTACTGAGCGCCACCTCCTCGTCCTCCAGAGTCGTGTATTGAGTGCTTACTGAGCGCTCCCTCCTTGTCCTCCTGAGTCGTGTATTGAGTGCTTACTGAGCGCCACCTCCTCGTCCTCCAGAGTCGTGTATTGAGTGCTTACTGAGCGCTCCCTCCTTGTCCTCCGGAGTCGTGTATTGAGTGCTTACTGAGCGCCACTCCTTGTCCTCCGGAGTCGTGTATTGAGTGCTTACTGAGCGCTCCCTCCTTGTCCTCTGGAGTCGTGTATTGAGAGCTTACTGAGCGCTCCCTCCTCGTCCTCCAGAGTCGTGTATTGAGTGCTTACTGAGCGCCACCTCCTTGTCCTCCGGAGTCGTGTATTGAGTGCTTACTGAGCGCCACCTCCTCATCCTCCAGAGTCGTGTATTGAGTGCTTACTGAGCGCTCCCTCCTTGTCCTCCAGAGTCGTGTATTGAGTGCTTACTGAGCGCCACCTCCTCATCCTCCAGAGTCGTGTATTGAGTGCTTACTGAGCGCTCCCTCCTTGTCCTCCGGAGTCGTGTATTGAGTGCTTACTGAGCGCCACCTCCTCATCCTCCAGAGTCGTGTATTGAGTGCTTACTGAGCGCTCCCTCCTTGTCCTCCAGAGTCGTGTATTGAGTGCTTACTGAGCGCCACCTCCTCATCCTCCGGGGTCGTGTATTGAGTGCTTACTGAGCGCCACCTCCTCATCCTCCAGAGTCGTGTATTGAGTGCTTACTGAGCACCACCTCCTTGTCCTCTGGAGTCATGTATTGAGAACTTACTGAGCGCTCCCTCCTATGTCCTCCGGAGTCCTGTATTGAGTGCTTACTGAGCGCCACCTCCTTGTCCTCCAGAGTCGTGTATTGAGTGCTTACTGAGCGCCACCTCCTCATCCTCCAGGGTAGTGTATTGAGTGCTTACTGAGTGCCACCTCCTCGTCCTCCAGAGTCGTGTATTGAGTGCTTACTGAGCGCTCCCTCCTCATCCTCCTGAGTCGTGTATTGAGTGCTTACTGAGCGCTCCCTCCTCGTCCTCCTGAGTCGTGTATTGAGTGCTTACTGAGTGCCACCTCCTCATCCTCCTGAGTCGTGTATTGAGTGCTTACTGAGCGCTCCCTCCTCGTCCTCCTGAGTCGTGTATTGAGTGCTTACTGAGCGCTCCCTCGTCATCCTCCTGAGTCGTGTATTGAGTGCTTACTGAGCGCCCCCTCCTCGTCCTCCAGAGTCGTGTATTGAGTGCTTACTGAGCGCCACCTCCTCGTCCTCCAGAGTCGTGTATTGAGTGCTTACTGAGCGCTCCCTCCTCATCCTCCTGAGTCGTGTATTGAGTGCTTACTGAGCGCTCCCTCCTCGTTCTCCTGAGTCGTGTATTGAGTGCTTACTGAGCCTCATCCTCCAGGGTAGTGTATTGAGTGCTTACTGAGTGCCACCTCCTCGTCCTCCAGAGTCGTGTATTGAGTGCTTACTGAGCGCTCCCTCCTCATCCTCCTGAGTCGTGTATTGAGTGCTTACTGAGCGCCACCTCCTCGTCCTCCAGAGTCGTGTATTGAGTGCTTACTGAGCGCTCCCTCCTTGTCCTCCTGAGTCGTGTATTGAGTGCTTACTGAGCGCCACCTCCTCGTCCTCCAGAGTCGTGTATTGAGTGCTTACTGAGCGCTCCCTCCTTGTCCTCCGGAGTCGTGTATTGAGTGCTTACTGAGCGCCACTCCTTGTCCTCCGGAGTCGTGTATTGAGTGCTTACTGAGCGCCACCTCCTTGTCCTCCAGAGTCGTGTATTGAGAGCTTACTGAGCGCTCCCTCCTTGTCCTCCAGAGTCGTGTATTGAGTGCTTACTGAGCGCCACCTCCTTGTCCTCCGGAGTCGTGTATTGAGTGCTTACTGAGCGCTCCCTCCTTGTCCTCCAGAGTCGTGTATTGAGAACTTACTGAGCGCCACCTCCTCGTCCTCCAGAGTCGTGTATTGAGTGCTTACTGAGCGCTCCCTCCTTGTCCTCCAGAGTCGTGTATTGAGAACTTACTGAGCGCTCCCTCCTTGTCCTCCAGAGTCGTGTATTGACGGACCTTTGCCAGGTGATGGCACAGTAGTGATGCTCATGGGCTGTGTTCTTTCTTCGGGATAATTGCAGCTTGAAACTCCTGGGCATCTGTGATTGGACTTTGGCAAAGTGAATGTATGTGTGTTGGAATGGGGCGTGTGTCTTTGTTAAATGTGACGTTTCTGTTTTTTTTTTGAGACGGAGTCTCTGTGACTCTTTTTTTACAACTATTCCCCCCAAATGGAGACAGATCAGTTTTGCTCTAAATGTGAATCCGAGGCCTCAGGAAGGCATTCGAGGTTTTCAGAACCTCCTTGTCCTCCTGAGTCGTGTATTGAGTGCTTACTGAGCGCCACCTCCTCGTCCTCCAGAGTCGTGCATTGAGTGCTTACTGAGCGCCACCTCCTCGTCCTCCAGGGTAGTGTATTGAGTGCTTACTGAGTGCCACCTCCTCGTCCTCCAGAGTCGTGTATTGAGTGCTTACTGAGCGCTGCCTCCTCATCCTCCTGAGTCGAGTATTGAGTGCTTACTGAGCGCTCCCTCCTCATCCTCCTGAGTCGTGTATTGAGTGCTTACTGAGCGCTCCCTCCTCGTCCTCCTGAGTCGTGTATTGAGTGCTTACTGAGCGCTCCCTCCTTGTCCTCCAGAGTCGTGTATTGAGTGCTTACTGAGCGCTCCCTCCTTGTCCTCTGGAGTCGTGTATTGAGTGCTTACTGAGCGCCCCCTCCTCGTCCTCCAGAGTCGTGTATTGAGTGCTTACTGAGCGCCACCTCCTCGTCCTCCTGAGTCGTGTATTGAGTGCTTACTGAGCGCCACCTCCTTGTCCTCCTGAGTCGTGTATTGAGTGCTTACTGAGCGCTCCCTCCTCGTCCTCCAGAGTCGTGTATTGAGTGCTTACTGAGCGCCACCTCCTCGTCCTCCAAAGTCGTGTATTGAGTGCTTACTGAGCGCTCCCTCCTTGTCCTCCAGAGTCGTGTATTGATGTTTTTACTGAGCGTATCTCTTCATCCTCTCTTGAGTTGTTATTGATGCGCTTACTGAGCTCTCCCCCTCTTGTCTCCGGATTCTGTTTTTTCACTGCTTATTTTGTCTTTCCTTCTTCCCTTTTTTAGGTGACTGGACTTTGGCAAAGTGAATGTATGTGTGTTGGAATGGGGCGTGTGTCTTTGTTAAATGTGACGTTTCTGTTTTTTTTTTGAGACGGAGTCTCTGTGACTCTTTTTTTACAACTATTCCCCCCAAATGGAGACAGATCAGTTTTGCTCTAAATGTGAATCCGAGGCCTCAGGAAGGCATTCGAGGTTTTCAGAACCTCCTTGTCCTCCTGAGTCGTGTATTGAGTGCTTACTGAGCGCCACCTCCTCGTCCTCCAGAGTCGTGCATTGAGTGCTTACTGAGCGCCACCTCCTCGTCCTCCAGAGTCGTGTATTGAGTGCTTACTGAGTGCCACCTCCTCGTCCTCCAGAGTCGTGTATTGAGTGCTTACTGAGCGCTCCCTCCTCATCCTCCTGAGTCGTGTATTGAGTGCTTACTGAGCGCTCCCTCCTCATCCTCCTGAGTCGTGTATTGAGTGCTTACTGAGCGCTCCCTCCTCGTCCTCCTGAGTCGTGTATTGAGTGCTTACTGAGTGCCACCTCCTCATCCTCCGGAGTCGTGTATTGAGTGCTTACTGAGCGCTCCCTCCTCGTCCTCCTGAGTCGTGTATTGAGTGCTTACTGAGCGCTCCCTCCTCGTCCTCCTGAGTCGTGTATTGAGTGCTTACTGAGCGCCCCCTCCTCGTCCTCCAGAGTCGTGTATTGAGTGCTTACTGAGCGCCACCTCCTCGTCCTCCAGAGTCGTGTATTGAGTGCTTACTGAGCGCTCCCTCCTCATCCTCCTGAGTCGTGTATTGAGTGCTTACTGAGCGCTCCCTCCTCGTCCTCCTGAGTCGTGTATTGAGTGCTTACTGAGTGCCACCTCCTCATCCTCCTGAGTCGTGTATTGAGTGCTTACTGAGCGCTCCCTCCTCGTCCTCCTGAGTCGTGTATTGAGTGCTTACTGAGCGCTCCCTCCTCGTCCTCCTGAGTCGTGTATTGAGTGCTTACTGAGTGCCACCTCCTCATCCTCCTGAGTCGTGTATTGAGTGCTTACTGAGCGCTCCCTCCTCGTCCTCCTGAGTCGTGTATTGAGTGCTTACTGAGCGCCCCCTCCTCGTCCTCCAGAGTCGTGTATTGAGTGCTTACTGAGCGCCACCTCCTCGTCCTCCTGAGTCGTGTATTGAGTGCTTACTGAGCGCTCCCTCCTCATCCTCCTGAGTCGTGTATTGAGTGCTTACTGAGTGCCACCTCCTCATCCTCCTGAGTCGTGTATTGAGTGCTTACTGAGTGCCACCTCCTCATCCTCCAGAGTCGTGTATTGAGTGCTTACTGAGCGCTCCCTCCTTGTCCTCCTG
This sequence comes from Homo sapiens, assembly GCF_000001405.40. NCBI lineage: Eukaryota > Metazoa > Chordata > Mammalia > Primates > Hominidae > Homo > Homo sapiens. The sequence continues at coordinate 1,399,125 of NC_000008.11, forward strand.
AGTCGTGTATTGAGTGCTTACTGAGCGCCACCTCCTCATCCTCCAGAGTCGTGTATTGAGTGCTTACTGAGCGCCACCTCCTCGTCCTCCAGAGTCGTGTATTGAGTGCTTACTGAGCGCTCCCTCCTTGTCCTCCAGAGTCGTGTATTGAGTGCTTACTGAGCGCTCCCTCCTCATCCTCCAGAGTCGTGTATTGAGTGCTTACTGAGCGCTACCTCCTCGTCCTCCAGAGTCGTGTATTGAGTGCTTACTGAGCGCCACCTCCTCGTCCTCCTGAGTCGTGTATTGAGTGCTTACTGAGCGCCACCTCCTTGTCCTCCTGAGTCGTGTATTGAGTGCTTACTGAGCGCTCCCTCCTCGTCCTCCAGAGTCGTGTATTGAGTGCTTACTGAGCGCCACCTCCTCGTCCTCCAAAGTCGTGTATTGAGTGCTTACTGAGCGCTCCCTCCTTGTCCTCCAGAGTCGTGTATTGAGTGCTTACTGAGCGCCACCTCCTCATCCTCCAGAGTCGTGTATTGAGAACTTACTGAGCGCTCCCTCCTTGTCCTCCGGAGTCGTGTATTGAGTGCTTACTGAGTGCCACCTCCTTGTCCTCCAGAGTCGTGTATTGAGTGCTTACTGAGCACTCCCTCCTTGTCCTCCGGAGTCGTATATTGAGTGCTTACTGAGCGCCACCTCCTCGTCCTCCAGAGTCGTGTATTGAGTGCTTACTGAGCGCTCCCTCCTTGTCCTCCTGAGTCGTGTATTGAGTGCTTACTGAGCGCCACCTCCTCGTCCTCCAGAGTCGTGTATTGAGTGCTTACTGAGCGCTCCCTCCTTGTCCTCCGGAGTCGTGTATTGAGTGCTTACTGAGCGCCACCTCCTTGTCCTCCGGAGTCGTGTATTGAGTGCTTACTGAGCGCCACCTCCTCGTCCTCCAGAGTCGTGTATTGAGAGCTTACTGAGCGCTCCCTCCTTGTCCTCCAGAGTCGTGTATTGAGTGCTTACTGAGCGCCACCTCCTTGTCCTCCGGAGTCGTGTATTGAGTGCTTACTGAGCGCTCCCTCCTTGTCCTCCAGAGTCGTGTATTGAGAACTTACTGAGCGCCACCTCCTTGTCCTCCAGAGTCGTGTATTGAGTGCTTACTGAGCGCTCCCTCCTTGTCCTCCAGAGTCGTGTATTGAGAACTTACTGAGCGCTCCCTCCTTGTCCTCCAGAGTCGTGTATTGAGTGCTTACTGAGCGCCACCTCCTTGTCCTCCAGAGTCGTGTATTGAGTGCTTACTGAGCGCCACCTCCTCATCCTCCAGGGTAGTGTATTGAGTGCTTACTGAGTGCCACCTCCTCGTCCTCCAGAGTCGTGTATTGAGTGCTTACTGAGCGCTCCCTCCTCATCCTCCTGAGTCGTGTATTGAGTGCTTACTGAGCGCTCCCTCCTCATCCTCCAGAGTCGTGTATTGAGTGCTTACTGAGCGCCACCTCCTCATCCTCCAGAGTCGTGTATTGAGTGCTTACTGAGCGCTCCCTCCTCGTCCTCCAGAGTCGTGTATTGAGTGCTTACTGAGCGCCACCTCCTCGTCCTCCAAAGTCGTGTATTGAGTGCTTACTGAGCGCTCCCTCCTCGTCCTCCTGAGTCGTGTATTGAGTGCTTACTGAGCGCTCCCTCCTTGTCCTCCAGAGTCGTGTATTGAGTGCTTACTGAGCGCTCCCTCATCGTCCTCCGGAGTCGTGTATTGAGTGCTTACTGAGCGCCCCCTCCTCGTCCTCCAGAGTCGTGTATTGAGTGCTTACTGAGCGCTCCCTCCTCATCCTCCTGAGTCGTGTATTGAGTGCTTACTGAGCGCTCCCTCCTCATCCTCCAGAGTCGTGTATTGAGTGCTTACTGAGCGCCACCTCCTCATCCTCCAGAGTCGTGTATTGAGTGCTTACTGAGTGCCACCTCCTCGTCCTCCAGAGTCGTGTATTGAGTGCTTACTGAGCGCTCCCTCCTCGTCCTCCAGAGTCGTGTATTGAGTGCTTACTGAGCGCCCCCTCCTCGTCCTCCAGAGTCGTGTATTGAGTGCTTACTGAGCGCTCCCTCCTTGTCCTCCGGAGTCGTGTATTGAGTGCTTACTGAGTGCCACCTCCTCGTCCTCCAGAGTCGTGTATTGAGTGCTTACTGAGCACTCCCTCCTTGTCCTCCGGAGTCGTATATTGAGTGCTTACTGAGCGCCACCTCCTCGTCCTCCAGAGTCGTGTATTGAGTGCTTACTGAGCGCTCCCTCCTCATCCTCCTGAGTCGTGTATTGAGTGCTTACTGAGCGCCACCTCCTCGTCCTCCAGAGTCGTGTATTGAGTGCTTACTGAGCGCTCCCTCCTTGTCCTCCTGAGTCGTGTATTGAGTGCTTACTGAGCGCTCCCTCCTCGTCCTCCAGAGTCGTGTATTGAGAGCTTACTGAGCACTCCCTCCTTGTCCTCCAAAGTCGTGTATTGAGTGCTTACTGAGCGCTCCCTCCTTGTCCTCCAGAGTCGTGTATTGAGTGCTTACTGAGCGCCACCTCCTTGTCCTCCTGAGTCGTGTATTGAGTGCTTACTGAGCGCCACCTCCTCGTCCTCCAGAGTCGTGCATTGAGTGCTTACTGAGCGCCACCTCCTCGTCCTCCAGAGTCGTGTATTGAGTGCTTACTGAGTGCCACCTCCTCGTCCTCCAGAGTCGTGTATTGAGTGCTTACTGAGCGCTCCCTCCTCATCCTCCTGAGTCGTGTATTGAGTGCTTACTGAGCGCTCCCTCCTCATCCTCCTGAGTCGTGTATTGAGTGCTTACTGAGCGCTCCCTCCTCGTCCTCCTGAGTCGTGTATTGAGTGCTTACTGAGTGCCACCTCCTCATCCTCCGGAGTCGTGTATTGAGTGCTTACTGAGCGCTCCCTCCTCGTCCTCCTGAGTCGTGTATTGAGTGCTTACTGAGCGCTCCCTCCTCGTCCTCCTGAGTCGTGTATTGAGTGCTTACTGAGCGCCCCCTCCTCGTCCTCCAGAGTCGTGTATTGAGTGCTTACTGAGCGCCACCTCCTCGTCCTCCAGAGTCGTGTATTGAGTGCTTACTGAGCGCTCCCTCCTCATCCTCCTGAGTCGTGTATTGAGTGCTTACTGAGCGCTCCCTCCTCGTTCTCCTGAGTCGTGTATTGAGTGCTTACTGAGTGCCACCTCCTCATCCTCCGGAGTCGTGTATTGAGTGCTTACTGAGCGCTCCCTCCTCGTCCTCCAGAGTCGTGTATTGCCTGAGTCGTGTATTGAGTGCTTACTGAGCGCTCCCTCCTCGTCCTCCTGAGTCGTGTATTGAGTGCTTACTGAGCGCCACCTCCTTGTCCTCCAGAGTCGTGTATTGAGAGCTTACTGAGCGCTCCCTCCTTGTCCTCCAGAGTCGTGTATTGAGTGCTTACTGAGCGCCACCTCCTTGTCCTCCGGAGTCGTGTATTGAGTGCTTACTGAGCGCTCCCTCCTTGTCCTCCAGAGTCGTGTATTGAGAACTTACTGAGCGCCACCTCCTCGTCCTCCAGAGTCGTGTATTGAGTGCTTACTGAGCGCTCCCTCCTCATCCTCCTGAGTCGTGTATTGAGTGCTTACTGAGCGCTCCCTCCTCATCCTCCAGAGTCGTGTATTGAGTGCTTACTGAGCGCCACCTCCTCATCCTCCAGAGTCGTGTATTGAGTGCTTACTGAGTGCCACCTCCTCGTCCTCCAGAGTCGTGTATTGAGTGCTTACTGAGCGCTCCCTCCTTGTCCTCTGGAGTCGTGTATTGAGTGCTTACTGAGCGCCCCCTCCTCGTCCTCCAGAGTCGTGTATTGAGTGCTTACTGAGCGCCACCTCCTCGTCCTCCTGAGTCGTGTATTGAGTGCTTACTGAGCGCCACCTCCTTGTCCTCCAGAGTCGTGTATTGAGTGCTTACTGAGCGCTCCCTCCTCGTCCTCCAGAGTCGTGTATTGAGTGCTTACTGAGCGCCACCTCCTCATCCTCCAGAGTCGTGAAGAGAGTGTAAAATCGCTGATCACTCCAGGTGGTGAAGGGTGGATGTGAAGTAAGGAGATTAAGGCGACTTACTCGTCGTCCTGCGTAGTGAAGAGATTGTAAAAAGAGGGCTACATCCAAGTCCTCATGCGTGGAGGATGAATTGAGAAGATCCCCCCACCTCCTCGTCCTCCAGAGTCGTGTATTGAGTGCTTACTGAGCGCTCCCTCCTTGTCCTCCGGAGTCGTGTATTGAGTGCTTACTGAGCGCCACTCCTTGTCCTCCGGAGTCGTGTATTGAGTGCTTACTGAGCGCCACCTCCTTGTCCTCCAGAGTCGTGTATTGAGAGCTTACTGAGCGCTCCCTCCTTGTCCTCCAGAGTCGTGTATTGAGTGCTTACTGAGCGCCACCTCCTTGTCCTCCGGAGTCGTGTATTGAGTGCTTACTGAGCGCTCCCTCCTTGTCCTCCAGAGTCGTGTATTGAGAACTTACTGAGCGCCACCTCCTCGTCCTCCAGAGTCGTGTATTGAGTGCTTACTGAGCGCTCCCTCCTTGTCCTCCAGAGTCGTGTATTGAGAACTTACTGAGCGCTCCCTCCTTGTCCTCCAGAGTCGTGTATTGAGTGCTTACTGAGCGCCACCTCCTTGTCCTCCAGAGTCGTGTATTGAGTGCTTACTGAGCGCCACCTCCTCATCCTCCAGGGTAGTGTATTGAGTGCTTACTGAGTGCCACCTCCTCGTCCTCCAGAGTCGTGTATTGAGTGCTTACTGAGCGCTCCCTCCTCATCCTCCTGAGTCGTGTATTGAGTGCTTACTGAGCGCTCCCTCCTCATCCTCCAGAGTCGTGTATTGAGTGCTTACTGAGCGCCACCTCCTCATCCTCCAGAGTCGTGTATTGAGTGCTTACTGAGTGCCACCTCCTCGTCCTCCAGAGTCGTGTATTGAGTGCTTACTGAGCGCTCCCTCCTCATCCTCCTGAGTCGTGTATTGAGTGCTTACTGAGCGCTCCCTCCTCATCCTCCTGAGTCGTGTATTGAGTGCTTACTGAGCGCTCCCTCCTCGTCCTCCTGAGTCGTGTATTGAGTGCTTACTGAGTGCCACCTCCTCATCCTCCTGAGTCGTGTATTGAGTGCTTACTGAGCGCTCCCTCATCGTCCTCCTGAGTCGTGTATTGAGTGCTTACTGAGCGCTCCCTCCTCGTCCTCCTGAGTCGTGTATTGAGTGCTTACTGAGTGCCACCTCCTCATCCTCCTGAGTCGTGTATTGAGTGCTTACTGAGCGCTCCCTCCTCGTCCTCCTGAGTCGTGTATTGAGTGCTTACTGAGCGCCCCCTCCTCGTCCTCCAGAGTCGTGTATTGAGTGCTTACTGAGCGCCACCTCCTCATCCTCCAGAGTCGTGTATTGAGTGCTTACTGAGCGCTCCCTCCTCGTCCTCCAGAGTCGTGTATTGAGTGCTTACTGAGCGCTCCCTCCTCGTCCTCCAGAGTCGTGTATTGAGTGCTTACTGAGCGCTCCCTCCTCGTCCTCCAGAGTCGTGTATTGAGTGCTTACTGAGCGCCACCTCCTCGTCCTCCAGAGTCGTGTATTGAGTGCTTACTGAGCGCTCCCTCCTCGTCCTCCAGAGTCGTGTATTGAGTGCTTACTGAGCGCCACCTCCTCGTCCTCCAGAGTCGTGTATTGAGTGCTTACTGAGCGCCACCTCCTCGTCCTCCAGAGTCGTGTATTGAGTGCTTACTGAGCGCCACCTCCTCGTCCTCCAGAGTCGTGTATTGAGTGCTTACTGAGCGCTCCCTCCTCGTCCTCCAGAGTCGTGTATTGAGTGCTTACTGAGCGCCACCTCCTCGTCCTCCAAAGTCGTGTATTGAGTGCTTACTGAGCGCTCCCTCCTTGTCCTCCAGAGTCGTGTATTGAGTGCTTACTGAGCGCCACCTCCTCATCCTCCAGAGTCGTGTATTGAGTGCTTACTGAGCGCCCCCTCCTTGTCCTCCAGAGTCGTGTATTGAGTGCTTACTGAGCGCCACCTCCTCGTCCTCCAGAGTCGTGTATTGAGTGCTTACTGAGCGCCACCTCCTCGTCCTCCAGAGTCGTGTATTGAGTGCTTACTGAGCGCTCCCTCCTCATCCTCCTGAGTCGTGTATTGAGTGCTTACTGAGCGCTCCCTCCTCGTCCTCCTGAGTCGTGTATTGAGTGCTTACTGAGCGCTCCCTCCTTGTCCTCCAGAGTCGTGTATTGAGTGCTTACTGAGCGCTCCCTCATCGTCCTCCGGAGTCGTGTATTGAGTGCTTACTGAGCGCCCCCTCCTCGTCCTCCAGAGTCGTGTATTGAGTGCTTACTGAGCGCCACCTCCTCGTCCTCCTGAGTCGTGTATTGAGTGCTTACTGAGCGCCACCTCCTTGTCCTCCTGAGTCGTGTATTGAGTGCTTACTGAGCGCTCCCTCCTCGTCCTCCAGAGTCGTACTAACTGAGCGCTCCCACCTTGTCCTCCAGAGTCGCGTAACTCAGCGCTTACTGAGCGCCACCTCCTTGCCCTCCAGAGTCGTGTATTGAGTGCGCACTGAGCGCCACCTCCTCATCCTCCAGGGTAGTGTATTGAGTGCTTACTGAGTGCCACCTCCTCGTCCTCCAGAGTCGTGTATTGAGTGCTTACTGAGCGCTCCCTCCTCATCCTCCTGAGTCGTGTATTGAGTGCTTACTGAGCGCCACCTCCTCGTCCTCCAGAGTCGTGTATTGAGTGCTTACTGAGCGCTCCCTCCTTGTCCTCCTGAGTCGTGTATTGAGTGCTTACTGAGCGCCACCTCCTCGTCCTCCAGAGTCGTGTATTGAGTGCTTACTGAGCGCTCCCTCCTTGTCCTCCGGAGTCGTGTATTGAGTGCTTACTGAGCGCCACTCCTTGTCCTCCGGAGTCGTGTATTGAGTGCTTACTGAGCGCCACCTCCTTGTCCTCCAGAGTCGTGTATTGAGAGCTTACTGAGCGCTCCCTCCTTGTCCTCCAGAGTCGTGTATTGAGTGCTTACTGAGCGCCACCTCCTTGTCCTCCGGAGTCGTGTATTGAGTGCTTACTGAGCGCTCCCTCCTTGTCCTCCAGAGTCGTGTATTGAGAACTTACTGAGCGCCACCTCCTCGTCCTCCAGAGTCGTGTATTGAGTGCTTACTGAGCGCTCCCTCCTTGTCCTCCAGAGTCGTGTATTGAGAACTTACTGAGCGCTCCCTCCTTGTCCTCCAGAGTCGTGTATTGAGTGCTACTGAGCGCACCACAGTGCTTACTGAGCGCCACCTCCTCGTCCTCCTGAGTCGTGTATTGAGTGCTTACTGAGCGCCACCTCCTTGTCCTCCTGAGTCGTGTATTGAGTGCTTACTGAGCGCTCCCTCCTCGTCCTCCAGAGTCGTGTATTGAGTGCTTACTGAGCGCCACCTCCTCGTCCTCCAAAGTCGTGTATTGAGTGCTTACTGAGCGCTCCCTCCTTGTCCTCCAGAGTCGTGTATTGAGTGCTTACTGAGCGCCACCTCCTCATCCTCCAGAGTCGTGTATTGAGTGCTTACTGAGCGCTCCCTCCTTGTCCTCCGGAGTCGTGTATTGAGTGCTTACTGAGTGCCACCTCCTCGTCCTCCAGAGTCGTGTATTGAGTGCTTACTGAGCACTCCCTCCTTGTCCTCCGGAGTCGTATATTGAGTGCTTACTGAGCGCCACCTCCTCGTCCTCCAGAGTCGTGTATTGAGTGCTTACTGAGCGCTCCCTCCTTGTCCTCCTGAGTCGTGTATTGAGTGCTTACTGAGCGCCACCTCCTCGTCCTCCAGAGTCGTGTATTGAGTGCTTACTGAGCGCTCCCTCCTTGTCCTCCGGAGTCGTGTATTGAGTGCTTACTGAGCGCCACCTCCTTGTCCTCCGGAGTCGTGTATTGAGAGCTTACTGAGCACTCCCTCCTTGTCCTCCAGAGTCGTGTATTGAGTGCTTACTGAGCGCCACCTCCTTGTCCTCCGGAGTCGTGTATTGAGAGCTTACTGAGCGCTCCCTCCTTGTCCTCCGGAGTCGTGTATTGAGTGCTTACTGAGCGCCACCTCCTTGTCCTCCGGAGTCGTGTATTGAGAGCTTACTGAGCGCTCCCTCCTTGTCCTCCGGAGTCGTGTATTGAGTGCTTACTGAGCGCCACCTCCTTGTCCTCCGGAGTCGTGTATTGAGTGCTTACTGAGCGCCACCTCCTCATCCTCCAGAGTCGTGTATTGAGTGCTTACTGAGCGCTCCCTCCTTGTCCTCCAGAGTCGTGTATTGAGAACTTACTGAGCGCTCCCTCCTTGTCCTCCGGAGTCCTGTATTGAGTGCTTACTGAGCGCCACCTCCTTGTCCTCCAGAGTCGTGTATTGAGTGCTTACTGAGCGCCACCTCCTCATCCTCCAGGGTAGTGTATTGAGTGCTTACTGAGCGCCACCTCCTCATCGTCCAGAGTCGTGTATTGAGTGCTTACTGAGCGCCACCTCCTCATCCTCCAGAGTCGTGTATTGAGTGCTTACTGAGCGCCACCTCCTCATCCTCCAGAGTCGTGTATTGAGTGCTTACTGAGCGCCACCTCCTCATCCTCCAGAGTCGTGTATTGAGTGCTTACTGAGCGCCACCTCCTCATCCTCCAGAGTCGTGTATTGAGTGCTTACTGAGCGCCAGCTCGTCATCCTCCAGAGTCGTGTATTGAGTGCTTACTGAGCGCCACCTCCTCATCCTCCGGGGTCGTGTATTGAGTGCTTACTGAGCGCCACCTCCTCATCCTCCGGAGTCGTGTATTGAGTGCTTACTGAGCACCACCTCCTTGTCCTCTGGAGTCATGTATTGAGTGCTGACTGAGTACCGCAGGGTCCACCTCAGGGCTTCCAGCATTTCCTTGTTGGGGGTTGGGGTGGGCTGTCCTGCACAGCACAGCATGTTTAACAGCATCGCTGGACTCAGCACTGGATGCCAGTCAGGACAACCAAAAATGCCTCCAGATAGTGCCAAATGCCCCCCAGGGGATAGAATCGTCTCCTGAGAACAGCTGGTCTTCACTGAGATCAAGGCAAGCCTGGTCTCTGGCTCACTCTTTCTTTCCAGCATCTCCAGCTAGCATTTTATTCCCGTAGTTGAAGAACACAGGAATCCTTGTGCTCTTTCCACCTGCCTCACTGTCCAACTCATTCTCCACTTTCCGCGATGCCATTTCAGTTTCCCCTCTTGCTGATGATCTGGGTCTGTTTCCTCACTCTCCAGAGTGTCCGAGGGTTTCCCCTTCCCTCGGGGAGGCGTCTGTGTTCTCATCAGGGGAGAAATCAGTTCCAGGCCCCAGCTCCAAGTTCGCCACAACCTGTTAGTTCACCTGGGGCCTTGCGTAATCTCCACGAGCATCTGGGGCACCGTGTCAAGTCCTGAAGCCCCCATGGCCCTGCAGAGGGACCTTCTCTGGGCCTTGGATGATGAGGGTGCTGCTCTCCACTGGGACTCCAGCATTGTCAGGCACAGACACACACGGTGTTAACTGTTCGGCAACTGGAGTTTCTAAGCCTGTTTTCTGGAGCAGGCAACATGGATTCACGCATAACTTTGAAAATGTATCTTGGATGTTTGAGGCCTTCTAGCAAGTCCTTGTTTCAGGCTTTCACAGGACAGTGCAGAGGGTTTTCTGGTGAAAGCAGAACCCGGGAAAGCCAGGTTTTGGGAACTCGTGGCAGCTCTACCACCAAGAGACCCTTCGTCTGTCACTTTCACTGCGTTAACAGGAAGACTTGACTGTCATTTAACATTAAGGTGCGCAGGGCACAGAGAAGAAAGCTGGGCAGTGGTGGTCCATGATGCCTGTCTGCCCACCCTCCTGGGCCACAGGGTCTGTCTTGTTGGAGACAGTGGACATTTAATCGATGTCTGTTGGGGAAGCATCAGTTAATTCCCTGAAAGATAAATCCACCTATGAAAAAGACAGCAGCATTGCCTCAGTTCCAGAATGTGGACCACTGCCCAACCCCTTCCTCACTGTAGCAGGCGCCCGGCTCCCCTTGGACCACTGCCCAGTTCCTTGCTCACCATAGCAGGCGCCCGGCTCCCCTTGGACCACTGCCCAGTTCCTTCCTCACCATAGCAGGCGCCTGGCTCCCCTTGGACCACTGCCCAACTCCTTCCTCACCATAGGAAGCCCATCTCCCCTTGGCAGCCCTGGCCCTGAGCACAGAATTGTCTAGACCAGCTGAAAACCAACTGGAACCAACCAGTTCCTTCCTCACCATAGCAGGCGCCTGGCTCCCCTTGGACCACTGCCCAACTCCTTCCTCACCGTAGGCGCCCAGCTCTCCTTGGCAGTCCTGGTGCTGAGCACAGAATTGTCTAGACCAGCTGAGAACCAACCGGAAGAAATGGGCTCAGTAAAGACTGATTTCAGAAATTCTCCAGACACAAGTTCAAGAAGAGAGCTGGGTGTGACGAACGTGCTCAGAACCCTCCTCGCTTCCCAGCCTGTCACCGTGTGATGGTGAATCTTCTCCGTCACCTAGACTGGGATAGGGGATGCCCACAGAGCTGGGAAGACATTTTCCAGATGTGTCTGTGGTGGTGTTTCTGGAAGGACCAGCGTTTGAATCAGGGAATGAGTAAAGCAGACCCCACCCCAGTGCAGGTGGGCCTCCCCCAGTCCATGAGGGCTCAAATAGAACTGAAAGAGGAAGGGAGGACCTCCTCTCTTCTTGAGCTGGGACCTTCATCTTCTCCTGCCCTCCACCAGAGCCCCAGGGCCTTCAGGCTCTGAGGCTTTCACCAGCAGCCCCTCAGTGCCGGGGCCTTCGGGCTTAGACTGAATTACACCTGACCCCGTGGGTCTCCAGCTGTGGGGCTTCTCAGCCTCCATAATCATATGATCCAGTTCCGAAAATAAAACCCCCTCTTATGTGTCTGTGTGTCCTGTTGGTTCCATTCCTCCAGAGAACCCTGACCGATACGTGCTGCAGGTGTGTAGACCTTTGGCTAACTGAGAAATGGTGTCAGGTCCACAAGCCAAGCGGTGTCCTCCCCAGGAATGCCAGACGCTGACACCAAGTGCCCAAGGGGAAGGGGAGGTTTCAAAACATGCCCTCGATCTGCTGAGGAGACTGCAAGCTTCGATCAGGGCCCAGATCATCTGGGAGTGGTTGGAATCTCACTGGCTTCAGAGCAGAATCTTTGCATTGTGAGGCACTGGCAATGAGGATACCAGTAATAGTGACACGGAAGGTAACATTCACGGGCATGGCTTCACGCGTGCGGCACCGTGGCCCAGGCAGCCTCACGGTGAGGAGCTCCCAGCAGAGCAGACGCCAGTCTGACCCCTTTGAAATACTCGCTGAGTGCTTCCTTTTTATTCTCTCCCCTCAGTTCACATAATTCTGTAGCAGTAACTTACTGTCATGTCCCACAGTTTCATGGGGTCACTAGAGGAAGGCTTCCTGCAGGGGTCCATCTGCAGGCTACTGCATTTCCGCACAGGTCGAGTTAAAGCAAAAGCATCAAGTCAGCTCCCTTCTCAGAATGAAATACAGTGAAATTATGGCTTAAAACTCCTGGGGGAGCTTGTAAGTATGAAGAGGCAGCAGCACATAAGTGTGTTTCACGCACGGCATCAGGGACACCCCATGGGCCTGCGTCAAACCCCACGTCCAGGTCAAGGGATCCAGAGATGCTGATTTGGAACCTGGTTTTCTTGTTCAGGAATTTTCCCAGATTATGGCCACCTTTCCCTGTGGGAATGTCCTTGCTTCACTCTGGAGCCATTTTTTTTTTTTTTTTTTTAAACTTCCTTGTTTTCAGTTGTCTTATCCAGGAAGGAAGGCTGAGCTCCTGGTGAACATGTAAATATCTTTACTTCTCTATTTAAGAGATTGTAATCATTATTTTGTTATAATTGCATAGTGTTGTACGTTACTTTGACTTGCCAGCTAAACTAATATTTCTGTGGGTTTATTTATTGAGTTTCAGTGCATAAAAGGTGACTAAAGTGTCACCGTGGAAAGCTACCTGCATACGCCAGTTGTTCCTTTCAGGTATTCAGTCGTGGTCTCTTGTTCTGGAAACCCAACATCTCCTAATTAAAATCGTCGTATGTTAATTGCTCTGCTTAACTACAGAGAAATTATTCATTGCAATAATTTGGTCTGAAAATGAATGTTTATATATATTGTGTCTTTTAACAATGTGCAATGCATAGCTACATTATATACTATAATAAGTCAAAGAAAACAGAGTTAGGAATAATCAAAACACCAAAAATCTTATATGGTTTTGAAGGCAGGGAATTATAATGTTGATACATATGGGTTTCCACATAAAAGAGCATAAAAGCACGAAGGACTTGACCCCTGAGCCAGGCGGTCCTAGCTGGCCTTTGGCCCCACTTGTGCCGAAGATATAACTCCATCCTGCTTGCCTCCGGCTCCCTAGCCTGGTGACATTGGCAGGAAGACGGAGTCATAAACTGTGCCGGTAGAGCCTTGGGCAGATTAAACGAGGTAACCGAAATGCGGAACCTGCAGGTGGTAGACTTGAGGGCCTCGTGCTCCTCCTGGCCTGGTTTATCCTCTCCTTTCCCTCCTGCTCTGAACCATCTGCTAAACTTCAAACAATGCCAAGAGTAAGCATTTCACAGGCTCACGAAGCTGCGTGTCTACTTCATTTAAGGGCTTCTAAAATTATTTCCGTGAACTTTCCAGAACTTGAATTTATGGAAAGCTGCGCATGAAGTCTCTCTCACTAAGGGTGAATTTTCCCTAATCAGCTCTGCCCTCATGAGCCGTCGTGTGGGCCCTGGTGGTGCGGCACACTCATCCAGGCCTTTGCAAGTGGGACACAGAGTGTGGGGGTGGATGCTTCCACGCCAGTATCCTCCACGTTCAGACACATGCTCCGAAAACCTACAGGCAACAGCAAGGGCTCTGGAAGACACAGATGCCATGGGCAGGTGATCTCCTGCTAGGGATGTCCTGCCATGGACCCTCACCTCCCCTGGAGTCACTGCCCTTTCTCCATTCCTGCCTCCAGGCCTCTCAAGCATGGGCTGGGCTTGCTGCATCTCCCTCCTCCTCACCTGTGCTCCCTTTTTAGCTCCAGTGCTATGGCTCCCACTGCCCTCTGCAGAGCCCCCAGCACTGGGACTTTTATGCTGAAGGCGAGGTCCCCCGCCAGCCTCCTGCTCTGAGCGCTAGACTCTGCAGCCTGCTTGTCTTTCATGCCTCCTCCTCCCTAGCCTTCTGAGGCTCCATTCTCTCCCTCAGCCTCCCTGTCTCCCGGGCTCTTTCTCCTCCATCTCTCTTACAGATGTGGAGGTTCCAAAAGGTTCTCAGAGTCTCACCCTCTTCCATATGATTTGTTACATTGCTAAATGCATGCATGCATCTGATCTCACGAATTCAGTGCTGAAATATCCCACTGCTGCTACTTGACCTGCAGAATAAATGTGTGGTTTCTCAGCTTGGCCTTGTGTATCCTTGGTAAGCCCCAGCCATTCCAGCTGTGAGCCCTCAGATAAGTTGCTTCACCCCTCTCTGCCTCAGTGTCCTCTTCTGAGAAATGGTGATAGCAATGGAGCCCACTGTGAAGATCACAGGCTCTTTGTGAAGGTCAGAGTCAGTGCATGTAATTATTGAGTCTTTCTTGCTGTTCTTGGGCACTTAGCAAGACCTCTACAGGCAAAAGGCAATTGCCAGCTGTGATGGCCATTCTGACTCTAACATACCCTCCCTATTCACAGCCCTCCCCAGCAGATGGCCTGTGTCTCCAGTGCTCAGGGCCACCTGCATTTCCTGAGATTACAGTGCCTCTCGCATGCTATTTCCTGTCTCCCTGTCTCTGACTTCCCTCCCTCCTGCTGGGAAAATTCCTTCAATACCCAGCTCAAGTGTCCCCTCCTCCGTAAAACAGACTTGCCCTTCCTGACCACAGTGTGGGAAAAATCCTTCAATACCCAGCTCAAGTGTCCCCTCCTCTGTGAAGAGGGCTTCCTCTTCTTGACCAGTGCCATTACCTCCTCAGTTCTCCTAGTGTCCCTCTGGAACTCACAGCTTTGTGTTCTATTTGCCCCTCTGTGTTTTCTACTGGACAGTGGCTCCTTCCAAGTCATGGCTTGTCTCCCTCCTCTCTGTAGCACCTTTGTATGTTTCAACACCTTTATTATTAGCTATTTATTTATAGTATTTTTAAAGTAAATAAAGGAAGAAGCATAAAGATAGAAGGATGGGAAGCAGAATGAATAAATGGATAGATATTTTCAAGAACAGAGGAAGAAAATGAATTACTATTGTAATATAAATGAACAACCTATTGAAGAAAGGAAAATATAGTTTCAATGCTCAAGAAGCATAAAAAAGACTTTCAAAGTAAGTCCAATTTAAGGGCAAGCAAAAGTCACTATGCATATTTTACTTAGATTCTCAAAAAGTTGTAGATTACTTTGCACTAAATCTGGCAAGTATAGAGTTATAATGGAAATGAAAAAATGTTTTGTCACAGAAAAAGTATTGCCTTAAAGTCCAGAAACATGAGATGTTCGAAGGCCCTTCTCTGGATGGAGGAATAATATGAAAGGGAATGAAAATCTCAGTAATCAATGATTGGAGTCACTCTTATCTTTGATAAATGGTCTTGAACTCAAAGGGCACCACCCAGTCTCCCAGTATGTAGCTCTTCTGCAGGTGCAATGACAGGATGATGGGGTTAGATTGTGCAGGTCTCACAAAGCTCCATCAGTGCACACACGCCTGCCAGGTGGGCCTTGGTGAGGCACAGCCTGAGAAGAGGCACGTGCAGATGCACAATGTCAATGGCATACTTATTAAATGGTGAATTCTTGTTTATCATTTTTTTTTTCAAAAAGAGCTCCAAACTCATCGTAAGCTGTTCACTGAAGACACCATCAACAGGGTGCTGTGATTGAAAGCAAATAGTCAAAAAGTGCAGCTCAGGGCACCGTGTGGACACTTAGTGACATGCCTAGGAATTCTGCTTTTTCCTCTGCTGTTAGTGTTGGGGAAAGGCATTCTTTCAAGGTCAGTAAAGTCAGAGTTGCAGGCTGTTGAGAAAGTGAAGTGTTCAGGGTTGGGGGGAGTTGTCTGTTGAGAGAAACTGACTTATATTCGTAAAGATGGAATCTGAGAAAGTGCTAAAGCTGGAAACTGGAATGGCAGGGGTGTTCTGTGGACTCTTGTGGGGTTGGCATGGCGCCCTGAGCATGTGATTGGAGGGTGTGTTTCACAGTTGTCAGAATGAGGCCAACAAGTCTGAAGGCTGTAGCCAGGGAGAGGCAGTGAGGACCTGCCAAGGGCAAGCCAGAAATGCAAGGTCCGGGGTGTGAGTCAGGTCGTGACCCATGGAGCCGGTCAAGTGTGGGAGGCAAGAGGCATGGGGACATGAGGGACTGACCAGGCCGGGGGTCCCAGTGCAGGGTCCACACCAGAGCAGAAGCGGAAGGTGGCGGGGAGGGACTGACCGGGCTGTGGGTCCCAGTGCAGAGTCCACACCAGAGTGGAGGCAGAACACGGCTGGGAGGGACTGAGCGGAGCTGCCCGGCAGCTGTCTCTGAGGATCCCGCCATCTACGCACGTCCAGGCGTCCTCTGCCCTCAGCGTGTCTTGCCTTTACAAGCATGGAACCTCCTGTTAAATAATCAGGTGTCTGGCTGGGCACGGTGGTGCATGTCTGTAATCCCAACACTTTCGGAGGCCAAGGTGGGCAGATCACCTGAGGTCAGGAGTTTGAGACCAGCCTGGCCAACATGGCAAAACCCCATGTCTACTAAAAGTACAAAAATTAGCCAGGCGTGGTGGCAGGCATCTGTAATCCCAGCTGCTTGGGAGGCTGAGGCAGGGGAATCACTTGAACCTGGGAGGTGGAGGTTTCAGTGAGCTGAGGTCATGCCCCTGCACTCGAGCCTGGGCAACAGAGCAAGACTCCGTCTCAAAAGAAAAAAAAAGAAGAAAAAAAATCAAGCATTTTGATCCCTGTATTATACTTGTCCAGCCTTTGGCTGTGGTGCACATGCATACATACGTGTACACACATGTGCACACATGCATACAAACAGGTACACACATGCGTACAAACAGGCAACTCTATTCTGCCAACCTGTGGGCTGTGTCTATCTTTAATCTGTGAACTTGACTCCAGGCAGCCCTAAACTGGTTTTAGGATACAAAACTTTCACTTTTAATTATTTTCTTATGACTTTCTCTAGTGCGTCTTTCTGATTTAAAGGCTAATTTTTTTTTCAACTTTTATTTTAGATCCGGGGGTACGTTGGCAAGTTTGTTACATGGATTTATTTCATGACACTGAAGTTTGAGGTGCAAATGATCCCATCACCCAGACACTGAGCACAGCACCCAATGGGCAGTGTTTCTTCCCCAGCCCCTTTTTCCCTCCCCCTCTAGTAGCCCTGGTGTCTGCTGTTCGCACCTTTATGTCCACGTGTGCCCTATGTTTAGCCTCCACTTATAAGTGAGAACACGTGGTGTCTGGCTTTCTGTTCCTGTGGTAATTCACTTGGGACTAAGGCCCCCACCTGCATCCGTGTTGCTGCAGAGGACGTGATTCCATTCTCTCTTACGGCTGCATAGAATTTCGTGGTGTATAGGTAGCACTGTCTCTTTATCTCATCCACCTTTGATGGGCACCTGGGTTGCTTCCATGTTTTTGCTATTGCGAACCTTGTGAACCATGCTGCAGTGAACATACATGTGTCAGTGTCTTTTTGGTAGAATGATTTATTTTCCTTTGGGTATATACCCAGTCATGGGATTGCTGATTTAAGTTCTTTGAGAAATCTTCAAGCTGCTTTCCATAGTGGCTGAGCTAATTTACAATCCCACAAACAGGGTAGAAACTCCTTGAGGGGTCATTTCATGACTAAAAGAATATTTTTTAACATAAATTGGGGGAGGGTGATGGGTGACAAAACTGACTACCCCTGCCAATGGGAAGCAGGTGGAAAATGCAAAATTATTTGACAGACTTAAAGATGTTATTAGATGACAAAAACATAGAGGACCCTGCATAATATCTGCTTGAGGTGCTAAAGAGACTTTTCAAAGTATTTTCAGTGCTCAGTTTGGACGTGAAACCCATCCTGTCCCCAGACGATGCCTGGTTACCAGCGTCAATACAGAGTGGCGACCAGATGATTCCAGCGTCCATACAGAGTGGCGACCAGCCCGGCCTGGCGGGGGATTGTAGGTTCCCGTCACGACGGCCATGGAAACCAGCTTCCCGTGGTCAGCCCAGGTGTCCGCCTTCGTATTTCAGACGTGCCTGGTCACTTGAGGGAGGTTCAAACCTCTGCAGTGCAGCGATACTACAGTTTCTGAGGCAAATTAAACTTTTCCATAAATGTGTCTGATCCTCAGAACAGTCCATCAGGCGGAGAATCCGATTTTGCTGCTCCTGTTTCCTAAGTGAGGACATGGAGTTCTAGCCCCGCTGAATGAACCACCCGAGGCCTGAACCAGAACCCCTCTGCCTCCACGGCCGCCCCTTCTTTGAAAACTTACCATGAAAACGAACAGTTTTTTGTCACCTCAACATAGAAATATCAACATGGAAACTCTGTTTCTGTGTTGACATTTCAATCCAAAGTGTCTATCAGGTCACTTAATAAGTAAAACAAGGAATCAAAAACCAGGTAGTAAGAAAAGGAATCGGACGTGTTGGCTGCTTAAGAGGAGAGCCTGGGGGCGGAATGTGGCTCGCGAGCACCCGTGCCGGCCTCCTTTTCTGTCTCTCCTCAGACATTTGTTGCAAAGCGTGAGCATAATCCGTTCTCTCCCTAAAACCTGTTCGTGTGAAAGCTTCTCAGACTTGCAAAGAATGCGCTTTTGTTCCCGGAAACAGATTTGCTTCGTGAGGAGGCCCAGCTCAGTGCGGCTGTGGCATTGAGACTCAGAGTCCAGGGCTCAGGGGTCCCCGTCACTCCTCCGAGCAGCCGTCAGCGGTCCCGCCCCACACTGTCCCCGGCGGGTTCAGCAGGAGAAAGGGCGGGGGTGGGGGGATGGGGGGGTGGGGGGGAGACCCCCGTTCATTCATTTAGCGTCTGAGGCGGGGGAGACTCTGAGTGAAGGGGAAGCCCCCGTTCATTTAGTGTCTGAGGCGGGGGAGACTCTGAGTGAGGGGAGACCAGCGTCCGTTTGGCGTCTGAGGTGGGGAGACCGGCATTCATTTAGCGTCTGAGGCGGGAGGAGAGACCGGCGTTCATTTAGCGTCTGCGGGGTGCCCAGGTTCGACAGCATCTCACCGCATGTTCATAGAAGCCCTTGAAGCTAGCAGCACTGTCACTGCTTTTATCCTGATCAGGACACGGAGCCTCTGATTGTTGAAGCAAACCTTGTTTTTCTCTGACTTCAGCTCTTTGTGTTCTCTTACTGTGAAGGTTAATGTGGTAACAGTTTCCACGGGGCTCACCAGGGCAGGCATAGTACATAGCACAGGTGTGAATGCAATGGGGATCCGAAGCCCAGAACAGGGGAGGAGAGGAGAAAATGCGGACAGATAAATAGGAGGCTCAGAAGGACTTCACTGCGTGGCCGCCTCCAGGGGGGCACGGGGAGCCCCACTCCTGCCTCACTCCGCGAGGCTCCAGGGGGGCACAGGGGGCCCCACTCCTGCCTCACTCGGCGAGGCTCCAGACACAGAAGCCCACGGAGACCTATGAACGGACCAGAGGGTCCTGGAATGATTTCAGAGAAAGTGATCAATGTCTCCACAAATGCAGCTAATGCATTTGAAGAATTCGATTATTACCTCATCTTTATTGGCGGGAATTCAGAGTTCACAACACAAAAGTGCAGTTCCAGGAGCCTTTTGCTCTGATAAAATATTACATTTTCAAAATAGCTACCACTGACATTCGTCTGTCGTGAAAAAAAAAGAATTAAATATCTGAAATCAGCACGTTTGGAGAATGGGCTCTACAGTCCCGTTCTGGACAGTGGAAGTGGGGGATTAGATGCCTGCAAGAATATTGTTATCTCATTAGCAAAAATAAATGTAACTCCTGTCCCTCCACCAAATAAAAGATCTCCAGCCATACAGTGTGGCCTCATGCACAGCATTCTCCTTCCGAACCATTTTCAAAGACCTTGATCTTGGGTGGCCCAAAGAATGATGATGTAACTGTCTCTACTACTGAACATTTAAGAAATGGATATTGTATGTGTAATAACTAAGTCATTTATTAAATAGTATGGTCTAAAAATTAAACAGCTTCACTTTAGATGGCCTCAAACATGAAAATATTCAACTTTAGATATTTATATTCAGTATCCTCAAGTCATTAAAAAAGTATAGCTAATTAATGGATTTGATTCTGGCATGTTTTTAAAAAGATGATTATTTCTGTAGTCGCTTAGCCTGAAATTATAGCCATCGTTAACTTCTTTCTCTCTTTTAACCCCAAACCCACGATTTATGTCTCTACTTTCACAGTCAAAATGGAAGCTTCACCTGGCTGCCAGTGCTCTCTCTGCATTCACACGACACTCCACTCCGACGCCAAATAAAAGGGAAAAAAGTGTTTCCTTCTCGACACCAAATGCAAGAAAAATTCCATTTTTTTTTCTTTGCTACACTCACGCCAATACTTCTGGCCACCAAATGTGTGTATATTTTCCCATGCACCGTTTCTCCCACTACCAGGACACCAACTGGGCGTCCTCTAATTCATTGCTGTCCTGACCCTGACCACCTGCACTTCCCTCAGACCCCGCAGGTTAAGGACGCAGCCCCGCAAGACCAGGGCCAATCCCAAGTCTGGCTTCTGGCCCGCTGGCTAGAGATCATGGGTTCCCATGGCTCTACCTCCAGTTCAGTGATTTGCTTGAATGGCTCACAGAACTCGGGGAAACACTTTACTTGTGTTTACCCACACTATGTAAATGCTCCCACTCAGGCACAGCCGAACGAAGGGGCACATGGGGCGAGGCAGAGGCCAGGGCCATGTGGACTCTCCGTGCCCTCTCTGGGCACCGCCTCCCTGTGTTCAGCCCTCTGCAAGCACTCCAAAACCCTTGGTAGGTTTTGTTTTTCCATTTTAAATTTGTTATTTTTAGTTGACTCATAATAATTGTACATGTTTGTGGGATACTGTGTTACACTCTGATGCGTGCGTGTGTGTGTGTGTGTGTGTGTGTGTGTAGGTTTTGTTTTCCTTTTATAAATGGTTATTTTTGGTTGACTCACAGTAATTGTACATATTTGTGGGATACTATGTTACACTCTGATACGTGTGTGTGTGTGTGTGTGTGTGTGTGTGTAGGTTTTGTTTTCCTTTTATAAATGGTTATTTTTGGTTGACTCACAGTAATTGTACATATTTGTGGGATACTGTGTTACACTCTGATACGTGTGTGTGTGTGTGTGTGTGTGTGTGTGTGTGTAGGTTTTGTTTTCATTTTATAAATGGTTATTTTTGGTTGACTGATAGTAATTGTACATATCTGTGGATCTTGTGTTACATGTTGATACGTGTACATAATGTATAAGGTGAGGTGTATGAACACATGCTCCAGTATCCAGCATCGCATCACTAATCCCCAGGGAAGTGCAAATCAAAACCACACTGAGATACTGTCTCACTCCAGTTAGAATGGCGGTTACCAGAAAGACCAAAAGTAACAGTTCTAGCAAGGATGTGGAGAAGGGAATTCTTATAATGTTGGTGAGAATATAAATTAGTCTAGCCACTAAGGAAAACAGCATGGAGGTTCCTCAAAAAACTAAGCCACCATATGAGCCAGCAATCCCACTACTGAGTGTACAGCCAAAAGAAATGGTATCAGAGCTGCACCATTCACAATAGCCAGGAGATGGAATCGACCTGAGTGTCCATCAACAGAAGAATGGAGAAAGAACATGTGAAATGGGGTAGGTAGACACAGTGGACTACAGTTCAGCTGTAAAAAGAATGAAATCCTTAGGGTTTTTTATGTAGACTTTGTTACATAAGCACAGTGAATTAAGTCACTGGCCATCCCTGATCCAGCTAACCTTCAGTCCCTTTTCCCTTCCTGGAGGTCTGGGGTCGGGAGGGGCTGGAAGTTCCAATCCTCTAATCACAAGGCTAGTTCCCTGAGGACTGCCTTATCCTGAGGCTCTCCAGGGTCCAGCTTGAGTCTCTGCATCAGCGTAAACTCAGGTGTGGTTGAAGGGCTGGCTGGGAATGACTAAGGACTGTCCTTTCAACCTTTATTGCCCTTATTACTTAGGAAACCATGGGGTTTTAGGAGCTCTGAGCAAGAAGTCGCTCTATCACAACAGTGTTCAGATAAATACACGTAAATGAAGCCTATTTCTGGCCACCTCACTTCTGCGATTCTCTCTTCCACTCTACGCTGGTGTCCCAGGTCATCTCAGCACTTTGAGTTTTTTCTAATTCCAATTCATCCTATAGCAAATTTCCTAAACTACAACTCTATGCATGTCACTATCCTACTAAAGCATGTTTAAGCTATCCACAGTATACCTGAATATATTTAAAAATATGATCTTCTATGTTGAGCATCAATGTCAAAGCCTGTGGGTCAAGGTTTCACACTGTCAGGACCCAATTTGTGCCTCCGACTGCATTCCCTCTCGCCAAAATGCCCTCCACTCCAACCCAGTAAAGCCACTGCTGTTTCCCAAATCTATCACATAACTCAGCTCCCTGGCTCGGTGGTAATCTTGTTAACTTGGCCCTCCCACAGTGACCTTGATTAAAATCCCATAATCATCCAGATTTAGACCTATTGGTGCCATTTCAGAGGTGCTTCCCCATCTGCGCAGTCCTGTTTGGTGTCTTCGTTGCCTGGGCTGCAGGTGTGGCAAGGGTCTTTCTTTCTTGCATTTTAATCATTCGATTGGCTGTTTTGAGGCTGTACTGAATGTTGCTTCCCAAAGAGCGGGGTCCTCTCTCATGGGCTGTAGCTCCTCTCAGGAGGATGCAAGTTGTGTTATAGACTTCCCAACTCAGAATAATACACTGGAGAAAATTTCAATCTCTCCAACAAGTCACTAGTAGAAAATAGTAAAATAACTTATCCAAAGTATGTTTTTCAGACCTTTGAATTTTGTGGTTCATAATAAACAGGAAGCCGAGCTCATTTTTCCTGGAACATAGCTCTAACATCTGAGTGTTTCATGTTGTGTGTGTGAGAGCTGCTGTAATCTGTGAACACAGCCTGTCCTTTGCTCTTCTTTGATTTTTCTATCCAGTGCTTTTTGAACTGAAAAGCTTGTGTATAGGCCTTGCATACATTAGAATCTTCCAGCTGTGTTTGAGTGAAGTTGTGACTGCAGTTCATCAATCAACATCCCATTCTGAGGCTCTCAGAATAATAACACCCACACAAGAGACATGGAATTAATATACAGGCCAACACAATCTGAAAATGCATAGAATCACTTTCATGCTACGTACTCAGCCTTTCTATAATACCACAGTATTCCATGGGGTGGGGGGAATTTAGTTATTTCATTAAAGTTATGAATATTATGAAAGTTATATTTTCATATATTGAAGAGAGTAACGATTGCAAAAGATGAAAATAGAGATTAGTGATGATCAAGAAGCAAGCACATATGTTTGGCTATAACAAAATTCATAAGGCTAGGCACAGTGGCTCACGCCTGTAATCCCAGCACTTTGGGAGGCTGAGGTGGGTGGATCACGAGGTCAGCAGTTCGAGACCAGCCTGGCCAACATGGTGAAACCCCGTCTCTACTATAAATACAAAAATTAGCCAGGTATGGTGGCACATGCCTGTAATCCCAGCTACTCAAGAGGCTCTGAGGCAGGAGAATCACTTGAACCCGGGAGGTGGAGGTTGCAGTGAGCCGTGATCATGCCATTGCACTCTAGCCTGGGCGACAAAGTGAGACTCCATCTCAAAAAAAAGAAAAAAGAAAAAAGAGAAAAAGTGGCGGGTAAAACAGTTAGCAATCATAATAGCTGATATTTGCTGAGCATCTAACACACGCTAGGCACCGAGGGCGAGGCTGCGTTTGTTACTCCATGGAATCTCAGAGCACCTGGACAAGGTGTGTAGGACAGCTACCCCGTTTCACGGACCACATGGCTGAGTCGCGAGGATGTTTCCTAATGTCTTATGGCCGCTAGGAGAGAAAGACACAGACCCTCCTGAAGGGTATTTTTTTAGGAGTTATGGAATATGGAAAAGATACCAGAAGACCAGGGATAGAAAAATGTCATTCTAGTTTTCACAATAGGGAAGAAGTGCATTCCAGCAATTAATTATGTACCTGTGAAATTTCCGTCCACTGCAAGCGAAGTTACACAACTCAAGTCTTAATGACACGCTTGTGTATATGTAGGGAGAAAAGCGAAGATGGCCGTGACTGAGCGAGGATCACTAAGAGCAAGTGATGCCAGGGAAACCTCTCCTGTCTTTAGAGACTTAATGTAAATCTGCGTCTTGATCCCATGAAGGCAGAAGAGTGTTTGGAAAAGGCTTTCTTTGACATTAAAAAAAAAAAAAAAAGGTGTGGGTGGAACAGACAGGGTGGATGCATCTTGAGAAGCCGACTCACGGTTATCAGCAAAGGCTGGAGGGCACGGCTGGTGTGTGTTCCCTGCCCACCAGGGGGTGGTACACAGCAGGTGCTCGTTAAGTGCTCAGGGAACTCAACATGCTGAGACCAGCCAGGATTGGGGGTGGGGGAATGTGTCCTTTCGTTAGCAGGGGAAAGGCTGAGGGCATGGGAGTGTTTCATCCACAAGCAGTCTTCAAATGTGAGAGCTGCTCAGGGCAGAGTTGGATGCTGTGCTGTTCCAGAATCAAGCGGTGTGAGGCCTGAGGAAGCTCCAGCTCCTTCCTCACTTCACCCTAGGCCAACTCTGTCCAGGGGGCCCCTTAGCCTGGGGAGGGGATCCGTGCAGGTGGCCTGGTATATGTGACTGTGGCTACATCTTGAGCACATCAGGATACATGGTGCTCATCATAGTGACATCAAAACAAAGGTGAAAATGTTCAGACTGCCACAACAGTGTAGACAAGTGGAAATCTTTTAGGGGAAATAATATGTTTTTAAAATAATGAATGAACCACAACAGCTAAAGCCTAGGTGGCAAGTTAATATAATATAGTTTTGAATTCAACCAGCAGAGATTGAGTTTTTTTAATGTAAACACAGGTGTGTAGAGCTCAGAACTCTACTTAGTCACAGCTCTTATCACTCCCTGACCCCAGGCCTGCTCAGTCCATGGGACAGACAGGTTCCCCCAGGCACCCGGGCAGCTCAGGTGGAGGCAGATCCCAGGACCACCCCAGGTTCTGTCTCTGGGAGGGGTCTGGACTGGAGTTTGCATTTCCCACCACATCCCATAGCCCACTTTGTGCTCCGCGAGGTCTGATGACCACTGCCCTGCCATCTCCATACCGCTCCATGCACTTCTGGCACCAGCTTGTCAAGGCATCAGCGCTTTCAGGCCTAGGCTTAATACTCCTGAAGTGTTGACTGTGAGTGGCTTTGAAAAGCACGACTTCCAGGATGAGGGAACACGATGTTGGGAGCAGAGGCTGCTGGGACCTGCTGCTCCCTTATTGAACTCTTGGAGGAATTGCTCTGTGCGTTGAGAGCCTGGCATGTGTAGCTGCTAACACCATTGACAGAGTGTGCAAGAGCACTCCAAGGGAGAGAGGCGGGTGGGGAAGACAGCCAGGGCTAGTGGCAGGAGCAACGGGCCCATGCACTTGCAAGCTTCTAGTTGTTACAGGAGAAATTCGAGCAGGTTAATCCCTCTTTCAAATGACACTTGCACGTCTACAGCCATTCCCTGCATGGAAACATCAAGAAAGCAAAAATATCCCACGTTCAGAAGAACCCAAATGAGGAAGCAGTGCTGAAAAATAGATGTACTCTTGTGATCAACTCACATGACTGGAATGAATTCTGCAAAAATAGCAGCCGGATTATTCAAAGCTCGTATCAGGCAGCCAGTTGGATGGAGGTTCTCCTCCTGTGTGAGATACTCTCCCATGGCACTCAGAGGACACCAGCATGAAGGTCCTTGTGAACTAAAGCGGGCTCCACATGGGTGAAGGAACACAGAATGAGCCTGCAGCTATTTCTCTCTTTCACGCAAGTTGAGAGACCTCTAGAAATTCAGCTAGTCTTAAGCTGATGGTTTGGCATACGTAAGAAAGTCACAGCAAAAGGGGGTCCCTTCTGTAGTCTGCATCTAACTCTTCAATCTAAAGACAACAGAGACTTATTAAGACGTGCGTATCAAGGGCCCACTATGAGCCAAGCCCCTTGTTACACATTTTTCTCATTTTTCTTTGGCCAGAGCATACTGATATTGGCATATGGGGTGGTTGTGATTTCCAAATGAAATAATAAAATGAAAATGTTCAATTGTGTATAGCTGCCCAATGGAATGTTACCCTGTCATAGAAAGGAAGGAAATTCTACACATCCTACGACTTGGGTGAACCCTGAGGACACTATGCTGAGTGAAATAAGCCATCACAAAAGGACAAGGACGGTGTGATTACCCTAACATGTGGCACTTGGAGGAGTCAGATGCACAGACAGAAGGCCGGATAGGACAAGGATGGTGTGATCCCCTTACACACAGCACCTGGAGGAGTCAGATGCACAGACAGAAGGCCGGATAGGACAAGGATGGTGTGATCCCCTTACACGCAGCACCTGGAGAAGTCAGATGCACAGACAGAAGGCCGAATAGGACAAGGACAGTATGATCCCCTTATACGCAGCACCTGGAGGAGTTGGATACACAGACAGGTCAGAGGGAGGCTGCCAGCAGCTGGGGAGGGAGAATGAGGAGGGCTGTTTAATGGGGCAGAGCTTCAGTTTGGGAAGATCGAGAAGTTCTGGAGATATTGGCAGTGATGGCTGCACAACAATGAGAAAGTGCTTAATGCCACTGAAATAGACAAAAATGCCCATGATGGTGAATCTTATGTGTAGCTGATCTCAATTTAAACATTTAAAAAATTTTTTGCACTTAGTTTTTAGTAAACTTGTATAGTATTTTGCCAACTAAGGTAGTTTTTAAAATTATATTTCAGCACTGGGTGATATAAGGATTTTTAAATTTATAAATTATGCCTAACTCCATAGCCTCAGTCATGATAACATTATGAATTCAATCTTTTAACTCGTTTCAATGATAGTGAAAATATCTGTCTGTATTTTAAAGAATATAAAAGACTTAGCCATGCCCATGGTAAATGGGGGGTTCATAAAAGCATGTGCTTGATCTGTCAGAAGGGGACCTGGTGTTAACATCTAGCATCTTCCCCGGGAGGCCAGCCAGGTACAACATTAGCTTTGCTACTCGACAGCATCGCCCATGGTACCAGGGACCCATCAGGAACCTGGTACCTGTTTAAGAAAGAAAGAAGTGTCTGATGGGAACACTGTGCTTGGGTCTTCCCTGAGGACAGACATGGACAGCTGAGTGCATCCCTGCAGGGGCCCCAGAAGGCGTTCCTCTGGATCCCTTGGAGCAGATGTGGACCTCTCCAGATCCCGGACAGCCTGGGCGCATGATCCACATGGTCTTCCACAAGCCTAGAGCTGTCATGTAAACCCCTGAGACTGCCCTGATGGCAAGATGAGGCTCCTGTCCTGTAGGGAACTGGCCCCTGTGGGCTCATGAACCAAGATAAGGACGTCTGTGCACCATTAAAAAAATAAACCCACAGCAAAGCCGCTGCAGGATGAGCCCAGGGGATGTCAGGGCCCTAGACCGAGAAACAGAGACAGCCAGAAGTTCAGTTCAGTGCCTGAGGCAGGGAATGCGGACTGGAGCTTGGTGTCTGAAAGCAGGGAAGAAAGGAGACTGGGGAAAAGCAAAATAGCCAGGACCTGATGTAGGGCTTATGGAAACCAGGTGGCTGGAGGACAGCACTGAGCAGAACATGCTACACCTGCAAGGTGAATGCGTGGGTGTGGGGTCCTCAGCATGAGAATGAGACCAAACTCTGAACCAAGGGAGAGCATCCCCTAAGGCCGGGAGAAAGCGTCAGGGTAGGGCAAGAGGAGGAAGAAACCGGCTCAGCTGCTGGAGAAACTCACCTCAAGGCCACACATGCAGCAGGACAACTGTGAACTGACTTTGTCCACCCAATACCCACATCAGCAAATTCAAAATGATGAGAACAGAGGCAGATGTAAGTTAAGAACAGATGTCTATGAAAAACGAGGAGACTAAGGAATTTGGAGACCTAAAATTGGGAAGGACCGACTCCAGACTAGATCTGCTCAAAGTCCATCTGGAGGGAAATGCTGAGTTGCCCACGAGAACATGGCCAAGGAATACAAACAAATGAACAGCATGAAGCAGGAGCCCAGAGCTAGGGAGGAAAGATGTAGAGACTCCAACAAGTTAGCAGAATTCCAGAAGAAAAGATCCCAGAGGTCGACAGAAAAGTTGTATCCAGGGAACAGTGGCTGGGAATTGACCAGGATAACATCACCCATCCAGACTGAAAGGGTTCTGCTGTTGCCTGGAAGGAAAAATCCCCAACCTGGACAGATGATGTGAAACTCAAGACCATGCATGACTAAGAGAAACTCTTATTAACCTCACCCAGAAAGATAGGAATCTACAAAGGAGCAAGGATTAGACCAACAATAGATTCTTCGTTAGTAAAAACATATGCAAGAAGATGGTCAAATTATGGCTTCCACGTCTTGAAGAAAAATAAAATTCCCACCTAAAATCTCATGTCTAAGTAAATTAGTCGTAAAAAAAAATTAGTGTCAGATATACAAAAACTCAACCTTCTATTCTACCTGAAAGATTACTCCAATGCATATGAAAGGGGAAAAAAATAACAACAGAAGATACAGGATACAAGAAACAGCAGTGAACAGAGAGATCAATAAAAAATATTGTGTCTTATTGACAATTAAAAACTATGAGTGCTTATTTGAATAATTTAAAGAAGAGGCTTCAATAGGTAAAAGGTGTTAAGATCTTTATTTTAATAAACTTTAGTTAAGGCAAAATACAAAATAAAAGATAAGAAACACTACATAGGTTAAAAATCCAATTAATCAGGAGCATAATAAGTATGAACTAATAAGCTTTTTACAACTAGCATTAAATTTCATAAAATAAAAAGGAGAAATTGACAAACCTACAATTATAGATTTCAGTATATTTTCTCAGAAAAGGAATTGCTCAAGCAGACAAATTAGTGAGGATATAGATGATTTGAACAACACAACGACAAATGTAATATGATAAATATGTATTACCAAGTGTAGAATAAACACTCTTTTTAAGCATAACCCAAAGAGTAACAAAATCAATTACAAACATTTTAAAGAATAAATATGATGTGGCTACTCCCTCATAATGTAATGCAGTTGAGTTAGAAATAATATAAACAAACATCCTCATATACTTGAAAATAATCAAATGTCAACAGAAAGCACTTGATATGGTTTGGCTGTGTCCCTACCCAAATCTCATCTTGAATTGTAACTCCCACAATCCCCACATGTCATGGAAAGAGCATGTTGGGAGGTGATTGAATTTTGGGGGTGGGTCTTTCCTGCTCTGTTGTCTTGATAGTGAATGAGTCTCATGAGATCTGATGGTTTTAAAAATGGGAGTTTCCCTGTACAAGCTCTCTTCTCTTGTCTGCTGCCATGTGAGACATGCCCTTCATCTCCCACCATGATTGTGAGGCCTCCCCAGCTACATGGAACCGTAAGTCCAATAAGTCTCTTTCTTTTGTAAATTGCCCAGTCTTGGGTATGTCTTTATCAGCAGCATGAAAATTGACCAATACAGTACTCTTCTCCATAATTCATAACTTAACAGTGCCGCAATGAATATTGTAAAATACTTGGAATTAATATAAAATGAACTTATATCAGTATTTGTAGGAAGACAGCTAAAATGCAACTTAGATTGCAACCTTAAAAGTTCATACATGTATTTATTGGAAAATGACAAGGAAAATAAAAATAAATGACTTACATAGCAAAATGAGCTAGAAAAAGAACAGAGTACGCTAAATAAAATAAGAGAAAGAAAATGATAAATATAAAATAAAAAATAATCAAAATAGAAAACAAAATGCTAGTTAGTTAAAAATAGACAATCTCTATCAAAACTCACCAAATCAGAAAAAAAATTTAAAGCCTATTAGAAATATAATTTTTTGAAAAAATATAACACAATGAGCAATTTTATGATGTAAAATTTAAAAAGCTAGATAAAAAGGACAATTTGTCTAAAAAATAAAATTGAACAATTCAGTGAGAATGCAAATAAACTTACTACCAGTAAATAAATCCATAATTTTAAATAACTAGATCTCTCTTTCCTTGAGAGAGAGAGAGAGAAAGAGTGAGTGAGTATGTGCCAGGGAATACAAAAGAGGGGAAAGCTACTTGGCTAACATGAGAATGATATATTCTTGGTAACAAAACAGGCCAAGGACAGAATAAGAAAAGAAAATTATAGGTCAGATTGACTGCTGGGAACAGATGGAAAATATTAAATAAGACATTAGACATTTACAGGTACAGAAGTATGCCTATGTATACCTAATAAATATGCATGTGCCCATACTTTTAACACAGTGATGGCTCTCAATCATGTAAGGTTTATCTCAGGAATGCAAGGATGGCTCAGTGCCAGCAAATGTGTCAAGTGGAAGCTTTGCAGGCAGGAAGAGGCCATGTGGCTCATATCAGTGCATGTGCTGCACACCCACATGGGAGAGCCTTAAACAAAATCTGGCATGCACGGTCTACATCCAGCTGCTCACTCACCAGCTAGGTGACTCCCATGCACAGGACGTCGTCTCATGCCCTGCTTGGCTATCTAGGGTGAGCCATCCTTGTTTTCCTGAGGTTTGGGCATTTCTGTTGTTAAAAGATCAACTTAGGCACATTAAAATTCTGTGGAGTTTATTTGAACAGACAGCAGTTCATAAATTGGGCAGCACCAGACTGCAAGCAGTGTAGCACTTCTCTAGGGCTTCAGAGGTGAGACAGAAAATTTCATAAGTTGTTCCTGGAAACAAAACAAAACATGTTGGATTAGTTTGAAAAATCCCTACTTAGAGTTAATTGATAGTTTCTGATTGGTGGAGTCTCTACTTAGAGGTCAGTTGGCAGTTTCTGGATGGTAGAATTCCTACTTAGGGTTCAGCTGGTGGTTTCTGATTGGTAAGGGCTCTCGTTTCATTTCACCATTTACACGGGAGTTTGGTTTGCTTACATAGGAACTAAAAGTGCTGGGGCCATCCCAGCCCATTGGCCTCCGAATTAAACTTTCGTTAACACTGTAGTGGCTGCTGTCACTCACTGTGAGCTCATGGGGTCCAGGATTGTGTCTTGTTCATTGCTGTGGCTTCCATACTAAACAAAGTACAGGAGACATAAGAGATACAAAAGGCTGGGTTAACGTGCTGATGGTGTGTAAGCTGAAGATGACTTAGGGACATGGAACACTGCCCTTTTGTGAAACATTCTTACAATAACAACTTACAAGAACTAATCCTAAAGACAGTCATCCACAGCCACTGAGAGGAGGGGAGAAATATGTTCCACTGCCCGGTGTCAGCACAGTTAAAACCAGCAGGGATGAGCCTGCAGCAGGCACATGGCACAACTCTCCAAGCAGACCTCTACTCCCCAGCTTCAATCCCAGTGCTTTCCATTTACACATAGAGGATATTCAGTGCATGCTTCACACTGAGGCAGAAAAGCAGGGTTTTTCTGTCCTTAAAAAAAATAAGCAGTATTCATCTGATTTGTCCAAGGTGATCTGGCCATTCATTGTGGAGTCAAGCCGATGCTCAGAACCCATTTTACCTTCATCATACACGGCCTTCTGCTTAATTTTCAGATATGCACCTGAAAATATCATCCTGCAGAATGAAAGCAGAAGGGGAGAGATGCATATATATACATATATATATATATATATATACACACACACACATATGAACTTAGAATTCATTTTTAGTGAGAATAATTATGTTACTGTGTGGTAAAATAAACCACTGCCGCAGCATTTTGCCTTTTAGGATAATTTTATGGCTCCTTAGGAGGTTTCAGCACTCACTTTAAAGGTGACATTCTCTGCAAAAATACTTTAATCCCTATATGTCACCAATGATCTGTGATTCCTTTGGTTAGATTTTAATTTAGATTCTACATAAGCATTCGAAATCCTCCTTGCTAAAAATAAGAAGAAAATAATAGTACAGATTAAATCTTTAGTGGCTTCATTGCTTTATAGAGGAACTTAGCCACATTTACGTTGCATTGCGAATGTGTGGCTGTTTTCTCAAATACAAGGAAGTCATGCTGATGTTTCTTCAAGGTCGGTTTGATCAAATCACATTAGGCAAAGGACTTTAAGCTGGTCTTCTAGCAGAAGAAGCCTGGAAAGACTGATGTTTGCAAAGCCTAGGTCTACAGGCCTTGTAGCTAAGGTGACTCAGACAAACCCCATTGCTTCTGGGCCTCAGAGGTTTTGTATTTAAAATGAAGATCAGACCATGGATCTCACACAGTTGCCTATGACTGCTCTTCTATGAGATTGAGAGGAGTTTGTGACCTGCCTTTCATACTTTCTTGAAGAAAAATTAATCATTTTAAGTATTCTTTTCTATCACAGTTTTCTTCCACTCAGAAATATCTTCAACCTGCAGATCCAAAAATAAGATGAACAGTTATTGAAACATCCTTTGTTAGTCTTTAAAGGACGACCCTGACACGTCTGACACATTAAATCAGGAATGGCACGGCAGCGTCTTTGATATCAGGCATTGGCAATAATGAATGAATAATGAAAAGATCTGGTTTCCTATTCTGACTCGGCTGTTGACTGTCTCTGGGGTTCTGGGCAAGTCATTACCTTCTCTTTTACTTCAAGTCTCCTATTTACAAGATGAGGCTAGCACTCATGCCCCTCTTACGGAAAGGAACAAAGCAAATATTTGGACATAGAAACAAAAATGTGCCTGCAAACTGTAAAATGGGAAGCAAAGGCTACTACTATTATTTCAATTGTTACAACCCAGTGTACAGAGAACAGAAACACATGCGATTCAAATACAAGTCAGTGAGCTGAAATGTCTTTCATGCCTGTTACAGGCCGTTAGCAAAAGTTACATTTTCTGTCAATCTGACACATCATTAGAATCATTATGTGTAAGTCCCGATTCAATGTTTTGTAATGTTTTTAAAGACTAAAACTCACTAAATTTAATGTTTAGTAATAGAGTAGGGGCTTTATTCATCTGTTCATTCATTGTGCTCCTTGACTGCACGTCTGATCCATGCTGACAACCTACTGGGCGTCAGCACTGTGTCAAGCTCAGTTCCGTTGGCTGACCAGGTAGACTCTACCCGTGGGCAAAGGACAATGCATAGAAACAGCAGCAGAAAGAAGAAGAGAAAGGAGAAAGGAAGAGGCAGCCAGCTGCCTGGCGCTCAGCAGCCGTTCATGCACGAGTTCCCAGGCCAAAGGCAGCACTGGCCACATCCACCTGTATAAAGAGTCAGCTGACCTATCACAGGCTCGCTGGCGTGGTGATGAGACCGGGGCTTGTCCTTCCAGTGTAGCTTTCAGTCCGACTGCGGAGTGGAGGCACTGGCTCCCGGGCTTACTCTCCTGGGCTATTGGGCAGCTTACTCAGCCTTCCTTTTCTTTAGTTTGGTGTTTTCATTTGTAAAATGAAGACACTGATGCGTGCATGACAGGGACTCTTCTGATGCCTCCGTGTCGATGGCCACCAAGCCCTGAGAACCCTGCCGGCACCCAGCACCCCATGCCAGCCAGCACCGCTACGGCTGCCATCCATCAGGGCTGAACCCTGCCGGCACCCAGCACCCCATGCCAGCCAGCACCGCTACGGCTGCCATCCATCGGGGCTGAATCCTGCCGGCACCCAGCACCCCATGCCAGCCAGCACCGCTACGGCTGCCATCCATCGGGGCTGAACCCTGCCGGCACCCAGCACCCCATGCCAGCCAGCACTGCTACAGGCTGCCATCCATCGGGGCTGAACTCTGGCGTTTGATCATTCGGGGCTAGTTCCACTTCACATACTCATAAGGAAACAAGTGTTTCTCTTTCTGCTTTTTTGCCCCATATTTCATTGCTGTAAAAGCCAGTGGCTAAGATGAAGATTGCAGCATTTAAAAATTCTTTATTGATTGGCTTTGCTTCCTCTACAAAAGCAGCTGCCAAATTTAATCTGAGAAACTGCTTTTATATTCAAGAAATTCTATGCACCTTAAAAAAATAATGGTAGAGGGGATGAAACATCCACTTAACTGAAAGAAGTTAGAATCTGGGGATTAGCCCAACCAAGGAAGCCACAGTCCTGTCTAAATGTTTATTTGTCATTTTCCCATAAAGATTCATGGGGCATATTGTCTTGAAATTGCCACTGAAATTGTTGACTGGGGAGAGGAGACAAAAGAGATGGGCGAGGGAGTCCAGGGTGTGGAATTTATGAAACTTTGTCTTTTGTAGTTGTAGTTCTAGAAAGTCAAGGCCTTTTAAGTTAATTGTAAAAACACATTTGACATTTTCATATTGAAGGCACTGGCCCTGAGCTGTTCTCTTCTGTGTCTGTCATGTCGGCATGCTGTGAATTTGGCTGGTGAGATGCCAGGGCCTCTGGGGACCTCCATGACCTGCCAGCATGCAGGTTACGGGTGATTCCCGCGATCGCGTGTTTGGATTAAACCAGGTTCAGCGGGAGTCGCCTGGTCCAGACACACTGGACCCCGGTGACTTGGGTCCTGACACAGACTGGCCGAGCTGGGGGCGTCCCCAGAGACCAGAGACCCTGGGAATGGCGAGCATCGAGGCGCGGAGTTGCATGGAAGACCCAGGGCCCGCTGTGCTGCTGACTGCTCCAGGACTCACAGGCGGCTGGACCTCCATGGAGGTGACCCCCACAGTCTGCTCTCCTCATGATTCTGCCAAGTTTTAGTCCCAGGGCACTTAACATAGGCTTTGGGACTCCCTTGCCGAGCCACACGTCCCCAGTGTGTGGGTGGGAGTCAGCAGGGGAGGAAGCCCCCGCCATGAGCCCAAAGCCCCTCCAGGAACGTGCGGGACTTGGGTTCCATGAACTCTTGAAGGAGCTTACCTTGAAAATAAGTCACTGAAGATGCTTCCTGTGCCTCTGGCAACAGAACCCATCCAGCTCTCTGCTCTACATGTTCCGAAACAACCCCTGTACTGGTCCAGCTGTGGCCGTCAGGGGCATCCAGTCCTAGGAGTGCATGGCCTACGTGTAGCACAAACAGGAGGGGTTGGTCCTGCCAGGCACCCGCTGCGGTGGCCAGGCCCAAGCACCCGAACCACGTGGTTTAGAAAGGTCTTTTTGCAAAGGTGCTTGCTGCTGAGCCCGTGAGGCTGCTGTGGTGTGCAAGTGTACAGATGGTGCTGTCTGGTGAGCCCACCCGAGTAGGTCCTCGAGCTGGATGACACATTTGAAGAATAGTCCTAATCAATAAGGTGCACAGTCGGACACTGGGCAGCCAACGCAGCTGACCGACTTGGAATTTTTTCTGTATCCACAAACACACATTTGGCAAACCACTGAACACTGGTTAGGTGCCTGGAGTTTTGCTAGACACTGAAGATAAATACACAGATGAGGCAAAACTGGCTTTTTTTTTTTTTTTTTTGCTAGGAGAGTTCAGATATTGTGTTGACAGCTGAGCAGGTCATATTTGTAGGAATCCAAATTTTTATTAAATGGTATAAACCTCTGCTTATTTGTTCTAAATTTCTCCATGATGCACATGGAATCCAGTGCTGTCCATGGTCCCTGGGGTCCTTACACTCTCAGAAACCGAGAATAACACCTCTTTGCAAACCACAAGCCAAGATTCTTTATGTAAATGTTATTGGAGAGAAAGAAGGGACTTGGGCATCTCACTAAGCCTCTCCATGCCCTGCAAGAAAGTGTTTTTGCGAAGTCCCAGAAATGGCGCTGAATGAGGCTCTGTGCTATGGGCGTGGCTGCTTTGCAGGTGGAGCATGGAGACGTGGCCGCAGGGCTGAGGGTTTCGCATTGGAGGATTAATATGACCGTCAGCAGCTCAGCCGCTCTCTCTTTCTGGGTGGGTTTCATCTTGGTAAATGTGGATTCTCAGACTGGCCCTGAGGAAATCTCGTTCCGTTTTCCTGCAGATTATCTGAGTCTGCAGAGATGGGGTCCTTGAGTGACCCAGGAGGCTGACAGGAGACACCAGGTGGAAGAGCCATGTGGGAAGTAGCCTCACGTGCAGACAGCAAGCACTCCACCTGCCTGGCCCATCTCCTGTGTAAGAGAGAGCCCTTAGCATCCTGCCACACCCACCACTGGGTCACTGAGCTACCTCCCGGGAGTGTCAGCATTTTGGGTTTTGGGTTTTTTTTTTGAGACAGTGTCTCACTCTGTTTCCCAGCCTGGAGGGCAGTGGTACAATCTTGGCTCACTGCAGGCTCAACCTCCTGGGCTCAAGCAATCCTCCCACTTCAAGTTCCCGAGTAGCTGGGACTACAGGCGTGCGCCACCACACCAGGCTAATTTTTGTGTTTTAGTAGAGATGGGGTGTCACTATGTTGCCCTGGCTGATCTCGAACTCCAGACTCAGGCAATCTTCCAGCCTTTGTCTTCCAAAGTGCTGGGATTACAGGCTTGAGCCACTGTGCCCGGCCGTCATTGGCATTTTGAGAAACAGAAAATGCTCCGTGAACATGAGTAACATGCATTATCGTTCCTTCCTCCTCCCTTCATCCTTCCTCCCCTCCCTCCTCCATGGTATCATCATCCTTCTTATCACTGGGCTTTGATGCAGGAATGGGCGTGCCTGGTCTGCATGTCACATGCCTCTGGCCCTGGACTCTTGATCTTGTGGATCCAGATGTACAACATTCAGTACTCTGTGTTATTCTTCCTAAAACTTGAGCTTTGCCAACATTTCAATGGTCACTTTGGCTCCGCCGTCCTTATTGCTCCTGGAAGCTTAGGGACCCAGGGCCCTTCCAACCTACTCGGGCCTACTGTGTCCTCTTGTATTTTGTGAACAAGCACAGTTTGGGGATATTTGGGTTTAAGCCCCAGATCTTCCACATTAGCTGTGTGACTTGAGCAGCTTTTGTAGATTTTGGGGTGGTAGTGGAATGAGGGCAACAAAGCCTTTTTGTAAGAATAAATGTGAGTTAAGTGCCATCCATCGGAAGCAGGCAAGGGCTTTATAACCTCCCACACCGGCGCTTTGACTACATCACGCACCGCACACGGGTGTTTCAGTCAAAGACAAACTGCAGGTGCAGCGGTGGCCCTGTAAGATTATCATCAGCTGGAAGACTCCTACTGTCCAGTGACCTCATAGCCGTCACAATGCATGACTCACGTGTGACTTACCCTGGTAGAGAAACCCCCTGTGCAGCCACCGTACGGAAGTGTAGCCGTAGAGGGATGCGCAGTGCATCTTGTGATGGTGCTGACAGACGACCATGTTGCTGGTTTATGCATCTGGGATACTGTACGTTTCATTATTATTTTAGAGTGCGCTCCTTCTGCTTGTGGAAAACCATTATCTGTAAAGAGCCCTGGGCCAGTCCTTCAGGAGGTGTCCGGAAGAAGGCACTGTGGTCGTAGGCGATGGCAGCTCCACGTCTGTCACCGCCACTGCCCCTTAAGTCCTAACAGTGGGACAGGAAGTGAAGCTGGAAGATGGTGATATCGACAGTCCTGACCCTGCGCAGGTAGAGGCTGATGTGTTTTTGGGTCTTAGTGCTTAACAAGAGAGTTTAAAAAGTAAATTTAAAAATTAAAGATTAAAAATAGTAAAAGGGTTATAGAATAAGAATATAAAGAAAAATATTTGTACAGCTGTACAATGCATTTGTGTTTTAAGCTCAGCCTTACAAGAGAGTCAAACAGTTTTAAAAATAAAATAAAGTACAAGAGTTACAGTGTGTGTATGAGTCTGGGTTCTCTAGAGGGACAGGACTAATAGGATAGGTGTATATATGAAAGGGAGTTTATTGAGGAGAATTGACTCACAACCACAAGGTGAACTCCCACCACAAGCCGTCTGCAAGCTGAGGAACCAGGAAGCCAGTCCGAGGCCCAAAACCTCAAAAGCAGGGAAGCCGGCAGTGCAGCCTTCAGTCTGTGGCCAAAGGCCTGAGAGCCCCGGGCAAACCACTGGTGTGAGTCCAAGAGTCCAAAAGCTGAAGAACTTGGAGTCTGATGTTCAAGGGCAGGAGGCATCCAGCATGGGAGAAACATGGAGGCTGGAAGACTCAGCCAGTCCAGTCCTTCCACCTTCCTCTGCCTGCTTTTATCCTAGCCGTGCTGGCAGCCGAATAGATGGTGCCCACCCAGACTGAGGGTGGGTCTGCCTCTCCCAGCCCACTGACTCCAGTGTTAATCTCCTTTGGAAACACCCTCACAGACAACCCAGGACAATACTTTGCATCCTTCAATCCAATCAGGTTGACACTCCATATTAACCATCACAGTATGCTAAGGTTAACTTATTATTGAGGAATGAAAAGTATTTTTTGAAAATTGAATGTAGCCCAAGTTTGCAGTGTGTGTAGAGTCTACAGTAGCATACAGTGATGTCTCGGGCCGCGCATTCACTCCCCACTCACCCATTCACTCACCCACTTACCCATTCACCCACCCACTCACCCGGTCACCCAGAGCAGCTTCGGGTTCTGCAAGTTCCATTCATGGTGAGTGTCCTCTGCAGACGTACCATTTTTAACCTTTTGTACCATATTTTTACTGTAGCTTTTCTATGTGGAGACATGTTGAGATACACAACTTCTTACCCCTGTGTTACAGTTTTCTACAGTCTTCAGTGCAGTCACACGCTGTGCAGGTGCAGCCTGGGAGCAGGAGGCCTATGCCGTTCGGCCCAGGCGTGTAGGGGCGACGCCATCCGGGTCTGCGTTCAGCCCAGGCGCGTAAGGGTGACGCCATCCGGGTCTGCGTTCAGCCCAGGCGCGTAGGGGTGACGCCATCCGGGTCTCCGTTCAGCCCAGGCGCGTAAGGGTGACGCCATCCGGGTCTGCGTTCAGCGCAGGCGCGTAAGGGTGACGCCATCCGGGTCTGCGTTCAGCCCAGGCGCGTAAGGGTGACGCCATCCGGGTCTGCGTTCAGCCCAGGCGCGTAAGGGTGACGCCATCCGGGTCTCCGTTCAGCCCAGGCATGCAGGCGCGAAGCCATGCGGGTTTGTATCAGTGCGCTCCACAATGCTCACACAACCACGAGGCCACCTTACGTTTCTCTGAATGTGCCCCCTCATTAAGTGGCACATGACTGTACTTATTACTTGTAATGATGGAACGTAGAACCCCACTGGTTTGTAGCGTAAGACGATGTTTTCGGTGAAGCGCTATTTTACCAAATTTCTGAGCAGGTTCTGACATCGACCTAACCTCCTGGAACACCTTAGTTCACGTGGATGGATGGATCAGAGTACACAGAACGCTATCTGAGTGGTGAATTAATTCCTTTTGTGATTCCTAATTGTGTGAGGAAAAGTTATTTCCCCTCCATCAGCTTTTTTTCTGTAAATATGCATCAGTTTATACATTAAAAATAAATATCACCGGCCGGTGGCTCATGCCTGTAATCCCAGCACTTTGGGAGGCGAAGGCAGGTGGATCATTTGAGGTCAGGAGTTCGAGACTAGCCTGACCAACATTGTGAAACCCCGTCTCTACTAAAAATACAAAAAAAAAAAAAAAAAAAAAAATTAGCCGGGCGTGATGTCATGTGCCTGTAATCCCAGCTACTCGGGAGGCTGAGACAGGAGAATTGCTTGAACCCTGGAGATGGAGGTTGCAGTGAACCGAGATTGCACCACTGCACTCCAGCCTGGGCGACAAGAGCAAAACTCCATCTCAAAAAAATAAAATGAATAAAATAAAAACCAAAGTAGGAAAAGAGGCCTAAGTTAAAATTTGGTATAGAGGATTTCTCGAGTTGTGGGCTGTTTTCACTTCAGAAACACCTGCTGGTCCCCAGAAGTCAGTACTCCTGTCTCAGGAAGTGCCGGAGGAAGTGCTCCCATCGTGTGGGTGTGGTTACGAGGGGCAACCAGCGCTAGCCACCTGGTTCTTTTAAAATGCATTTTAAATAGAGTGTGTCTCAGACTTTGAAGTCTTTCCCCATCCCAGTTTCCTCCCCCAACCATGTCATGGATATGAGGAAGGGTAAGGGGTCTTTCCATTACTGAGAATTAAAACCAGAAGACCAGTTACAGTTAGCGTTTTGGTCTTAAATCTCATCAGATTCGCTGCTTAGGAGGCCATTTTAGTGCGTTGCTAAGGGAGTTTTTCCAAAGAATAAAATTGCTAATTTAACTTAACAGTAACAAGGCCCAAAGAGCTGTGGCTTTTTAAAAAAAAACCACCATACGTATGTAAGTGGTGACTCACCACTAGCTTTTGACTAAGTAATTTTTTTCTTTTCAAAAGAATGGCTGATATCGAAAATATTTTAGTGAAACTAGCAGTGAGGAAAGAACCGAGAACTATTTTATACATGGAGAAAAAGCCGGGCAACACTCGCCAGAGTTTTCTCCTCCAAGGGCAGGATTTGATCTATCACAATACACACTTCATCAGAAAATCACTTCCGCATGCACAGACTGTGATAACAACGAAATTCTTAGAATGGAGGCGGCAGCAGGCTCTAAAGATATGTTGCTGGTTGCTATGGAAACTGCCATCCACAAATGTTTCCTGAGCAGAATCTGGTTGGAAGTGGAATGGGCTGTAATACCAATATCGTAATATTCACCTTCTCCTTCATTTTTTTTACTAGAAAAAAGCACGTTCACAATTGTGAAGCATGAAAATAGGAACATTTTGTTAAAATAAGATTGGCCACTTTATAATAGCTTCTTATGAAGAAACAAAGCTTATGTTTTATGAAGCTTATGAAGAAACAAAGCTTCAGTGTAGAGTCAGACGAGTGTAAATGGGAGAGGAGAGAACGCACATGCTGGGCTGAGAAAGTGGTGACTTTATCCTCCCTAATGATTTATGGAGCCACGTGGAGCGTTAAGTGCTGAGAATTTAAGAGAATGAATGAAAAGCATAGTCCGCCCAGCCCCTCCCCTCCAGAGGCAGGAGCATGGTCACCGGCGCCAGGACTGAACAGCACGTGGCAGCCGGGTTCTGATGGAAGAGGGAAGGGAAGGAGGGACAGAGGCTGTGGGGGTTTTAGGAGGAAGCTTCGCGCTGTCTGTGGGAGCTAGAGGTGGATAATGACAGCACAGTCATTGCCACGGTCCTGCCGTGTACCCTGTGCCCTCCGGAGCCTCTGCGTGTCCTCTCTAGTTCCTCACGGGAGCCCACGCAGCAGGACCTGCTGCCCAGCCTTGCTGACCAGGGCTCCAGGGCTCAGCCCTGTCATCAGAGGCCCACAGTGGCTATGTTGCTGAGCTGAGATCCTAACGTGGGCCTCGCTCAGTCCCACGGCAACACGGTCTCCAGTCACTTTCCTTCCTTTTTTTCTAGACAAATAGAACGTTGCAGGCAGAAGGACGGAGTGCGCAGAGAGACAGGGTCTCGAAACTGAAACGGCAACGTGAGCAGTATGTCTCCTGCTCACCTTCTTCCCGCCATCCCCTAGGCTGCTTTGGATGAGCCACATGTGCCCACCCTCTCCCCACCATCCCCCAGACTGCTTCCGATGAGCCACGTGTGCACACAGGGCCTGGCATTTGAGGGCAGAGATGTTGCATAGTGAGGTGCTTGCTCTGGAGGCCTCTTGTGTGAAGAGACATGAGACTGTTGATGGGCTGAATGTCCTCATCCCTAGACAATGACAGTGAACGGAGTTTTTATTAAGGTCACAGTATATTTTGATATTTGAGCACCTATGATGTGCAAGTCACCAGAGCCACACTCTAGTAAGTGATAGAGTGAGGATGTAAAGATACAGATGTGGTTTAAAGACTCTTCTCAACCTCTGAGCTCAGCTACCTCTCAGGTCCCATTATTCTAGAAAGCAGAAATGTGAGATTTTACTCCTCTTCATTTTAAGAAGAAAAAAAGGAAGTCTGTTAAAGTAAGGGGAGAAAAGACCCTGATACAACTTCCACCAAATATAAAACAGACATAGCCCTAAATTGTGGTATAAATCGGGTATCTATTTTGAGTTCAAGTTCTCCTTTAGCAT
Source organism: Homo sapiens (assembly GCF_000001405.40). Taxonomy (NCBI): domain Eukaryota; kingdom Metazoa; phylum Chordata; class Mammalia; order Primates; family Hominidae; genus Homo; species Homo sapiens. Next base: position 1,440,272 of record NC_000008.11, read on the forward strand.
ACTTTTAAATTCAGGGTGTTACAGTTTATTGAATTTAACATTAAAATGGACTCACGTGGGAAATGGAGTCAATATTTTATACATTGAATTTTGCGTTACGTTTCAAAAGTGAATGTAAATATACAGGTGTAAAACCAGCTGGATGGCACACAGGCACTCCGCTGCGAGTGCACGGCCCACCCTGCCCGAATGCAGAGAAACACTAGAAGCTCTTGAGCCAGCAGAGAGAAAACCCAGAGAGTCTGAGTGGAATCTGTTAGCCGTGCAAATGTTACACAATGCACATTTGCTATGACACAAATCTAAGACTAAAGGGGGAAAACGGCAGAAATTTTAGAAGACTCATGGGCTCTCCTGAATAAAAATCCTGCTGAACTAGTGACCGGCTGAGCGTGGATTGTCGGGTGAGCCGCCCTCTGGGTCCTGAAGGGCCCTTGGTGTCTCTTTACAGAGAAGCAACCCCGACATTGGTGGAGGCAAGCGCTCGTGGCAGATGAACCTGCAGATGAGGCTGGGCACTGCCCAGCTTATGAGGACAAATGGCTCTTTTTATATTCCAGCAACCACGGAACTCTCTGGAGTGCCCAGGGCTGTTTTAGGACATCCTAAACTGCTACTTTCATGCCAAGTTTGGAGGACTGTCTTCTGAAATATCTTTTATAAAAACAAATTTAATGCAAAAGCACGTAAGTCTACATGAAACCCTCCCAGCACGGGTTTTCCAGCCAAATGGTAGGGGCATACATAGAAAAATGAAACATTTGTGGTTGTGTTTTCAAGGCAGAAAAGATGCTGAAGGGAAAAGTCTATGTTCGAAACATAATCCCAGAATAAAAAGCTCCAAGAAATGCAGTTTTGAGGAAGTATTATCTAAACAAAGAGATGTATTAATATAATTGATGTGCAATATTTATTCAGTGTTAATCTTTTCATTAAAATGCATCCTGAGTTTTCATAAATTCTGGCAGATTTAATTATGTATATACTGCTTATCGTTGTATTTTAAAATTGCATAAAATTACGTTACTTATGTCTGTGCTTCTTAAATAATAGAAATGTCTTCACGCCCCTACTTTTGTTAATTGTTCACTGTTTCTGAGAGCGATCAACCTAAGGCCCCATTTAAAGTAGAACTTGGCCGGGCATGGTGGCTCACTCCTGTAATCACAGCACTTTGGGAGGCCGAGGTGGGCAGATCACAAGGTCAAGAGATCAAGACCATCCTGGCAAACATGGTGAAACCCCGTCTCTACTAAAAGTACAAAAATTAGCCAGGCGTGTTGGTGGGCACCTGTGGTCCCAGCTACTCAGGAGGCTGAGGCAGGAGAATCGCTTGAGCCCAGGAGGCGGAGGTTGCAGTGAGCCGAGATCACACCACTGCACTCCAGCCTGGGCAACATAGACTCCATCTCAAAAAAAAAAAAAAAAAAAGTAAAACTCATATTTAGCATCACTGTTGGATGTGAAATTTGCCCTCTCAGCTTGTGAGAGTGGGCTTTCAACAGCTTGACCAGTTTTTTTTTTTTTATTTAATTTAATTTAATTTAAAGTTCTGGGATGTGCAGGACATGCAGGTTTGTTACGTAGGTAAACATGCTCCACAGGGTTGCTGCACCTATCAATGTGGTCCATATACACTATGGAATACTATGCGGCCATGAAAAGGGACAAGATCATGTATTTTGCAGGGACAGGGATGGAGCTGGAAACCATGATCCTCAGCAAACTAACACAGGAAGAGCGTGACCAGTTTCTAAGGGGAACTGTGCACACAGACCCAGAGGGCACCTTACTAAACTCAGGAGCAACAGAGTGAGCATGTGTCTCCTCTGACCTGGCTAGGAGACAGATCCAGGCATAGACCCTCTGGGCTGCTGTGGGTTCAGCCACTGGAGGAGGAGATGGATCCAGGCATAGACCTGCCAGGCTGCTGATGGGTTCAGCCACCGGGGGAGACGGACCCAGGCATAGACCCGCCAGGCTGCTGTGGGTTCAGCCACTGGAGAAGGAGATGGATCCAGTCATAGACCTGCCAGGCTGCTGATGGGTTCAGCCACTGGGGGAGATGGATCCAGGCATAGACCCGCCAAGCTGCTGTGGGTTCAGCCACTGGAGGAGACGGATCCGGGCATAGACCCGCCAGGCTGCTGTGGGTTCAGCCACTGGAGGAGACGGATCCGGGCATAGACCCGCCAGGCTGCTGGGGGTTCAGCCACTGGGGGAGACGGATCCGGGCATAGACCCGCCAGGCTGCTGTGGGTTCAGCCACTGGGGGAGACGGATCCGGGCGTAGACCCGCCAGGCTGCTGTGGGTTCAGCCACTGGGGGAGACGGATCGGGGCATAGACCCGCCAGGCTGATGTGGGTTCAGCCACTGGAGGAGACGGATCCGGGCATAGACCCGCCAGGCTGCTGTGGGTTCATCCACTGGAGGAGACGGATCCGGGCATAGACCCGCCAGGCTGCTGTGGGTTCAGCCACTGGAGGAGACGGATCCGGGCATAGACCCACCAGGCTGCTGGGGGTTCAGCCACTGGGGGAGACGGATCCAGGCATAGACCCTCTAGGCTGCTGTGGGTTTAGCCACTGGGATTGTCCTGTAAACCACAGGATCCTGAGTCTAGCTATTTGTATGACATAAATTTGCTTACATCTTTTACCGTAAACACGAGTTCTGAAAGCAAGCAAAACTTATTTGCTTACGTACTTATGGAAGCTCTTGTAGTTAAGATTTTAAAATTAACTTTATCATTCTTTTAACATTTAGTGCATTTCTCTTTGTTAGACAACCCTTAGTTACATTATCATTTTAATACTGCAAATACATGGAAAGTATGTAGTTAAAAAAACATGAAAAGTTTTATGTTATGAAAGTCATAATCATTACAGAAAAACTTAGAAAACATAGATCAACATGAAAAGATATTGACATATAATCCCAGCGCCCAGCCTTCCCTCCACTGCCCACAGATAATCGCAGGTAACATTTGGATGTTAATACTTCCAGCCTTCCCTCCACTGCCCAGAGATAATCGCGGGTAACATTTGGATGTTAATACTTCCAGCCTTCCCTCCACTGCCCAGAGATAATCGCGGGTAACATTTGGATGTTAATACTTCCAGCCTTCCCTCTAGCGGCTGTACATGGGTTTATTTCTGCCAGTTTCACTTAATGCTTCATGAATATATTCTCACATCCCTCAGTCTTCTCCTGCAAGAGAGGGGTGGCGTGGTGTATTCGTCTGTTCTCACCCTGCTAATAAAGACAAACCTGAGACTGGGTAATTTATAGAGGAAAGAGGTTTAATGGACTCACAGTTCCACACGGCTGGGGAGGCCTCACGATCATGGCAGAAGGTGAATGAGCAGCAAAGTCACATCTTACATGGTGGCAGAGAAGACGGCTTGTGCAGGGGAACTGCCCTTTATAAAATCATCAAATCTAGTGAGACTTACTACCATGAGAAGAGTATGGGGGAAACTGCCCTCGTGATTCAATTATCTCCACCTGGCCCCACCCTTGACACGTGGGGATTATTACAATTCAAGATGAGATTTGGGCAGGGACACAGCCAAACCATGTCTCATGGCTAAAATGTTCAGGGTGAGTGACTTGGAAGTGGTACTGATAAAAAACAAAAGCCTTCATTGATTAAAAGCAATAACTTTAGCTCTATAACAAGACAGAGCTGTGACTTAAGCTTTCTAGGACTGTCAGAAGCATGCCAATTATGAGTTTTCCAGTGTTCATGATCATTGTACTCATGCTGAATATGTGGATGGAGGAAAAAAACCATGCTCTCCCTACACCTCCCTCTACCTTAAGCTCCAGTGCTTTTTGTCTCTCTCCGTTGCCCAGGCTGGAGTGCAGTGGCGCGATCATAGCTCACTACAGCCTTGAACTCCTGGCCTCAAGCGATCCTGTTGCCTTGGCCTCCCACAGCTCTGGGATTATAGGCATGAGTCACTGCACCCGTCTCAATATCATCGTCTTCAATACTATGGCTGAAATATAATTTGCTTAACCAACTCCATATTAATGGGCACTTACACGGTATTAGAGTTTTTAACTGTTAACAACACTACCAAATACTCAAATTGCTACTGAAAAGGGACATTGTGGCTTTCTTCATTTCTGGAGGTCAGTGTCTACAATATTTCCATATTTAAGGCCTTCCCTAACCTTGTTTTGTTTGATGTCTTTCATCTGCCTTCATTTGCATGGTGGGTCTTTGCATTTCTTATGGAATTTTTTAAGAGAGAAAGAGACAGTGTGCCTGATCCTTCAAAGAGCACATTGACAATGCTCCGTGATTCCGAGAACCCTCCCTCCACCTCCTTCTCCATCATCCCTCCTTCAGGGTCTTCTTTCCCCATTTCCAGGTTGATGGTCCCATGATTTTGACTCAGTGTCACCATCTGCAGTCCCCTTTCTCCCCTGCTTACTCCTGTAGTAGGCATAGTAGGCATTTCATGATCATGCTTTGAGCCAGGTCATTCTTTTTTTTTTTTTTTTTTTTTTTTTGAGACGTAGTTTCACTCTTGTCACTCAGGCTGGAGTGCAGTGGCGTGACCTCGGCTGACTGCAACCACCGTCTTCCAATTCAGGCAATTCTACTGCCTCCCGAGTAGCTGGGATTATAGGCGTGTGCCCCATGCCCAGCTAATTTTTGTATTTTTAGTAGAGACAGGGTTTCACCGTGTTAGCCAGGATGATCTTGATCTCTTGACCTTGTGATCCACCCACCTCGGCCTCCCAAAGTGCTGGGATTACAGGCATGAGCCACCGCGCCCAGCCAGATCATTCTTTTTTTTTTTTTTTAATTATTATTATACTCTAAGTTTTAGGGTACATGTGTACAATGTGCAGGTTTGTTATACATGTATACATGTGCCATGCTGGTGTGCTGCACCCATTAACTCGTCATTTAGCATTAGGTATATCTCCTAATGCTATCCCTCCCCCCTCCCCCCACCCCACAACAGTCCCCAGAGTGTGATGTTCCCCTTTCTGTGTCCAAGTCTTCTAATTTGTTCAATTCCCACCTATGAGTGAGAACATGCAGTGTTTGGTTTTTTGTCCTTGCAATAATTTGCTGAGAATGGTGGTTTCCAGTTTCATCCATGTCCCTACAAAGGACATGAACTCTTCATTTTTTATGGCTGCATAGTATTCCATGGTGTATATGTGCCACATTTTCTTAATCCAGTCTATCGTTGTTGGACATTTGGGTTGGTTCCAAGTCTTTGCTATTGTGAATAGTGCCGCAATAAACACACGCGTGCACGTGTCTTTATAGCAGCATGATTTATAATCCCTTGGGTATATACCCAGTAATGGGATGGCTGGGTCAAATGGTATTTCTAGTTCTAGATCCCTGAGGAATTGCCACACTGACTTCCACAATGGTTGAACTAATTTACAGTCCCACTAACAGTGTAAAAGTGTTCCTATTTCTCCACATCCTCTCCAGCACCTGTTGTTTCCTGACTTTTTAATGATTGCCATTCTAACTGGTGTGAGATGGTATCTCACTGTGGTTTTGATTTGCATTTCTCTGATGGCCAGTGATGATGAGCATATTTTCATGTGGTTTTTGGCTGCATAAATGTCTTCTTTTGAGAAGTGTCTGTTCATATCATTCACCAACTTTTTGATGGGGTCGTTTGCTTTTTTTCTTGTAAATTTGTTTGAGTTCATTGTAGATTCTGGATATTAGCCCTTTGTCAGATGAGTAGGTTGCAAAAATTTTCTCCCATTTTGTAGGTTGCCTGTTCACTCTGATGGTAGTTTCTTTTGCTGTGCAGAAGCTCTTGAGTTTAATTAGATCCCATTTGTCAATTTTGGCTTTTGTTGCCATTGCTTTTGGTGTTTTAGACATGAAGTCCTTGCCCATGCCTATGTCCTGAATGGTATTGCCTAGGTTTTCTTCTAGGGTTTTTATGGTTTTAGGTCTAACATGTAAGTCTTTAATCGATCTTGAATTAATTTTTGTATAAGGTGTAAGGAAGGGATCCAGTTTCAGCTTTCTACATATGGCTAGCCAGTTTTCCCAGCACCATTTATTAAATAGGGAATCCTTTCCCCATTGCTTATTTTTGTCAGGTTTGTCAAAGATCAGATGGTTGTAGATATGTGGCATTATTTCTGAGGGCTCTGTTCTGTTCCATTGATCTATAGCTCTGTTTTGGTACCAGTACCATGCTGTTTTGGTTACTGTTGCCTTGTAGTATAGTTTGAAGTCAGGTAGTGTGATGCCTCCAGCTTTGTTCTTTTGGCTTAGGATTGACTTGGCGATGCGGGCTCTTTTTTGGTTCCATATGAACTTTAAAGTAGTTTTTTCCAATTCTGTGAAGAAAGTCATTGGTAGCTTGATGGGGATGGCATTGAATGTATAAATTACCTTGGGCAGTATGGCCATTTTCACAATATTGATTCTTCCTACCAATGATCATGGAATGTTGTTTCATTTCTTTGTATCCTCTTTTATTTCATTGAGCAGTGGTTTTTAGTTCTCATTAAAGAGGTCATTCACATCCCTTGTAAGTTGGATTCCTAGGTATTTTATTCTCTTTGAAGCAATTATGAATGGGAGTTCACTCATGATTTGGCTCTCTGTTTGCCTGTTATTGGTGTATAAGAATGCTTGTGATTTTTGTACATTGATTTTGTATCCTGAGACTTTGCTGAAGTTGCTTATCAGCTTAAGGAGATTTTGGGCTGAGACAATGGGGTTTTCTAGATATACAATGATGTCGTCTGCAAAGAGGGACAATTTGACTTCCTCTTTTCCTAATTGAATACCCTTTATTTCCTTCTCCTGCCTAATTGCCCTGGCCAGAACTTCCAGCACTAGGTTGAATAGGAGTGGTGAGAGAGGGCATCCCTGTCTTGTGCCAGTTTTCAAAGAGAATGTTTCCAGTTTTTGCCCATTCAGTATAATATTGCCTGTGGGTTTGTCATAGATAGCTCTTATTATTTTGGGATACATCCCATCTAATTTATTGAGAGTTTTTAGCATGAAGGTTGTTGAATTTTGTCAAAGGCCTTTTCTGCATCTATTGAGATAATCATGTGGTTTTTGTCTTTGGTTCTGTTTATATGCTGGATTACATTTATTGATTTGCATATGTTGAACCATCCTTGCATCCCAGGGATGAAGCCCACTTGATCATGGTGGATAAGCTTTTTGATGTGCTGCTGGATTCGGTTTGCCAGTATTTTATTGAGGATTTTTGCATCAATGCTCATCAAGGATATTGGTGTAAAATTCTCTTTTTCGGTTGTGTCTCTGCCCGGCTTTGGTATCAGAATGATGCTGGCCTCATAAAATGAGTTTGTGAGGATTCCATCTTTTTCTATTGATTGGAATAGTTTCAGAAGGAATGTTACCAGCTTCTCCTTGTGCCTCTGGTAGAATTCGGCTGTGAATCCATTTGGTCCTGGACTTTTTTTGGTTGGTAAGCTATTGATTATTGCCACAATTTCAGAGCCTGTTACTGGTCTATTCAGAGAGTCAACTTCTTCCTGGTTTAGTCTTGGGACAGTGTATGTGTTGAGGAATTTATCCATTTCTTCTAGATTTTCTAGTTTATATACGTAGAGGTGTTTGTAGTATTCTCTGATGGTAGTTTGTATTTCTGTGGGATCGGTGGTGATATCCCCTTTATCTTTTTTTATTGCATCTATTTGATTCTTCTCTCTTTTCTTCTTTATTAGTCTTGCTAGCAGTCTATCTATTTTGTTGATCTTTTCAAAAAACCAGCTCCTGGATTCATTAATTTTTTGAAGGGTTTTTTGTGTCTCTATTTCCTTCAGTTCTGCTCTGATTTTAGTTATTTCTTGCCTTCTGCTAGCTTTTGAATGTGTTCGCTCTTGCTTTTCTAGTTGTTTTAATTGTGACATTAGGGTGTTGATTTTGGATCTTTCCTGCTTTCTTTTGTGGGCATTTAGTGCGGTAAATTTCCCTCTACACACTGCTTTGAATGTGTCCCAGAGATTCTGGTATGTTGTGTCTTTGTTCTCGTTGGTTTCAAAGAACATCTTTATTTCTGCCTTCATTTTATTATGTACCTAGTAGTCATTCAGGAGCAGGTGGTTCAGTTTCCATGTAGTTGAGTGGTTTTGAGTGAGTTTCTTAGTCCTGACTTCCAGTTTGATTGCACTGTGGTCTGAGAGACAGTTTGTTATAATTTCTGTTCTTTTACATTTGCTGAGGAGAGCTTTACTTCCAACTATGTGGTCAATTTTGGAATAGGTGTGGTGTGGTGCTGAAAAAAATGTATATTCTGTTGATTTGGGGTGGAGAGTTCTGTAGATGTCTATTAGGTCCACTTGCTTATGTACTCAAACAAACACTATCACCCACAAAATAATACGGCTAAATAAATTTAATACTTCTGAGCAACTATCTTGAAGACTTTGATAGTTCTTTGCTATTGTTTTTAAATGTACTTTTTTCACTTGGAGACCCAACATTTTTGTTCTGCATTCCCGTTCCCCTCACTGCGTGCAAAAATCAATGCATGACATCAATCATTGCCCTGATCCGGCCATGGAAAGATTTGGAGAAAGCCTGGATTCTAATGTTGATCCTGACCCATAATAGCATGTCACATTTCAGATGTCTCTACAGTGGGTCAAACATGCAGCCGCTGCTGGGCCTTCAAGGAAGCAAAGTCTGTGTCCTTAGGTCACGCAAAGTCTGGTTTAAAAGCTGACGCATGTTCTGAGAGCTGTAGGCTGTGATGGGGAGGCTCAGCACGGGTCAGGGACGGCACATCCCGGCCCCCCAGAGCAGCTCTGGGAATGCCTCGTGCCTGTCATCCCGGCCTAATGATTATTAATTCCTGTTCTCTTTCCTCTCATCTTCCCCTGATGGGGAAAGTCACTTATATGATCACGCTGACCACACAGCACAGTTCTCAGCCCAGCTGAGCCTCCTATTGCCAGGGAGGTTTTTACACGTACCAATGAAGTCCTCACCCTGGTGATTCCGGGGTAATTGTTCTGAGACAGGGTCGGGCCATGATGGACTAAAGAGTGAAGGGTCACTGGGGCATGGGCAGGCATGCTTAGTCCAGCCCAGGCAGCTGCAGGAATTCTCTCAGAGTTGTCTTGGGGCTGGAGCTTCCAGGGGGACTCGAGTTTGACAGAGCTGGGAGTAGAGCTCAGCGTTTTGGGAAGAGCAGTGGGACGGGACGGCACCAGCGGGCATGGACCTGGGATGTCAGAGGCTCTCACAGCCAAGCTGCTGGCTTCCAGGCACCACAGCCACTGAGTCCTGTCTGCACCCAGACCCCGTTCCTGAGCTCCAGGGTGGGCCTGGCACTCTGCATTCTGAACGGGCAATGCTGAGGCTGAGGGTCCCTGGGCCACACTTGGAAAGGTCAAGGCTTCAGCAGAAGGTGGGAGCAGGGGGTGTGCAGATGACACCAGCTGCCAGGACAAGCCTTGCTGTAAGGATGCAGGATGCGAATGGGAGAGGCACCAAGGGCCGCAGAGAAGGAGCCGTGCTGCACTGGGCTGCCGTGAAGACGAGGTGGGCGGCCTCGGTGGCTGTGACTGTAGCGGAGCTGTGAGGGTGAAGACGAGGTGGGCGGCCTCGGTGGCTGAGGCGGAGCTGTGAGGGTGAAGACGAGGTGGGCGGCCTCGGTGGCTGAGGCGGAGCTGTGAGGGTGAAGACGAGGTGGGCGGCCTCGGTGACTGAGGCGGAGCTGTGAGGGTGAAGACGAGGTGGGCGGCTTCGGTGGCTGAGGCGGACGTGTGAGGGTGAAGACGAGGTGGGCGGCCTCGGTGGCTGTGACTGTAGCGGCGTGTGAGGGTGAAGACGAGGTGGGCGGCCTCCGTGGCTGAGGTGGAGCTCTGAGGGTGAAGACGAGGTGGGCGGCCCTGGTGCCTCGGGCAGAGCTCTGAGGGTGAAGACCGAGGTGGGCCGCCTCGGTGGCTGAGGCGGAGCTGTGAGGGTGAAGACGAGGTGGGCGGCCTCGGTGGCTGAGGCGGAGCTGTGAGGGTGAAGACGAGGTGGGCGGCCTCGGTGGCTGAGGCGGAGCTGTGAGGGTGAAGACGAGGTGGGCGACCTCGGTGGCTGAGGCTGAGCTGTGAGGGTGAAGATGAGGTGGGCGGCCTCGGTGGCTGAGGCTGAGCTGTGAGGGTGAAGACGAGGTGGGCGGCCTCGGTGGCTGTGGCTGAGGCTGAGCTGTGAGGGTGAAGATGAGGTGGGCGGCCTCGGTGGCTGAGGCGGAGCTGTGAGGACACATCCATAATTAAGGCACTGCGGGGCTGGCAGGACTCGCCTTTCTGTGAACCATGGCCCCAGGGCTACTTCCTCCTGCCTACCTTTTTTCCTTTCCAAACTTTGTCTTCCCCCCCATCATTCCCACTCTGCAATTATGTGACACTGTGGTTCTAAATGGCCTATGTCCCCAGGGCCTTGGGATGAGGAGGGGGCCAAGCGACAGGCACCGTCCTCCACGCAGCATGGCTATGTCTCTGCGCTCAACGTTCCCAAGCCTGGGAGACAGAAAAGTACTATTTGGGCAAATATTTAGAAGGTATTTGTTCTGGTAAAGAACAAAATCATAATATTTATTTTAAAAGAGACACCGTAATAAACAGTCCTCTATGAATTGCTTAGTGAAACACTTTTTATGTTGCTTCTCTTTGTATAATTTCTCTATTTGGAAATGCATCATACCTCGTAAGGGCGCCAGTGACAAGGGAGTCCCAGGGTCACCGAATTCCAGGGCATCACTGGCTCACTTGGCAGAGCTCCTGTGGTCCCTACGGTGGTTTTAAAGTTACATGAGTAACACATATCCTACTTAGTGGATTCCCGTTCTGTGGGCCATGGGTGGGACTGGAGTCACACCTTTCCAGCATGTTCCGCCGCTGCCAGTGCTGCTGCATGCAGGCCATATTTGGAGCCTGGTTCCTCCTTCTACACCTGAAGAAGGAACAGGCCTGTTGCAGCGTAACTAACATCCTACATAACTACACCACTAAAACTCAGCTGACTCCCCAGACTCAGTCCCTGGGGGAGGAGGCAGCCAAGGCCGGCACCCCTTTCCCTGTCCAAGTGCCTCCAGGTTGCATGCATGAGTGAGTCCTCCAGCCACCTCCTGCCAGACCTGAGGTTTGCTTGAAGCTTTATCACATCCATCAGCCCAGCACGCTCTGAAAGGGCGCTGGTGCCAGGGTCCCTGTCCCGCCTTGATCCTTCCCTACCTCAGCACCACCCCTGGTCCCATAAACCGCCTTAATCCTTCCCCACCTCAGCATCGCCTCTGGCCTCATCAAATCCGAGGTACCTGTTCCGCCTCCATCACATGTCCCCTCCTGGCTTCCCTCCGCCTCTGTTGCCGGCTCCTCTTCCCTCCCCACATCGAAAACTGAGGTCCCCAGCAGCCCCTTCTCAGCCATCACACAGCCTCATGCTGCCTCCGCCTCAGCAACTCCATCTATGTCCAGGAGCTCCCTCCACAGTAACGACTCCCACATCTTCCTGAGGCCACAACATTCTCCCAACGTCCGGATATCCCACTAGGTAGCTGGCCCACATTCGCTGCGATCATCACTAATGTACCCAAACCATCCTGTTCCCTCCACCAGAGCTCACGGGCTCCCACACACACGGCCCAGGCCCCACACCCTGCTCTCTTCCGTGTTATCTGTCCACCACTCCCATATCTGACTCTTAAAACGACAACAAAATCTAGTTAAGAGAACCGGAACTGCGGTTTCTGCCGATGTCCCATCCTGGGCAGCACACAACCGAGGCATCCGGATCTGAGCCATCTGTGAATTTGCCACTGGGCATGGTTGTAGCGAACACATGCATGCCAGGGCCGTGTCTTCCAGCTGTCTGTCAAGACACTGCCTCAGTTTGAGGCATAGCCCCGTGGCTGGATGTTCTGTGGCTGCGTGCTCTGTGGCCATGTGTTCTGTGGCTGGGTGTTCTGTGGCTGCGTGTTCTGTGGCCATGTGTTCTGTGGCTGGGTGTTCTGTGGCTGGGCGCTCTGTTGCACAGTGAAGGGCCAAGCACCCTCCATACAGGTGTGCACAGGACAGAGGTGACTGTGGGAACAGCACCAAACATCAGCCCTGAGCCGAGGCTATGCGTGCGACAGGTTCATCAGCCCCAGCTGGGGAAGGAGAATGAGAACAAATGGAAGATGCATTCAGCACCAGTGGACATGGAATATGGTCATCTCAGGGCCGCTAGGATGCCCGATGCTTCTGAGCTTGTGGGACACTGGGCGCTCCGGGGAGAGCTGGAGGCCCAGTGGCCCGGCTTAAATTGCCAGGCAAAGGGTGGAGGCAGGACACAGGGAAGAGGAGATGGAGAATTCTGGAGGGAAACAGACCACTTAGGAGGCAGGAGATGCCGAAACATTATCAGCAAAGGCTCTGTGCGGGTTCTGCGCTGGGCAGCTGAGCTGTCGCCTCCACAGCAGCCGGGGTCAGGCTGGGTCAGTGGTTCTCCAGGTGTTTCCCAGACCAGCATCTCTGGGGACCCGAGCTTCTTAGAAACGCAGGTCTATGGATCCCAGCCTATGAAACCAGATTGTCTCAGGACGGTGCCCATTAAAGAGTCTCTGTTTTTGTAAAAGGGGGGTGGCCAGGTCTATTACGAAGGCCTGTGAGCCCCCACCATGCAGTGGATCATGGGGGTTTGATACTTGTCGGGCGGCAGGTGTTATGGATGGGAAGGAGACGTGAGAAGTCCACAATTCAAAGGAAGACACACTGAGTGCCATCTGTGAAGGGTTAGACATTTCTCTGGGGTGCAAATGGACACAAATGACCAGAAGAGAAATCCCTTGTAGAGGAGACTGCTCGGGAGCTGAGATGCCAGGAAGGGGAACGTCGCAGGTATTGGAGCGCGCTGGGCAGAGGGCTGGGGTGGCCTACTGAGCCCAGGATGGAAGGTCTTAGGCACACAGTTCTCGGAGCTGGGACGGAGACGGGAATGGGCCGTGCTGGCCGGTCAGGCTGGGGAGAAGCAGGAGGAGCCTGGGGAGGTGTGTGACTGTCACCAAGTGGGAGAAAAAGTATTTTTCCTTCATCATATTTATCTTCTTGAGTACTTTCACAAGTGTCTGAGAAAGAAAGACAGCCCATAATGAAATTTACCTTCTTAAGTAGGTTATTGTTAGGGTCGACCTAATTATTCCATACCTAACAGAGAGAACGGAGTGTATGCTGGAGTGTTGGCGTGGCTGCATTGAAAATCATTATGTATTCTGAGTGAAACACCCAGAATTTAAGTGGATTATTCTTGAGTGCAGTCATTTGCAAACTGAGTTTGGTGACACCTTACAGAACGTCTCTTGGGGTCCCTTGCAAGAAGCATAATTCAACCTGTGCCTGCAACACCACCATCCACCCAGCCGAACTCTCTACCTGGGCCTGAGAAGCGGGAGAATCCGCCCCATCAACTCTTCTCACGAGAGTATGCACTTGCCTATTAGAAAATGTGTTTGGAATAGTAACCAGCAGGAGTTTCAACATACTCCCAACCCATAAGGCATCATGCAAGAATTATGAAGAAAAACGCCCCCTCATTAGACAGCTCACTTTGATTTCAGTCTCCATGGAAACTGGATATTCAGATGCTCTGAGATATTTTTGTCTTTGGGGTTTTGCATGTCTTGGAATGTGGACATGTGCACAGATACAAAGCCAGATGTGGCGTGTGGCGCAGGCGATGTCGGCTGGCGTGGCCTCCTGCCAGGCAGTGGGATCCGCTGAAAGGCAGAGTGGAAAGTTAACACTGTTGAATGACAGATCGCAAAGTTGAAATCTGAGGCACGATGAAGCCATGGAAACCACATGCAAAGAGATTTGAGAATGTTTTCTGGGCTGGGGATGGGGTTCGGGTCTTCGCAAACCCTCTGTGGATGTGTGTGTATGTCTGTGTGACAAGCACGTCCACAGCCGCCCGGCAGGATGTCCCCGTAAGGTTTCATCCACAGCGTCCCCACTTGGGAGGTGGCCGAGTTCCACTGCCAGCTTTCCCAGCTGCTGAACAGTAGCATCCATGGCAGTCTGAACACAGTGAGGTTTTTCTTCCTCTGTAACGTTTTTTTTTTTTATCTTTTCTCTACACTGAAACTACCGTCCCTGCGTGAGTTTGAGGGCAAGGGTGTTCCTGCTGGCAACTTCACAGAGGGGAGGGCAGGTCTTTCTGGCACAGCAACTGTAGTGGTGACTCGAACCAGAAACCCACCCCTGGAGGAGAGGAGCAGAAAACACTGCTTCCTCCTGGGTGGGTTGAAATCGACCAATGTGAGTGTTCATTGCAAGGAAAGCCAAGATTCATCTCCATTAAGATCCCTTTACATTTCCGAGCTCCATTCCAGGGGCTGGATATTTCCAAAAACTCAAAGGACATTTTTGACTTCACTTTTTCTCTAAGGGAGTTCAGCTTGAGGGCTGAGATATCTGTTTTGTGGTTCAAGGTCATGAGCAGCATCCTAGTCACAGAACAGGCAGGTAGAAAAGGAATAAAGTCAGTGGCCCAGAGACCCCCACTGAGCACTCAGACCTTCGATACCCCATCAGGATGATGGAAGGTTAGGGCCTTTGGTGGTCCTGTGGCCCACCCTCCCGTCATGCAGACAGGATGACCTGATGGCCAGGACAGGAAGAACAGCCACCTCTGAGCTTCCCCGCCCATCGGGCCCCCAGTTTCCACACATTCACCCATGGTAAGGCACAGCCACCCGTGAGCACTGTCAGCTACATCTTGGGGGTCTGGGGAGGGGGGGATACCGGATGCAAGGAAGGTTCCAGACACATCATCAGCTCCTTGGCTGCCGTGAGGGGTGGTTTGAGCAATGTAATGAGCTCATGGCAACCCTGTGAGCGGCTGGTCTGAGAGCCCGTCTAAAGCCCAGAGGGAGATGCTGGCATCAAGTCAGTGAGTGCTCAAGGTCACAGCGCTCCACGTGGACGCCCAGTCAGGTGCAGGTGCAGGTGGGTCCCGCCCATCTCAGGCACTGATTCTCATGCGCTGGGGCAGGGCCCCTCTGGAGCTGCCTGCCTGCAGGTGGGGTTTCCCGATGGTGGGGCCAAGGCCGCTGCAGACTGAAGTCCACATGAGTCCCCCTGCCCCTCGGGGTCCCAGGGGGACCCTGGTCTGTCAGGACTCAGCTGTCGGGGAGAGAGCTGAAAGGAAGATGTCAACATTCGGGCCTGAGCCTAGACAGCTTTGCCCGTGTCCTTCACGCCTGAGCAGGGCTGAGAGGAGGAAGTCAGTCCGCCTGACACACAGAGGCTTGCCAGGACCTTTTGCTTTTCCTTGCAGCCTCGGTGGAGGCGGAGCGCACCTCATCTTTGAGCTTGTCCTGCTGTCTCAGCCCAGGGCCAGTCCCACTGCCAGGGGCACGCCCCCCATTTATATATTAATTAAGCGTCACATCCACGCCCCCCATTTATATATTAATTAAGCGTCGCATCCTCCAGAGGCACTTCCTGACCCTCACCCCAGCTGCATCATGCCACTGAGTGAGTGTGCGGAAGGCACCACCTCCTCCCATCAGCAAGGCTGCAGCGTTCCAGGCAGACCACAGACTCCAGGACGGCAGGCGGTCGGTCTGTCTTGTTCACTGTCTCGGCCTCTGCCCGGCACGAAATCAATCAACATGACTGAGAGGCTGGATCCGAGGCCCCCAGCATGTGGTCAGACCCATTACACATCATCTTGTCTTAAAAAGACCTGATGCCCCATGATGCACACCAGCCCGATGGCCGCTCGCTGATTGGATTCTGAGGAATCTGTTGTTGGCCAACTCCTGGGTCCCTCCCAGCAGCTTTCGATGGATCAAAGCTTGACTCCCATGTCGCGTTGAACTCAGGAGTGAGTTCATGCCGGTTTTTGAGCCACCTCTTTCCTAAGAAAGCTGCGGATTCTGCAGCATTTTGCAAACAGGACGCCCTAGTCTCTCTGCCAAACACCGAGTGTGCTGCACGCTGCCTTCCTCATTGGCAGCATTGTGGGTTACAGAATGTTTCTACACACACGCTTCTCCCAGGCTGCCACCCTGTACGTATTCATCACGCCCTTTAAATATGACCGAAATTCTGTCGTCTTCCTGACTAATGGTGCCGTGTATCTAAACATCAAAGCATTTTCAAGGCAATCACATAATGATTCAAAATTGACTTTGGTGTCTCCTTTGCTGCTTGCACACAGCGGATCAAGAATCTGCTGAATCATAATCCAAGGATTGTGATAATGTGGTCCCAGAAAAGGCCCATTTCATAGTAAAAACTGGTTTGTAAAAATTATTATCAGAAGCATCACCTTTTTGCAGCAAACTAAGCAATTTAATTAATGAAAAAGTGTCACCAGAGAAACACAAATTGCATCATTAGAAAAATAAAATGAGACCGATTGTTGAAGAGTTGTCTAGGATCCTTATGTGACTGGTAACCAGCAAACGCTGAAGGCCCCGGTCGTTGGACGTCAGCAGGCTGTGCCAGGCTGTGCACTGGTGAAATTGGTTTTGCGAGGGAGCTCTGTGATGCCGTGAGCCCGGGTGCCTGCACTCTGGTCGTTGGACGTCAGCAGGCTGTGCACTGGTGAAATCGGTTTTGCCAGGGAGCTCTGTGATGCCGATGAGCCCGGTGCCTGCCCTCCGGCCCCGAGCGGTCTCTCAGTGACAACACATCACAGCACACTAATGAGCGCTGGCGCCCAGGCCTGCAATTAGCCTTTCCCGAGTTCAGAGGGCTGCTTGGCTCTGGGCCTGCAGATCACAGGGCTTCATTTCAATGTGGTCATCTTTGTTCCCTCCGTGCCCCTAGTGATTTGATAAAAGACTCCTATTTTATTGGAGTTGCAAGATTTTTCAGTGTATCCTATATTCAAGCAGATGAAATATGTTGGAGTAGGCCTTTTGTGTATTCGTTTTCATCCCATTTTATTTGTTTTGCTTATCTACATTTTTACAAGATCTAACTCCAAGGGGTTGTTCTCAAGTTATAGTCATAATTCATCGACGTGTTCGATGGCTGGCAACCACAGAAATGGTTGCAGAGAGAAAACAAACGTCTCCACTAGATTTCTTCATTGTTCCTGCTCCTGCTCTAAAATGAAACTCTGAGTTTTCCTGGAGGCTGTGTATGCCGTAAGAAATTTACTGAGAAATGTATTCCAGCATATTTATCTATACTCGGTCTCCTAGAAACATAGGTTTGTATCCTTAACTAGTAGCCCAGAAATCTACTTTGAATACTAATAGGACAAGCTGATGGCAGCAAGTTGAAACTTTAATTCTGATAAGACAGATGGTTCTTCGCAAACCAGCTTCATTTTGAAATAAACTGATATCTGGTATTTACTAAAAATGGTATCTTTCTTACAGGCAATTTTTCCTCACTATGTTAATTGCCATATTTCTCTTCCCTCTAATGCAAAGCATAACTTCCTTCATGAAAGCCAAATATTGTAGCCCCACACACCTCCCCCGTCCCACGCCTCCCCCAGAAGGTTGCCCTTCCTCCCTCCAGGATGCCTCAGTGATGGCAACAAATAGCTGTTGTCTGCAGAGTCACGCAACTCACTACTTGTCATTTTCTTTGTTAATTCTATTTTCAAGGGCATGCACATTTCTGCAGCTCATGAAATTCCTTTAAACTATGATGCAGGGAAATTATAAAAGCTAAACTCCTGTCAATTGTCTCTGTTCTCTGATCATATATATATATATATATATATATATATATATATATATAATTTTTTATATGTGTGTATATATAATTATATATATATATATGTATATGTATATAATTTTTTGTATGTGTTTTTAGTAGAGACGGGGTTTCACCATGTTGGCCAGGATGGTCTTGATCTCCTGACCTCGTGATCCACCCGCCTCGGCCTCCCAAAGTGCTGGGATTACAGGCATGAGCCACCACACCCAGCCTCTGTTGTCTGATCTTAATAAGATCTTCTATGTTGCCTTCCTGCAGCATGTTTGGAAACACAAAATTTTTGAGTTTTTAAAATTCTGGTCATTGAAGTTAGTTTAGTATTCTGAATAACTGAGCACCTTCCCCACAGTAAGGATAAAACCTTTTACTGTGTTTTATGCCTTCAGGTAGAAGTTATTCTAACATGTATCATACCTGGCCTTTTATTGTGTTGAGTCAGATGAGATGACTGATACTTCACTGTTTTTGACCTTCACAAATGCCATCTTCCTATGGTTCAACCTGACATATTTAGACAGGCATTGTTACCTGGCATCATGAATAATGGTTCAGACTTCAGGGAGTTCATGAAACCCTACAAATTTCTGCAAAGTGGTGTGTAAATGTGTCTATGGTTTTTTATCAAACTCAAAACAATCTCTGAGCCTCCAGCAGCACAGACCTGCGTGTGGCTTCAGGTTGCAGGACAGGGCTCAGAGCAGCCTTCCCTGGGGAAGACAGGGTTTGCACACAGCCTTCAGGACCCACCTAGGATGTGTCGGCTTTGAGAGAACACAGGGAGTTTTCTCTGCATCCAGACATGAAAACAGGAGTGGGAGAAGGCAGCCGCACAGGGTGTCCCAGGACAGAGAGCAGGGTCGGGCGTCCCCATGATATGGGGCTCTGTAGGCTGTGCTAGGGCCTCTGGCCACTCAGCATCTTTCCCACCAATGTGCAAGACCAGTGTGTGTCCCAGACAGGAGTGACAACCAGGTGGTTTACATGCATCTACCCGAGGGGTCACCCTACAGACCAGCATGCGTCCCAGACAGGAGTGACAGCCAGCTGGTTTACATGCATATACCTGAGGGGTCACCCTACAAGACCAGCGTGCGTCCCAGACAGGAGTGACAGCCAGCTGGTTTACATGCGTAGACGCCAGGGGTCACCCTACAAGACCAGCGTGCGTCCCAGACAGGAGTGACAGCCAGCTGGTTTACATGCGTAGACCCCAGGGGTCACCCTACAAGACCAGCGTGCGTCCCAGACAGGAGTGACAGCCAGCTGGTTTACATGCATATACCTGAGGTGTCACCCTACAAGACCAGCGTGCGTCCCAGACAGGAGTGACAGCCAGCTGGTTTACATGCATAGGCCCCAGGGGTCACCCTATTCTGCTGAGCATGTTAATATTTTAAGCGCCACGTTCAGAGATTGTCACTTGTCATGATATTCATTATCCATAATTAATATTGCAACTGAGGAATGCTTGAAAGATGTTCTATTCCATGCACGCTTGTTTGTCACTGTCAGGAAAACTTTAAATGGGCTTGGGCTCATTTCTTCTTCAAATTAACTGCAATACCAAGCATGTATTGTTTATAAAATTGATTAATTGCACATATGTAGGAAATGGGAGCAGGCCTAGAGCACTCACAGAGCTGTCAGGATCATCCAGCACCCTCTCTGGCATTTTAAATTCTGTTGTTTTCTTTTTTTTTTTTTTTTTTTGAGATGGAGTCTTGTTCTGTCACCCATGCTGGAGTGCAGTGGCACAATCTTGGCTCACTGCAACCTCTGCCTCCCAGGTTCAAGCAATTATCCTGTGTCAGCCTCCCGAGTAGCGGGAATTGCAGGTGCGCACCACCACGCCCGGCTAATTTTTGTGTTTTTAGTAGAGACAGGGTTTCACCATGTTGGTCAGGCTGGTCTCAAACTCCTGATCTCAAGTGATCCACCCACCTCAGCCTCCCACAGGGCAAAAAGTACTCACAGAGGTTCGGGACCTCGGGTGTTTTTATGTAATGGAATGAAGTCAGTAAACCTTTTCACGTTCTGGAATTGACAGAGGGACCATGAGAACACCCATCCCATGTCAAGAACACGTGCAGCGTGAGCAGGAAGGACGCTGGCATGTGGCCGGACTCGGTTCTGCGGCCCCGGGCTTCTGTCCACACCATGCTTCCTTTGAAACATGGAGCTACATAAGCCTAAGAATTGAGCCTGTCATTGTGAAATAATCCTCCACTGAAGACCACTTGCTCCAATACAACAGAGCCATGTTCTCTGTGTACAAGTGGCTTATGATCGAACTTGTGTCTTATGACTATTTTGTTTTAATTTACTATGAAGAAACTAAACCACGGGCTCTGATGTTGTGAACAGATATCTGTGGAGTAAATTCAATGTGTCAGATGCTGGCTAGGACTTTAATCAGCTGATTTCGTGTCGTCCTCAACACAACCCCTTGAAGATTAACATGTCGCTTTACTGATGAAGCCAGCAGAGCAGGGGACGCCTCTCCTTCCCCTCTGTCACGGCTGCCTTCCTGGAGCCACAGTGGATCACAGCAGAGCATGGTGACTCGACGGTCTCTTCACTGATGGTTTTCGTGACAGGTTTTTCATTGATAGAATTGTAAAATTTGATTCTTTTTTGCAGGAAGACAGATAATTTCTTGTGCATTTTTTATATATTAGATGGGGGTAACATTTTCTCAACTTTAAAGAGATAACTCATAATTTGTTTTGTGGCACAGTCTCTTTGGAGACTTTGGGTTGGAATCAAGAGTAAAGAATGGTTTTTACTAATCAGAGAAGATACTTTATGGGTAAAGACTGCAATATACAAACCTGGAGACCAGCCCTACTCATCTGGGTGGCCAGTGGGTTTTATTCAGTATAATTTCCACACAAGTCTTTGGGTCGGTAGGGATCAGAAAGGACTCTCTCCAGAGCATAAACACAAGGGTACCATTTGGACAGAACTGAGTTTGGAAAGCCTGGCCTGGGTTTCTGCCTCCATAAACCAAAATCAGCAGCTCTCACGTGGGCTGGGCACAGTCGCTGATTCAGTGGCCAGGAGGAGAGAGAAGGGCGGCATTTGGGTTGGGAGAAGGTGCTGCTGTCACGTGGGCTGGGTGCAGTCGCTGATTTCGTGGCCAGGAGGAGGGAGAAGGGCGGCATTTGGGTTGGGAGAAGGTGCTGCTGTCACAGGACTGGGTGCAGTCGCTGATTCGGTGGCCAGGAGGAGGGAGAAGGGTGGCATTTGGGTTGGGAGAAGGTGCTGCTGTCACAGGACTGGGTGCAGTCGCTGATTCGGTGGCCAGGAGGAGGGAGAAGGGTGGCATTTGGGTTGGGAGAAGGTGCTGCTGTCACGTGGGCTGGGTGCAGTCACTGATTTGGTGGCCAGGAGGAGGGAGAAGGGCGGCGTTCAGGTTGGGAGAAGGTGCTGCTGTCACAGGACTGGGTGCAGTCGCTGATTCGGTGACCAGGAGGAGGGAGAAGGGTGGCATTTGGGTTGGGAGAAGGTGCTGCTGTCACGTGGGCTGGGCACAGTCGCTGATTCGGTGGCCAGGAGGAGGGAGAAGGGTGGCATTTGGGTTGGGAGAAGGTGCTGCTGTCACGTGGGCTGGGTGCAGTCGCTGATTCGGTGGCCAGGAGGAGGGAGAAGGGCGGCATTTGGGTTGGGAGAAGGTGCTGCTGTCACAGGACTGGGTGCAGTCGCTGATTCGGTGACCAGGAGGAGGGAGAAGGGTGGCATTTGGGTTGGGAGAAGGTGCTGCTGTCACGTGGGCTGGGTGCAGTCACTGATTTGGTGGCCAGGAGGAGGGAGAAGGGCGGCGTTCAGGTTGGGAGAAGGTGCTGCTGTCACAGGACTGGGTGCAGTCGCTGATTCGGTGACCAGGAGGAGGGAGAAGGGTGGCATTTGGGTTGGGAGAAGGTGCTGCTGTCACGTGGGCTGGGCACAGTCGCTGATTCGGTGGCCAGGAGGAGGGAGAAGGGTGGCATTTGGGTTGGGAGAAGGTGCTGCTGTCACGTGGGCTGGGTGCAGTCGCTGATTTGGTGGCCAGGAGGAGGGAGAAGGGCGGCATTTGGGTTGGGAGAAGGTGCTGCTGTCACAGGACTGGGTGCAGTCGCTGATTCGATGACCAGGAGGAGGGAGAAGGGTGGCATTTGGGTTGGGAGAAGGTGCTGCTGTCAGGTGGGCTGGGTGCAGTCACTGATTTGGTGGCCAGGAGGAGGGAGAAGGGTGGCGTTCAGGTTGGGAGAAGGTGCTGCTGTCACAGGACTGGGTGCAGTCGCTGATTCAGTGACCAGGAGGAGGTAGAAGGGTGGCATTTGGGTTGGGAGAAGGTGCTGCTGTCACAGGACTGGGTGCAGTCGCTGATTCAGTGACCAGGAGGAGGGAGAAGGGTGGCATTCGGGTTGGGAGAAGCTGCTGCTGTCACAGGACTGGGTGCAGTCGCTGATTTGGTGGCCAGGAGGAGGGAGAAGGGTGGCATTTGGGTTGGGAGAAGGTGCTGCTGTCACGTGGGCTGGGTGCAGTCGCTGATTTGGTGGCCAGGAGGAGGGAGAAGGGCGGTGTTCAGGTTGGGAGAAGGTGCTGCTGTCACGGGACTGTGGCTACCTTGGGTGGATGGGAATTAGTTCAGTTCCTCCCGCACTCGGTCATCCTGCAGTAGCTCAGCCTCCAGGACTCAGGCTGCCAGCGTGGGTGGCTGGGGAAGGGGAAGGGACCAGGAATGTACCATCTCAGGCCCAGGGAGCCACGTCCCCCCGCAGAGGCCAGGGATGCCTCCTGAACAAGCCTCATCTCCGTGAGATACAGCAGCCCTCAGGCCCCCACACGGCGGCGGCTTCTGATTTCTAGGATCTATTTTATCTGAAACGATTAGTTCAAGAAGGAAATGTTACTTCCCAGCAAATGGCTCAAACACATGTTGCCCTCATCCCATTCCATGAGAAGTTGGAAGTAAAATTAAAGTTCAAGTGGGCCAGGCGTAGTGGCTCACGCCTGTAATCCCAGCACTTTGGGAGTCTGAGGCGGGTGGATCATTTGAGGTCAGGAGTTCAAGACCAGCTGGGCCAAAATGGTGAGCCCCCATCTCTACTAAAAATACAAAAATTAGCCTGGCGTGGTGGTGTGTGCCCGTAATCCCCGCTACTCGGGAGGCTGAGGCAGGAGAATCGCTTGAATCCAGGAGATGGAGGCTGCAGTGAGCTGAGATCATGCCATTGCACTCCAGCCTGGGTGACAGGGCAAGAATCTGTCTCAAAAAAACAAAAGAAAAAGATCAGGGAAGGTGCTGATGAGACAAGCGGCCCCAGCGTTTGTGCTGGTTTTGGTTATTGATGAAATAGTGGGAGCAACTGCGTTACGTGTGTCATAAAATACATATGATGAACTGACAGAGAAAGCCACTCAGAGAGAACCCAGCATGGCTATGTAGTGTGTCCAGGGACCACCCATGCTCCCCAGGAACTCCCTTCGAACCCACCGTCCAAAGCCAGGGTCAGGCAGCCTCGGGTATGGTTGGCTCAGGGTCCTGTTCCCAGGACGCTCCTGCCCCGGGTGGCCCCGAGCTGGTCCGGCCTCGCGTTGAGGGGTCCAGTGGTTTAAGCCTGAGTTCTGAACATGTGTCAAACAAAGCAATCCCATCCAGGAGGCGGTCGGGATACCCAAATCTCACTTGCATTTCCCAGCAAGCATTCGTGAAAACAGACTTGCTGACCAGGCACTGGCCACGTTGAACATGGTGTGAGCGGCCCAGGCCCTCCTCCGTCAGATGGGCCTGGAGCACGGGGTGGGCGAGCAGGTGCAGCCACGAGGGCTTCAGGAGCTGTGGAGGCGATGGTGTGGTTTGAGCTGATTCACAAGCTCTGCTGGGGTTTTCTTTCCATCTTGTGACCTGGGCCTTCCAGGGAGCTGCACGCGCTCCTGGGACACGTGGAGCTTTCACAGTTGTCCTGAGGGAAGAGGAAAAATATCAGGCACATAACAACTGAGGAAGGAGCTGAAACCTGGAAGAAAAAGACCAAAGTATCATGGGAAAAAAAGGGAAATCAACAGAATTCACTGAATGTCGCAACAGCCGCCTTCCTGAAGAGCTTCCTTCCAGCTGAGCTCCCAGGCAAGTCACTGTCCCCAAAGCCACGTTCCAGGACAGCACCCATCCAGGACAGCTCCCTTCCAGGACAGCACCCGTCCAGGACAGCTCCCTTCCAGGACAACACCCTTCCAGGACGGCTCCCTTCCAGGACGACACCCTTCCAGGACGGCTCCCTTCCAGGACGGCACCCTTCCAGGACAACGCCCTTCCAGGATGGCACCCTTCCAGGACAACGCCCTTCCAGGACGGCACCCTTCCAGGACGGCACCCTTCCAGGACAACGCCCTTCCAGGATGGCACCCTTCCGGAATGGCATCCTTCCAGGACAGCTCCCTTTCAGGCTGGCTTCCTTCCAGCTGAGCTCCCAGGCAGTAAGTCACCATCCCCAAAGCCACCTTCCAGGACAGCTCCCTTCCAGGACGGCACCCTTCCAGGAAAGCACCCTTCCAGGACAATACCCTTCCAGGACGACTCCCTTCCAGGACGGCTCTCTTCCAGGACAGCTCCCTTCCTGCTGAGCTCCCAGGCAGCTAGTCACTGTCTCCAATGACTGAAGGCAGATAGAGGGGAGACAGGGCCAGGAAGAGCTGTCAGGGGCTGGAGACACGTCCCTCACCTTTCATTCTCCATGCTGAAAGTGACCTTGGGGGCCAGAAGGGCTCACTGCCTCACGCCTCACCGTCCTGGCCTCCAGCGAAGCACCGGGACGTAGAGAGGCCATCAGATTGCAGCAGGATGATCATTATCATATCAGAAGCTGACCTTCCTATGCAAGAGTTTCAGAGGAGGACATAGAATCACTCTTCACAAAAAAAAAGTAGTATCTGAGTAGAGAAAAAGCACAAACCATGTGAGGGAAAACACACCACAGTGGTTTTTCTATTTTCTCACTCAACAGCAACCAACACAGGAGACTTCGATGACCAAATGTTGGGGGCTTCTCCCCACCACCCAGCAGGTGACCAGCTCTGCAGGGGTCACCAGCCAGGGATCCCCTAATTCAGCACATTCACCTGGCGGGAACCTCAGGTCCCACAGGGGGAGGGCTGGGTCCCCAAGACCACCCACGACTTTGGATGCTGATCACAAGCTCCAGGAGCTTCTAACCAGCCAGTGGTAAACCGAGGCTCCTGCAAGCCCCCCACACGTGGGTTCCATTCATTTGCTGGAGTGGCTCCCGAAACTCTGGGAAGCACCCATGTTTGGTGGTTTATTATAAAGGATACAGATGAAGAGATGAGCAGAGCGAAGGGAAGAGATGAGCAGAGGGAAGGGGACAGATGAAGAGATGAGCAGAGCGAAGGGAAGAGATGAGCAGAGGGAAGGGGACAGATGAAGAGATGAGCAGAGGGAAGGGGCGTGGGGTTCCATTAATTTGCTAGAGTGGCTCCCAGAACTCTGGGAAGCACCCATGTTTGGTGGTTTATTATAAAGGATACAGGTGAAGAGATGAGCAAGGGAAGGGGCATGGAGTTTCTGTGCCTCCCAGGGCACCACCCTCCAGGAACCTCCACGGGTTCAGGTGTCTGGAAGCTCCACAAAAACCCCGATCCCAGTGCTAGGGCGTTTTGTGGAGACTCCACTGGATGGGCGTGACTGAGGCTCAGACAGCCGTGTGGAAATGGGACTGGAGAAAGTCGCTGCGCTCTGTGTTGCTAGCAGACCAAGGGTGGAAACTAGCAAGGCCTATGTGTTCAGACTCTTCCCGGCCCCTCTGTGCCGCGTTTCTTCCTCAGGGGCGTGAGGTAGGACCCTCTGGGGTGAGGGTTTTGGGACTCACAATGAGAAAGGTGGGTCAGAGAATGTCTTTATGGCCAACGCCATGACAGAAAGGCCGGGAAAGGTCCCTGCCTTGGGGAGAGAAAGGAGCAGTGAACGGAGTGGGAGGTCAGAGAGAGACTCCCAACGTTACAGCAGAGGC
The DNA here is from genome assembly GCF_000001405.40 of Homo sapiens. Taxonomy (NCBI): domain Eukaryota; kingdom Metazoa; phylum Chordata; class Mammalia; order Primates; family Hominidae; genus Homo; species Homo sapiens. The sequence goes on from NC_000008.11 coordinate 1,466,006, forward strand.
CGTGGGAGTCATGAGGCGGGCACCGTGGGCGAAAGCCGGTTGCATCCATCGTGACAGCGCCGTCTGCTTGTGCTGTCTGACATACTTTGCATTTTGAGTAATAAATTAACCATATTCGTGTTGGAGCGTTTAGGTTGAAGTCAAGTGTGCTCTTGACCCACATGGAGAAATAGTCAGAGGGGTCAAACCGACAGTAAAATAAAATATTAGACTCTTTACTAATCCACAGAGTGGGCTTTGCTTTTTTATCATTTGGACTTGAATGGCTTAACTGACAATTTGGTGCCAGGCAACCTGAGCCAAGCAGAGCAGTGATGAGGCCCAGCCGACCCTCATCCTCAGCCGTGGCTGCCGCAGGAGACATTTCCCCCCTCCCTTTTCCTCTTTTGGGCTGGAAATCTGCCCACTGGAACCACGCGTGCAGTGACCCTGTGGAGACACGGTGGCTCAAAAGGGAATTTTTTTTCTTGGCACAGGGTATCAGGTACCAGGGTATAACTTTTCCAGACATCTCAATTTGTGTGTGTGTGTGTGTGTGTATGTGTGTGTGTCTGGCCCATATGTGATAAAAACCTTAATTTCAGTACTTTCCAGAACTCTCAGGTGCCGAGAACTTACCTAAATTCATAGTAGTAACATTTTGGATTAAAGAGCTGCTGCTATTTCTGCTCAGTGGCATTTCTCTGTTAGATACAGAGGCTGTGTGTGCCATGCAGCTCTCAGTGAGAGGAAGGAAATGATCACCATTGCGTGGATAGTGGTGTGATGTGGTTGGTGAGACGTGTGGTAATTACTGTTTTCCAGGAAGTGGCCAGAACCTAGGAGCTACCAGGCCAGGGAGAAGCTGCTTCTTTTCTTTCTTTTTTCTACTTTTTCTTTTTTTTTCCCTTAACTACAGCCTAAACACACCTTTTAGAAATTAGTTTAAAAGAGAGCTAGTTATAGAAGTGATTTTAAATTTTTGTAAAAAGTGGCTGAAAGGCTGAACACTTTGAAGCTTCAAGAAAGTGGGGGGGATGTGGGCAGATGGGATTTTGCCGGGTGATAAAGAAGACGGATGCCCGGCCCCGGGACCAGGATGGTCAGTCCCAGATCCAGCCAGAGGGAGGGAGGGTCCGGCAGGGGCCTGGGAGGGTCAGTCCCAGATCCAGCCAGAGGGAGGAGGGGTCCAGCAGGGGCCCAGGAGGTCTCTCATCGTCATGCATGGCTTCTCTGTTGGATGTCACTGAGTGTCCTTCACCACGGTCCCTCCCCCCAGCCCCACTGCACCCTCATATCCACATCCAGCCCTCCTTATGGTCCTCCTGCAGTCCCTGTTCCTCAGACCCATCCCCATGTGACTGTACTTCCCATTCACGGCCCCCCACAGCCCCCCAGAGCTCTGCCTTCTACCTCCTCAGGACACCTCCCAGGAGCTCCAGAGAGACCCAGGACCCCCACTCACCAAGAGGCCCCCTCACTAGACCCGTTGAAGGCAGGGACTCCGTGACCTCGGCTCCAGACCCCCATTACCTTGGCAGAGCCCAGCACAAGCTGGCGTTTGCTGAGTGGATGGGAGACCACGGGCATTTGGTGTGCACAGAGGGAGGGTTTCAGGGAGTGTTCGTGTCAAGTGGACAGACTGCCCTGCCCACCTTCCCATAAGCCTGCACATTTTAGCCCCCAGCACAGAACCACGGCAACGTCCCATCACTAAAGGGAGCGTGGCCTGGCTGCTCTCCATAGCTCACTGCTGCCAGTAAGGGGGGCAGAGTGGCAGAGACCACCGTGGTTCTCAAACTGTGTCCCACAGTGCCTTGGGGTCCTGCGCCCTGCTGCAGGGGTGGCGCCAGGGTGAGAAGCTGACTTGGCTCTGAGATCCCAGATCCCCCCTGGTCAGGAGGCCACCACATCATACAGCTTTGTTTCACTAAACATAAATAAATAAATACGTTCTGAGGCTACACATTTTTGAAAAGTGTTACCCAGCTGGAACCGTGCTAATTCTTTCAGCCTCCTGTTCTAAGAGAGAATCTTTGTGCTGCAAAGTGGGGGCGCTGTGGCTTGCATCTTGACCCCTGTACAGAGACACTTTCAGAAATCACTTGCCAAAGACGTGGACCCAGGGTCACAGGAGCAGGGAGGTCCAGGCAGGCCCTGAGTCCCCAGCAGCCTCGGTCCCTTCTGAGAACCTCCCCAGTTCACACAGCGTGGATCCGGGCTGGCCCTGTGTCCTCTGCAGCCTCGGTCGGTTCTGAGAATTGTGCCCTGTTCACACAGCGTAGATCCGGGCTGGTCCTGAGTCCCCAGCAGCCTCGGTCCATTCTGAGAACCTCGCCTGTTCACACGGCGTGGATCTGGGCTGGTCCTGAGTCCCCAGCAGCCTCAGTCCATTCTGAGAACCTCGCCTGTTCACACGGCGTGGATCCGGGCTGGTCCTGAGTCCCCAACAGCCATGGTTTCTTCTGAGAACCTCCCCGGTTCACATCGCATGGATCCGGGCTGGCCCTGAGTCCTTAGCAGCCATGGTGGGTTCTGAGAACCACACCTGTTCCAACACATGGATCCCAAGCCTTAGGCTCCTGGTGCCACCAGGTCAGGACCCCGGCATCCCTCCACCCTTGAAGGAAACCTGGGAAGCCTGTGCTTTGGGGCCAGTGCATTCCTCGCTTTATTTACTGGGGCTGCCGTAAAACGTGACTCCAGCCTGGGCAGTGTAAACCACAGAAAGGCATCTTCTCGCCATTCTGGATGCCAGAAGACCAAAGCTGAGGCATGGGCAGAGCTGCACTCCCACTGCAGGCTCTGAAAACCCTCCTCTTCCCTCCCACTCTCCATGGATGCCAGCAGCTTGTGGTGACCGTCATCCTGGGGCCACGCTGCCCGGCCCAGACTCTCTTCCCGTGTCCATCCTGCTGTGCTCACTCCAGCCTCTCTCTCTCCTTAGAAAGACATCGTCCTGGTATTAGGACCACCTTCCCTCTGTACGACCTCATCTGAACTTGGGGCCACTGCAAAGACCAAGGTCAGAGTCACAGGCTCCGGGATGAGGCTGTCAACACATCCTTCTAGGGGACACAGTTCAACGCATGACATGTCCTGTCATTCATTCTATGAAAGAAATCCATGCTGGGCGCCCCGTGTCCAGCTGGGATGTGAGCACCAGGCAGAGGCCTGCCCTAAAAGCTGTGGCAGATCCTCCAGTCCTGGGGCTTCCTCCCCTCGCCCAGCTCCTGCACAGTGAAGGGTGGCTGTGGCCAGCAGCAGTGGCCGTGACAGCAGCCACCCTGGCTCCCAGGACAACACCTTGCGGCATTCAGCTCTGAGCTGCTCCCTGCCCAGCAGGCCCCGTACGAGAGCGAAGCGGGCTTTATTCTGGCTCCTAGGAGCCGGCTGTTAATGCGTGGCCACCATCTCCTCAGGAGACCCTCCATGTGGCCACCAAGGGCAGCAAACTGCAGTACATCCCTCTCTGCCATTTCCTGTGCAGGAGAGGTTTCTTCGGAAGCTACTGGAAAGCAGCCTGGAGAGAGACGTCTGCTGCTGAGGACCTTGCCTGCTCCTTCGCTGCCTTACTGAGCTTCCTCAGAAGAACCTCCCACGTATTCGTATTTTCACTGGCAGCTCTTGGGCAACGTGAAATCACCAATGCATCTGCCTCACCCCAAGATGATTCTCACGTCAGAAGCACCTGCTCTGCACGTGCCTGAGAATTCTTTTTTGTATTAAATTTATTATTTGTTGCCCTAAATAAAACCAACCCCAGAAATGGGCCCTCCTTGAAGTGCTGCCATTGTTTGAGAGGAACCAACTTTAAAAGTCCATGTATGACCCTCGATTATTTCTCCAGGAGATGCACAAAATACAGACTCCTATAAAACTCATTTGAGGGCCAAGCGTGGTGGTTTATGCCTGTAATCCCACACTTTGGGAGGCTGAGGCAGGAGGATTGCTTGAGCCCAGAAGTTCAAGATCAGCCTGGGCAACATAGGGAGACCTCATCCCTAAAAAAAAAAAAGAAAAAAAAATTAGCCAAGCCTGGTGGTGTGTGCCTGCGATCCCAGCTGCTCATGAGGTTGAGGCAGGAGGATCACTTGAGCCCAGGAGGTCAAGGCTGCAATGAGCTGTGATCATGCCACCGCACTGCAGCCTGGGTGACAGGGCCAGACCCTGTCTCCAAAGAAAAGCCTCAGTTGTGGCTGCTGAAAGACAGGATCATGCCAGACCATGGATGCTTCACTCCGCTGTCTCGCTGGACGTCTACACTGTCGCCTGTGTTAAGTCCTGGCAGCCAGGTGCTCCATCCAGCACTTCTCAGCCCCCAATGCCATCCTTCATCCCTCAGCTGGTGCCACCAAGTGAGCCCCGCTGGTTCCTTACAACCTGAGTCCACCACAGTGGGAGCTGGATTCATTCTGAGTGGCCGATGCAGTGGCATGGCAGCTGATAGATATGTTTAATATCATCCCTGCTGAAATCCCTCCCGCCACCTGCTCTCTTCTGAATACTTTCACAGAATCGTTTAAATACAACAAAATCCATGGGCCAGTCACACGCAGAAGCACATATTGGAATCCTATTCTATTCTCTCTTAAATATTTGATGTTTGACTAAATCCCAAGCCACTGAATAAATAGTTTAACAGAACAAAAGTGAAAGTGACTAATCTCTCGGCACAATCCTACCATTTTAAGATCCTGTAGCTCCACGTGGATATTCCATGATGAAGGCATCACCGACCACGGCCTCCCCTTCCCCGACTCCTTCCCCGACTCCTCCAGCCTTTCCCGACTCCCCCAGCCTTTCCCGACCCCTCCAGCCTTTCCCGACCCCTCCAGCCTTTCCCGACCCCTCCAGGCTTTCCCGACCCCTCCAGCCTTTCCCGACCCCTCCATCCTTTCCCGACCCCTCCAGCCTTTCCCGACCCCTCCAGCCTTTCCCGACCCCTCCAGCCTTTCCCGACCCCTCCAGCCTTTCCCGACCCCTCCAGGCTTTCCCGACCCCTCCAGCCTTTCCCGACCCCTCCAGCCTTTCCCGACCCCTCCAGGCTTTCCCGACCCCTCCAGCCTTTCCCGACCCCTCCAGCCTTTCCCGACCCCTCCAGCCTTTCCCGACCCCTCCAGCCTTTCCCGACCCCTCCAGGCTTTCCCGACCCCTCCAGCCTTTCCCGACCCCTCCAGCCTTTCCCGACCCCTCCAGGCTTTCCCGACCCCTCCAGCCTTTCCCGACCCCTCCAGCCTTTCCCGACCCCTCCAGCCTTTCCCGACCCCTCCAGGCTTTCCCGACCCCTCCAGCCTTTCCCGACCCCTCCAGCTTTTCCCGACCCCTCCAGCCTTTCCCGACCCCTCCAGCCTTTCCCGACCCCTCCAGCTTTTCCCGACCCCTCCAGCCTTTCCCGCCAGCTGCTGACCTCCACACTCTGTCCCCAGCACAGCTCCCAAACAAGGCTTCCATCTGCCTGTGACGCAGGACATCCCCAGCCTCCTCACCTCTGTCAGAGGCCTGTGCACCATGGCCAACCCAGCCTCTGCGATGCCCTCCCCTCCCCTCCCAGCCTCCTCCTAACCTCCTCTGCGACGCCCTCCCCTCCCCAGCCTCCCTCCTAACCTCCTCTCACCTCCTGCCCACAGCCCACTCATCCCTGAATTAAGGGATCCTCAAACAACCACCCCACACACCTCCCTTTATGAGCATGGGAAATGCCTCTTCAAGACCAAGAAGGGTTCATATCCATCAGCAGCTGGTGACGGACCATGCTGTGTAGGAATTCACCCTTGCTACTCCCATCCTTGGGTTCAAATCCCACCTTTGTGGCTAAAGCTGGGTGAAATCACATCAAACTCTCCAAGTCTTCTTTTCTTCCAGGAGCTCACAAGTGCCGTGACAGTTGAATGGGGCTCTGCGCAGGCCTGCGGTCCGTAAACGGTTGTGATTGCAACCACTTCTTGTGCCCAGTACAACATCATTAAATCGTTCTTTAATCCTTCATTAAATAAACTTGTATTTAGCGGTGGTCTCTGTGCCAGGCACTACGTTAAGGATAAAGCAGTGAGCACCAACAAGCCCTGGTCTCATAGCAGCCACGATTGAGCGTGGGAGTGAGACAGAGGGCCTGAGGCGTAAACAAGTGCCCCTCCACAGTGAGAACGCAGAGCAGGACATGCAGAGCTCAGACGGGGCCGCACTGGGGAGGTGATGCTGGAGGAAATCCTTGCAGCAGGAGGGATGCCTGCCGCCATGTTGGGAGGGGAGGGGGGTTGAGCCATGCGGTAGAGCGGCTGTGCACCAGATGCAGGGCCGGAGCAGGAGAGGACGCAGCTGGGAGGGAGGCCAGGGGCGCAGGTGCCATCATCCCTTCAGGCCCTTCTGGTAAATCCCAAAGCGGGTGTGGCCCTTGCAGTTGGTTTTGTTATGTTGGTGATTTTCATTTTGTTTTTTAGTGAGAATGACATGGTCTGGTATACATATTTCCAGAATTGCTTCCACTTTGTTTCTTTTGAAATCACTAAACAAGGACAAGGGTAGAAGCAAGGAGATGAAGCAGGAAATGTCAGGGTCTCGGGCCCGAGTGCCAGCAGTGGAGACGCTGAGGTCAGATTGAGGAGGATGGAATAATACATGATGTAAACAATCCTCAAGATATACAGGTTCAGAATCGAAGCTCAGCAGGTATTTTCTACAGATGAGGCAAGGGGTGCAGCTGCCAGCCAGCCACAGTGGTCTCTGCAGAAAGTTAACCCTATCATGACTAAAATTAGAAAAACCCTAGCTGGGGTGACAAGGATGCACAGTGAGTTGAACTCCCATAAAATGCAAAACAGAGTAACTGCTTTAGAAACTGGTTTAGCAGTTTTTAAAAAGTTAAGCATATACTTTTCACATGGCCCATACATTCCATTCCTAAATATTTCCCTAAAATGAGGGAAAACTTATGTCCTCACAATATAATTCACACAATTTTTTTTTTGACATGGACTCTTGCTTTGTCCAGGCTGGAGTGCAGTGGCTTGATCTCAGCTCACTGCAACCTCCGCCTCCCAGGTTCAAGCGATTCTCCTGCCTCAGTCTCCCAGGCAGCTGGGATTACAGGCACCTGCCACCACACCTGGCTAATTTTGGTATTTTTAGTAGAGACAGCATTTCACCATGTTGGCCAGGCTGGTCTTAAACCCCTGACCTCAGATGATCCATCCGTCTTGGCCTCCCAAAGAGCTGGGATTACAGTCGTGAGCCACCGTGCCCAGCCCACAAATGATTATATCGGCTTTATTCATAATCACCAAAAACCTGTAACCACCCAATGCCCTTCAGGGGCTGAGTAGATGAACAGAAGAAGGTTCCTCCGCCCAGCAGACTGCCACTCAGGGATGAGAGGAACGGAGAACGGAGCCTGCAGTGAGGGAGAATCTCAGATCCACTGCGGGGCTGGAGGCGAAGGTGTTCAGTTGGTCCACGTTGTAAAACAACCAGAAAATGGCTGCTTGCAGTTTGATTCTACACATATCACATTCTCAAAAAGGCAGAACTGAAGGGAAAAAGCTGCATCTGTGGTTTCCAGGGGCTGGAGACTGGGGAGGGGTTTAGCTGCAGCAGGGCTCAAGCGAGCTTTGGGGTGATGGGATGCGCTGTCTTGAATACGGTGTAGGCTATGGTATGGTTTGGCTGTGTCCCCACCCAAATCTCATTGTGAATGGCAGCTCCCATAATCTCCACTGTTGTGGGAGGGACCCAGTGGGAGATCACTGAATCATGGGGTGGGTCCCTCCATACTGTTCTCATGGTAGTGAATACATCTCATGAGACCTGATGATTTTCTGAGGGGTTTCCCATTTTGCTTGGCTTCCATTGTCTCTTGTCTGCCACCATGTAAGACCTGCCTTTCACCTTCCACCATGATTGTGAGGCCTCCCCAGCCATGTGGAACTGTGAGTCCATTAAACCTCTTTTTCTGTGTAAATTACCCAGTCTTGTATATGTCTTCATCAGCAGCATGAAAACAGACTAATACATGAGCAGTGTACATTCTGCCCAATGTGTAGTCTTTTATCCTTCACCCCTTCCCCCCGAGTCCCCAAAGTCCATTGTATCATTCTTACGCCTTTGCATCCTCATCGTTTAGCTCCCTCTTACAAGCAAGAACATTCAATATTTGGCTTTCCATTCCTGAGTTACTTCCCTTAGAATAATGGTCTCCAACTCCATCCAGGTTGTTGAGAATGATATTATTTTATTCCGTTTTTTGGCTGATTTGTATTCCATGGTATATGTATACCACAGTTTCTTTATCCACTTATTGATTGATGGGCATTTGGGCTGGTTCCGTGTTTTTGTGATTGTGAATTGTGCTGCTATAAACACGTGTGTGCAAGTGTCTTTTTCATACGACTTCTTTCCCTCTGGGTAGATACTCAGGAGTGGGGTTGCTGGGTCAAACGGTGGGTCTACTCTTAGTTCTTCAAGGAATCTCCTCACTGTTTTCCATAGTGGTTGTACTGGTTTACATTCCCACCAGCAGTGCAGAAGTGTTTCCTTTTTATCACGTCCACGCCAACATTATTTTTTGATTCTTTGATTATGACCAATGAGTAGGCACCTCTCAAAAGAAAGAAGACATACAAGTGGGCAGAAAACATGATAAAATGCTCATCATCAGTAATCATCTGAGAAATGCAAATCAAAACCACAGTAAGATACGATCTCACATCAGTCAAAAATGGCTTTTGTTAAAAGGTTAAAAATAACCTGTTTAACAGGTTGGCAAGGCTATGGGGAAAGGGAATGCTTATACACTGCCAGTGCGAGCGTACATTGGTTCAGCCCCTGTGGAAAGCAGTTTGTAGATTTCTCAAAGAACTGAGAGTTGAACTACCGTTTGACCCCATAATGCTATTACTAGGTATATAGCCAAAGAAAAATAAATCATTCTTCCAAAGGGCACATGCCCCCATACAGACATCACAGCACTATTCGCAACAGGAAAGACATGGCCTCAACCTAGATGCCCATCAAAGGGGGATTGAATAAAGAAAATATAGTGCATACACACCATGGAATACTACGCAGCCATCAGGAAGAATGAGATCATGTCCTCGCAGAGACACGGGTGTAGTCAGAGTCACTATCCTAAGTGAATCAACACAAATACTGCACGTTCTCACTCATAAGTGGGAGCTAAACATTGGGCACACGTGGACACAGAGACGGGAACAAGACACCGGGAACTACTGTGCTCACTACCTGGGTGACAGTATCCGTCATACCCCAAACCTCAGCATCACACAATCAACCTACATAACACACCTGCATGTGTACCCTCAATTCTAAAATAAACGTTAAAAAAGAAAAAAAAGCCGGGGGAGCAGGTTTTAGCTGTAACTCTAACAGCATCTACTGAGAAATCATGGAGCAGCCTGATACCTTTTCATCCCCCTGAAGTGCCCTAGGTATGGAAAACAGAGCCCATAATGGTGAGCAGGCATCAAAATGAGAGCACTCCGCACCCCAGCGTTTTGCTTTGGAGGTGCCCCGCTGATTGTTGCAGGCTGTTTCGTGAGGATCAATGAGCGGCTGGGAGTAAACGTCTTCCATACTGGGTCAGGTCACCACCCTAAAGCCCTACAAAGTCGTTGACCCCCATAATTCAGGAACATTGCTTGTCATCCCGGGACCCACCGCAAGGCCGAGCGGAGAGGAAGACAGAACCCTCGCGTGGTCCACGGCAGAACACGAGTGGCACCTGCCGGCTTGGGGAGCTCAACAAAAGGCTTGTCAGACAGAATTACTGTTCACCAACTATTCAATAATGCTTCTAGTGTGTGATTTATAGGAGATCATTACTCTTTGTAACCAAATGGAAAGGTTCAATTTTCAGGTCCCATTTCTTGTTTTTTTCTCTCCCCTAGGAAATCTTAGAAGTAGCTCTTCTAGGATTTCATTAAAATGTCTTCTTCATTATAAAGAAAAATGGTTTTTGTAGTTACTCTTCTCAAGTTTAATTTTGCTGGAGGCAGAGCTGGCCAACACTCCTTTTGAATAAGGAAATATGAGGAGCCCAGGGCATCCTTCAAAAGAGGGCATCACTGTTCTGTTGGGATTATAGGGCGTACAGTAACCAGTGTCTGAAGAACAAGACAGTGAGCCCGTTCACTCTGTGAAACTCAAGACCTGCTTTGACTCCCACCGACTTCATGAGCAAAGGTGCTTTCATGGATGCGTGGCTCGTCCTGGTACATCTCTTAGCTTTTAGTTCCATTTCTGTACGTTTTTGAAGTGTCATCTGAATGATATTTTTTAATCCCTCTGAAGTCTTATTTACACATACATCTACGTGAGAGAGCAATACAATCCTAATAATAATCCTGCAGCACATTCTCGGCTGCATCACAAAGTAAATCTATTCCCATCGCGCCTGTGACTTCCTTTCTTCCCCTCTACACTCCAAGGGCGTCACCTGTTCCTTCCTGTTTTTTATAGTTCGGCTGAGCGCAGCGTGGGTATTTTGAGCTGAGTCAAACTGATTTCCGCTGACACCAGCTTGGGTATTTTCATCACACACCTCCTCATGGTTCCCCCCTCAGTTCCCAGGGCAAATGTTAGTGCTGTCCCCATCGGTGACATTCCTCAGAAGCCAGTCTCTCCCCCTCTCCTGGAGCCGGACCCACCCGTGATGGCTGACTGCTGTTGGCCAACCCACCAGCCCGTTATGCAGACCCACCCTTGATGGCTGAGTGCTGTCAGCCACCCACTAGCCCGTTCTGCAGACCCACCCTTGATGGCCGAGTGCTGTCGGCCACCCACCAGCCCCTTCTGCAGACCCACCCGTGATGGCTGAGTGCTGTCGGCCACCCACCAGCCCCTTCTGCAGACCCACCCGTGATGGCCGAGTGCTGTCGGCCAACCCACCAGCCCCTTCTGCAGACCCACCCGTGATGGCTGAGTGCTGTCAGCCACCCACCAGCCTGTTCTGCCAAGTCAGACGGACATTGTGATCTGTATGCTTTGTGTGACCCTCCAGGAACCTAAACACCTGTGAAGACAGGTTTATTCTCAGGTCATTCCTTCAGAGCAAAGCCTCCACCGCAGACACAATTAATCACGTCACTGCCGCAGGCACTGCACACATAGCCTTTTATCTCAAGAGGGCTTGACCCACCTGCTGGGAATGTCACCAGCTGGCTGTCAGATGGGAGAGGAAGTTGCGGGGGTGGATGCGCACCTGTCCAGGATGAGAGATCCCACCCACCCTCTTTGCCTAGGTCAGGTCTCAGATGACGGCTGGAAGGTACTGGACCATAACACAGGGTACTGGACAGACATGGAGTGTCCCAGGCCATGTTGGTGGCAGGGCTGTGGAAGGCCAGCTGGACAGGCTGCCTCCCCACCCTCCGGCTCTGTCCTTTCCTTCTGAAACCAGCCTCTCTCCCCACCCCTGTGAATCTCCGCTTTGCCTGTCCCTGCTGGGCCGATTCAAGTTCACTGTCTCCATTTGGCCTTAACTTTGAGGAACCTTGCTCTTTTATTGAAATTCTGGCTCAGAAACGCAGCTGCACAGCCTGAGAGCCGGCAGCCCGGTGGTCATCTTCAGAGCCTGTCTACTGTGGTTCCTAATTCCTCACAGCTCACCTGTCTGTGGCCATGATAAACAGCCTCCTTCTGCCCATCTGCACCCAGGAATGTGCATCCAAAGTAGCTCGCTTATTTACTTCCCTGACATTTATTTTCTCATGTTTAAACATATGGATTATTATCGGTTCATAGACTCAGAGCCCACAAGAAACCAGATTATGTGGCCTAGAATAATTGAAAGGTGAGAAAGAAAAAAAAAAAGGTGCCTAATGAAATGATAGTCCCAACCATGGAATGAATAGACCTGATTCCAGATGCCGGTGTCGGGATGGCAGAGTGACCCTGAGTCATTTTGCCCCAGGCAGAGCACCTGTCAGTCTGGTGGAAAATGCATTTTCAGTGGTGGGAGGCAGGGGATTATCTGCTGGTTTAGCGCTGCCTGTCACTCTCTGTTCGTAGGGTTTAATTTACTTTCATTCCCCCTACGTAAGGGGTAAATGTGACCTTCAGAAATCACAGCATTTCTTTTCCCCATTTGCCGTCTTGCTCATGGGAACTTAACTGCTGCTAATTAATGAAATGCCCTCTGTTTTTTAAATCTGGGTGTCTGTCCACTCTCTTCCATTCATCTTACCCATGAGCCTGTAGCCATCTTTGTTTACTCCTCCTTCAGACTGGGACACTGGTGGCTTTCTCTGAACTGTCTGGGGTATGGGTGCCAGCCCTCCTTCCCTTTCCTTCAGGAATTTGCAGCCAGGAGGACACATACAGGCATGAAGGAACATGAGCACCCCTCAGCTCATGTGAGACGTGGTGTGTGTAGACATAGCATATTTTCTCAGAGTTTCCATGACATTTTCAGGAGCTCCTCGCGGTGTGAAGAGCATGCTTTCAGCCCTGGCTTTCCTCAGGTGGCCAACAGCATCCGTGATTCTGGCCACTCTTGCTCCACAAGGCCCTCCTTTCTCTATTCCTCTCTCCATCGACACCATAGATGCCCAGGGCAATGGTCAAACCAACAGAATAGATCTGGTCCGGGACGCGGCACCTGGATGGCAGCCACCCCCACCCCACAAGGCCCTCCTTTCTCTATTCCTCTCTCCATTGACACCGGAGATGCCCAGGGCAATGGTCAAACCAATGGAATAGACCTGGTCCGGGACATGGCATTTGGATGGCAGCCACCCCCACCCACCAGTCGGCTCCTCAGTATGAGAGGTGCATGTTGCTGGGAATGCCGGAAGGCTTGTGAATGGAGGGTCATTATTCTAGCCCCCTCCTTGATGAAGATCAGTCATTAGCCAGGTACAAAGGAACAAGAAAGTAGCTTGGAATGAGTCACGAAGCTGGAGGTTGAGGGAGATGACGGCGCATCCTGGAGACTGAAGGTCAGGCTGCAGCGTTAGCCACATGCAACTTACAGAAAATAACCTCTGGGAACATGTTAATTTATTAGCATTTCACAAATGATGCTGAAACAATCGAAAGGAGCACCTGCTTCCAGTTGCATAGCACCAGCTGAGAGCACAAAGGCCTCTGAGGGTGGAGCAGGGTGAGCCCAGGCAGGGGGGCAACGCTGGGACAGCAGCCAGCAGGCCAGTGTTTCTTCAGCGGCCTTGAAAGGAGAGAGGCTGTGAGTCTGGAGTCAGTCAGGTCTAACACGATGCTCCTTTTCAAAAACTGCAGGACTTCCTGACCTTTACTCCGCTGCCAAACCAGGCGGGGATTGGGGGCGGTGGGGACAGAATAAGATGCTGGGCGCAGGGATGATTAGCCGCCTCTCAAGCTTTCATCCCTCAGGCACTCTGGGGACGAAAGTGACCTCTGTTTGTTTTTGCATAGGAAGCATTGTCCTGGGAAGCTGGCAGGATTTACTGCCAAGGTGAGAAAACACAGCGGCACATTTAGCCACTAATTAATTGCAAATGGACATCTGAAAATTGGATCCATCCTGAAAGGGGGTGGGGAAAGTGGTGTTTACTTGATGGAGGACCTAATTCATAAGCAGAGGGGAAGGCTGTGCGTTTCATTTCCCCTGCTTATCGATTCTTGAAAGCAATAAATGGTAGAGTTTGCTCTTTCATTTCGGTGAGTCATTCATTTCTGTGTCCTTTATCATTCCTATTATGCAAAGGGGTTGGCCAACCGTAAGATGAAGAAAATAGTTGATTTCAAGGTAGTCTTTTCCTTGTGCCTCATCAGAAGCCCCCTGCGGTCCAAGCTGGCTGTTAATTTTTGGTGTCTCTGCGTTGCGATAAAGTAATATGAATAGCCAACAGAATTTTGGCCTGGAAGACTTTGTTGGGATGGAAAATGTGAATGCTATGATTATTTACCCCGGTGGGATTCATTGTGAAAGTATCTCAGCTGCGTATGTAAATTGGGTAGTGCTGGCGTGACTTTTGTTTTTCATGAGAGCTCCAGTCCCTGTGATAAATGTTTTACATAGATTAGTCCTCACCAGCCCCTGTAAGACAGGTGCAATTAGTATCTCTCTTGCAGAGAGAGGCACGGATGCCAAGGGTTGGCAGTGAGTCCCAGGGACGCCCCGCGCAGTGCAGAGCCGAACCCCGGCTGTCTGGCTACAGGCAGAGAGCCTTTAACCACCACTGTACCGAACATCCCCCCTCCGCCTGCTGAGCTTTTCAGAACACAGGAAACGTGGGGCTAGATGTAGGTTTTCAGTCTCCAAAAGCCGGGTCTTGTTTTTATGTCTCTTTGGAGTCCACATGTGATTTAAATGGATTTGTCTCCAGATTGTCTTGGAAGAGGAAGAGGATGGGTGATGGGGGCATCTCAGTGCTGACTCTGTCTTTCTTCCTAATACTCAGGGTCATGTTTCACTGGCAGAAGCTCTCTGCACCCATGGCAGGGCACGTTCCCACACACATATTTTGCTTAAACCCAGAAATACAGCATTGAAGCAAACGCACGGCTGGCTGAGCCCTGACCTGGCCTAGTCCATCACTCATCAGTGATTTGCCAAATAAAGAGTTATGTTAACAAGATAAAAGAACAGGCTGGACGCAGTGGCTCACACCTGTAATCCCAGCACTTTGGGAGGCCGAGGCGGGCGGATCACCTGAGGTCAGGAGTTCTAGACCAGCCTGACCAATGTGGTGAAACCCCATCTCTACTAATAATAATAAAAAAAAAAACCTACAAAACTAGCCAGGCATGGTGGTGTATGCCTATAATCCCAGCTGCTTGGGAGGCTGAGGCAGGAGAATCGCTTGAACCCGGGAGGCAGAGGTTGCAGTGAGCTGAGATCACGCCATTGCACTCCAGCCTGGGAAACAAGAACGAAACTCCATATAAAAAAAAAAGAAAAGAAAAGAAAAGGCTGGGAAGGGTGGCTTACGCCTGTAATCCCAGCACTTTGGGAGGCCGAGGCGGGCAGATCACGAGGTCAGGAGATCGAGACCATCCTGGCTAACATGGTGAAACCCCATCTCTACTAAAAATACAAAAAATTAGCTGGGCGTGGTGGCGGGTGCCTGTAGTCCCAGCTACTTGGGAGGCTGAGGCAGGAGAATGGCGTGAACCTGGGAGGCGGAGCTTGCAGTGAGCCAAGATCACACCACTGAACTCCAGCCTTGGTGACAGAGCGAGACCCCATCTCAAAAAATAAAAAAAAAATTTTAAAAACCATCAAAAATGAAAGAAGGTTGAAGGAGGCATTTTTAAAACCTCCTGGAGCCTAGTTTTACGTTTTCCTACATGATCCATGTACAAGGCCATTAAAACAAACAAAATAGTGTGATAACTGATGAGCGTGACCGTTCAGAGACCAGCCTGGAGGTGGAGATAGAAAGATTTACACTTTTCTTTCCAATGGCAAAGCCTTTTCCAGAAAAATCTTAAGAGGAAGGGTCAAAGTGAGATGATACTTTATTGGATTTTCTTTTTCTTTTTCTTTTTCTTTTTTTTTTTTTTTTTTTTTTTTGAGATGGAGTTTTGCTTTTGTCGCCCAGGCTGGAGTGCAGTGGTATGATCTTGGATCACTGCAACCTCCAGCTCCCAGGTTGAAGTGATTCTACTGCCTCAGCCTCCTGAATGGCTGGGATTACAGGCATGAACCACCACGCCCGGCTAATTTTGTATTTTTAGTAAAGACGGGGTTTCACCTTGTTGGCCAGGCTTGTCTCGAACTCCTGACATCAGGTGATCCACCCGCCTCAGCCTCCCAAAGTTCTGGGATTACAGGCATGAGTCACCGCACCAGGCCAGATTTTATTTTCTAAGACATGAGACTCCCAGAAGGGGAATTTAAAAAATCTCTGACTCCTTGGCTGGCCCAGAAAACTAAACTCATGTCAGGGCACCCAGTGGGTTGATCATGTCTCAGGCTCAAGCTTCCAGCCCGACCCGATTATCCTTCTGATGCCAGGGTCCCCCCGTGGAGAAGGGCCAGGTAGGAGGGGCCCCAATGACTGCTCTCAGCCCTCCTGTGGAACCAGGTCTGTGTTCCTCGGGGGAAAGTTGGTGATGTCTTCACAGCAGGGCTGGAAAATCACCATGCTCACAAGAAATGAAAGCATCCAAGTGGCTGTGTGACATCTGTCACCCCGTGTCATGCTCACATGACGGTCTGGGAGGAATCACACAGTTATGTCAAATGTGATGTGCTTGAGAACGTGTGGGTTTTAAGGATATTTTGAGATTCAGAACACTTGCTTTTCAAGTCACTGTTTCTCTTTTAAAAGAAACGTGGAAAGCCGTTTGATCTGCTTCTTGATAGCTGGGCAGGACAGCACCGTGGTCAACGCTGCACGAGGCTTGCCTTCCTCAGAGTTCTAATCTCCACCCTCTGTCTGTTGTGGTCAGTTCATGTGTCTTTACACTAGAAACATAGCCTAGCATTTGCTGAAAATCATTGCATTTCTTTTTAAAGAATGTATTAAAAATAATCACAGAATGTATGGAACGTCTGCTCTGAGTAATTTATATGCATTTTTAATTTTTTACACGGTAGTCCTGCAGAGGACCTTGTAGTTAACAAAAAAGGCTCAACAAGCCCAGCTCACTGGCATGGCTCGCTCTCGTGGGCCACGGGGTGGGCGGCTTGCTCGGCTGGCTTCTCCCGCCCCCTCCCCACGGTTTCCGGGAGTCCCTGCGCGGTGGTTCCCACGGCCGCCCCGGCCAGCCTCACCTGACCTGGGATGCGCTTCCTTCCACAGCTGTAGCCCTCGGCGTCTCCCCGCCCCAAACACAGAGTAGGAGCTGCAGGCAGCCGTGCGTGGATGTGGGGATGGGCGTGGGACCCTCGTTCGGGGCATCAGGCTGGACCAGAAGAGGAGGGAGACGCAGGAAGAGATGACAAAGAGAGAAAGAAGCAAAGACACGAGCGAGGACAGGGACCCAGGAGAAGAGGGCGGATGGTCTTGGAGCATTTAGCCCTCCCACAGCCCGGCCATCCTCACGTCCCGTGCTCGGGCCCTGGCGCACCTGTTCTTCCCTCCGGCACTGCCTCCTCCTTGGAGCTGGCTTGAGTGAGCCTCCGGCGCGCGCGGCCGGAGAGGCGCAAGGGAGCCCCGCGGCAGCCTGGGAGATAAACCACGCTCGGTGCCGGCAGGAAGGGCAGCGGTGCACCGAGCTGCTGCTGGGCGTTTGCAGGGAGTGATCTGTGGCTGATGAGAGGCCCTGAGGGGTCCAGGGAGTCCGTACTTTGTGGGGAAACTCAGAAGGTTTTCATGAGGAAGTGACCCAGCCCAGGCTTTAAAATGCGTCCCTCTAGACTCTGCCCCACGCGTGAGGAAGTGAGCGTGGCGGGCAGAGACTGGGCTGGACGTGCGTGAGGCCGCGGTGTGTTTCCAGAGTCTCCAGGCGCCACGTGGAGATGAGCACACCTGCTGTTGGCTTGACGGACCCAGAAGCTGAACTGCTGTGTAAGAGGCTCAGGGAGCAGGACCTGAGGGCGTCTCCACAGGGCAGGGAGGCAGGCGCAGAACGTGAGGACAAGGGAAGGCTGAACTGCTGTGCAAGAGGCTCAGGAAGCAGGACCTGAGGGCGTCTACACAGAGCAGGGAGGCAGGCGCAGAACGTGAGGACAAGGGAAGGCTGAACTGCTGTGCAGGAGGCTCAGGGAGCAGGACCTGAGGGCGTCTACACAGAGCAGGGAGGCAGGTGCAGGAGGTGGGGACCAGGGAGGCAGGTGCAGGACGTGGGGACCAGGAAGGCAGGTGCAGAATGTGGGGACCAGGGAGGCATGTGCAGGACATGGGGACCAGGGAGGCAGGCAGGGCTGCCAGGAGCAGCCACAGACCACAGGGCTTTTGTAAGGGTCTGGGAGCTGTGGTTTGCTCACAATTGTTCATTGATTAGTGCCTGTTAGTTTCAAACATAGCAACACAATATAGTAATGAGAATGAAACTCCTTTTAAAAAGAGTCTTAAAAAGGTGGGCAACAGTGTTCTTGCCCATGGGTTTAGCGTGATATGGAAACTGGGATGTTTTGCCCCATTTCAAACACTGTTCTAGGAAGAGGACCACAGCAGTCCATGTGGAGGCAGCTGGAAGGAAGAAAGACAAAGCCGGCTTCCTTCCTGGGAGCCAGCGTGGGCTGAGGAGCTGGTGAGGTGCCAGAGAGCAGCCAGGGCAGGCCCTCCAGGTGCCAAGGCCACAGCCTCCTGGGCTCTGAGCTCCATGAGCTTCTGAATGAACAGTGAGCTGGCTCAGCCACAGCTCTCAGCTTTGCAGGGCTTCTTGTCAGCAGTCAGACCCGTATCACTGCCTGGTCCAACAGAGTCAATGGCCTTGATTTCCAGAATTCATCATTTCTGATTTAAAAAAGAAAACATCCATGATTATTTTAAGACACGGACATGAGTTCCTTAGATCCTCATTGCGCAGGGACACTTCAAAAGAAAAAGGGAAATTGGAAACCTTCTGGCTTAGGCCTGCGACTGGACGGCTCTGCCCCAGAGCGGTGCCCGCCGACCCAGGGTCCTCCATGGTCTGTGATGTTTTGATCACGACGGCTGAGGCCTTTGGTGAGAGCCCAGAACAGCCATCCAGACACTCGAAGGAGGTTCACGCTGATTCAGAGTCATCAGGGTAAAACCAATTCAGACCCAACTTACAAGCTGGACAGGAATTTCTGGTGAAAGTGGCTGAGGCATTTGATAGAAAGATATTCATGTTGTTAGTCCGTAAACTCTTATGGGAGATCCATGAAAAATTAAACCAACCATAGTTGGGCATCATATCTGAGGGACAGAGGTGGTAGCAGAGCCTTCTGTGGCTTCTGAGATGGCTTCATGTCCTCCCACCCTGAGTCATCGGCTGTATCACAATATTTCCTGGCAGCAGAGAGCAGACCTGGTCTCTCAGCCTTTCAGCCCCCTCCCCTTCCTGCTCTGCCGTCTCCTTTGCTGTCTGCCCCCTAGGACCTTCATTTTGCCACAGTGGCTGCAATGTCAATAAGAAGGCATTATCTTAAATTCCGCTAATAATAACTGCAATGAGGATGAAAATTTTACATTACCATCAGGCATTGCCACGGCCTCTCTTAAAGAACTATAGAGAATGATGTGGACACTTACAAATATGCCTTGACAGGAAGTTTCAGAAACAAGCTTGGAAATTGGGACGATGTTAATGCAGCTGCCCTGTCATTTTCCATAAAATTATTTTTATCTTCCTTTCCTCTCATCTTGCCAGATAATTATGATACGCTTTTTTTGTATAATTTTGATTAGGTTGATTAGCCAGACCCACTCTACGCTGTAAAATGCAGCTAATGAATTGCAGATTTTTTCATATCATTTTTCCACCTAGAGCATAGGCAGGACTTATCTATGATTCAAATGCAGAAAATGTTTTTAAGAGCGTTCATGCAGATGCAGGATTCAAGGAAAACCAGTTGAGAGGCACAAGTGCCATGAGGCTTCACATAAGAAAGGAAGCAGGGAAAGCATGTATGTAAGTAATGGACTCGCTGGATGCAGATTTTTATAGCAGACGCGGTTAAGGAAATTTGGAGAGGCCGTGTGTCCCACGTTGCGTCCATGTGAAGATGGCGACGCTGGTTTATCCCCGTTCTTGGTTCACTGAAGGAGAACGCTTCAGTTCCCCCTCCCAGCTCCCACTGTGGGAAGACAGGTGTGGTCTGAAGCGCTGCCCCTACTTGACAGAGGGAGGAAAAGGGAACCTTTGAAAGGGCCCAGGGAGGTCATAGAAGGTCAGTCATCAGGCTGAGCATGGTGGCTCATGCTTGTAATCCCAGCACTTTGGGAGGCTGAGGCAGATGGATCACTTGAAGTTAGGAGTTTGAGAACAGCCTGGCCAACATGGCGAAACCCCATCTCTACTAAAATACAAAAATTAGCTGGGTGTGGTGGTTGGCACCTGTCGTCCCAGCTACTCAGGAGGAGGCTGAGGCAGGAGGATCGCTTGAACCCCGGAGGTGGAGGCTGCAGTGAGCCGAGATCGCGCCACTGCACTCCAGCCTGGGTGACAGAAAGAGACTCCATCTCAAAAAATTATAATAATTTTAAAAAGGAAGATCAGTCATCAGCATGGTCTTCAAGATCTCTGCTCGCGTCCCGTGCTCTGCCAAGATGCTGCATGGACATGTTTCTCACCTCATCTTCAGAACCACCCTTGGCACAAACAGCATGATGACCATCCTACAGATAAGGAAACCAAGGCTTTCATTACTTGCCCCAGATCATAAGAGCCAGAGCCTGGACTTGAGCAAGTCAAGCCTGCATATTACGGCAGATGGAAAGCTGTGCAGTCTGCGTGTTCAAAGAGCATTTGCAAAAGGCAGCCAAGACAGGTGGGGCCGGAAGTCTGTTCAGAAGAATGTGAAATCTCGGCTCCTGGAGGCTGTTAGGGCTGTGTCCTCTCTGGATCTGTGTTGTTTATAAAGGACTGCCATGTGGTGGCACGTGCGAAGCCTGTCATGTTCCACAGGCTCTGAAAGTAGTTTGCCTTGGAGAGGGGAAAGACCCCCTATGGAAGGCTGTCTGCTGAGCACATTCCAATCAAAGGGGGAATTTCTCGGTTTCCTTAGGAACAGTTCAGCATCAGCGGAGATGCGGCGGCGGCTCCTGAGCCTTGCAGAGAGCCACAACACTAACAGAACTGCATTTGTCTCCTCTTGCTCTTCCAACTCTAAATAATATCTTAGCGTTTCATGCCAAATGGGATGAAATTGCCAGGGTTTTTCATTACAGAAAACATAAATTGCTGAAGGCAAATATACTGCCAGTGGAGCTGGCAACATGAGAATCATGCATTTGAGTCACAAACAAGTAGTAAAACACATGCATTTATGCAGCTGCTAATCTCAAGAAGCACCAACAGATGGGAAAACTGGAACAGCCTCTGCCTGGAACGTTTGTCTCCACGTTCCCAATACTGCTGGGCAACCCAGGGAGACCAGCCACGTGGGGAGGTTGAAACAATATTGGGGCCCGCCAAGCTGCCACAGCCTGGCACAGTCATTTCTTGGTGAAGTTTCAGGTCAGGAGCTCTGTAACCTGTTAAAGCACAATCGATCTAGAATCCGAGGCTTTAAAAATGAATTGCAATGTAAGTGCTGTGCTAAAACCTTGTACTTATTTGGTTTTCTGCGAGTAAACTTGACATGTGATGTATTTAAAACAAGAAGAATGATGCCTTAGGCATGATTGGTCCGTGAATAATAGGAAACCAGTTTCATCTGTCATTTTTTAACAAATGCCATTCACTGTTATTAATACCCAGAGTGGAATAAATGAATAATGGCTAGGCCTGGGGATATAGATCAAAATTCAGTTCTATGGCTAAGTAGTACTGAAAGTGGGTATTACAGAGATTCAGGGAAGAAAACAACCAACCACAAATCAGATTTTTGAAGTTGCTTTCATTTAGAAAATGAGAATAAAAATAGTATATTGGCTATGAAATATTCTGGTATATAGATTTATGTAATAAATTCTACCTGTAATTGATTGAGTTGATTCCATTCTGTAGGACAACTGAATGCAGGTTTAAAACAGTGCTACTGAAGTGAAGGATGTGCTTTGTAAGCTGGTTTGCCCTGTGAGGTTGTCCGTCTAACCCAGATAACACGAGTCACTCTCCCTGTACATGTGTCTGTGACTGAACTGATTTCATGGTGTAGGAATCGTCTGTTCATATGTGATTCTCCTGCCTGGCTATGAGCCCGCAGGCCAGGTCCCACCTGTGCACTGCTGCGTCCCAAGCATGCACCACACAGCACCGATTCTCAGGTCCTCATCCTCAAGGGCTGGTCGAGTACGAGTAGTCGGTGAAGCTTCACGTCCTCACTACCTGCCAGCAGGTACGTGGTGGCCCCTTTACCCGTAACTGGGAGGACAGCGGTCACCACAGTTGCTGGAGCTGCTCTGCCACGTCCTCAGATTATCCCTCTAAACATCTTTCCCGGGACATTCACTGTGAGGTGAAATCATACCTGTGGAAATCATTGTTGAAATGATCGCTTTGAAAGGAGTTTCCATCATCGCTGAGAGTCTTCGTTGAGGAGGGCAGAGGTGTTGAGTTCCTCAGCAGTTTCAAGCTGTGGCATATTCTTCAGGATTTCTTGACAAGCCCACTCAGGGCAGAGCCTCCGTTGAACAGCCAGGTGGGAGGCTGGGAGTCCTTCTTCCACACAGTCCTCCCCACACTGTCCTCCACACAGTCCTCCACCCCCCTGCAAACTCCCACCCGGCAGTTCACAGAGAGGCCTCATCTCCCAAACACAGACGCCCGTCTGGGATTTGGCCACAGCAGGAGGACGCAGCGGGGTGGCTCTTCCATGGAGGCCACTGGAATCCACTCGTACTCAGTCTTGGTGAGCTTGGCAGGTCTCTTTTCCAAGCTCAGATTTTGATGCCAGAAAAGGAGTGGCTTAAAGAGAAAGAGAATTGGGAATGGGCAGTTGAGCACCCAAAAGAGGCATTGAGAGGCCAGTCGGAACGGTGCCTGGCCCACGTTTCATCTTCCCTTTATTTTTGCAAAGCCTGGTCCTAAGCAGCTCCACAGGTAGCCCGAGGTGGGCTGCAGCTGCCCAGGCCAAGAGGTGAGCAGTAAATGCTGACACGCCACACAGGAGAAAACAGGGGTTTGGAGCCAGAGAGAAATTGAGGATGCAGGTTCTCATCCATGCTGCCACGGAGTAGTTGTGGGATTTTAATTCTACAACATCTCCAAAGCTCCTCCTCTGCACGATGGGCATGACGACGTTTTATCTTCTGCATTCAGATGCTGTGTGTTCCCTCCTCTCAGGCAGCTGCAGTCAGTGACTATGATGTCCAGAGATCACCCCAGGCTGACTCTTGTCCTGCAGATAGTGGGGCATGCAGGGGGCATCAAAGGGGACCTGGATTCAGGGTGGGTAAGCAAATGCAGGCATGTCATCCCCACAGCTACCATTTCAGATCTTTTTTCAGAAACTGATTACAGGAAGACACTGGATAGAACCCCACAGACTCAACTCGCATTCAGCTTAAATAATCCGCACTGTTACCTTCTGCACATGGTCCAACTTCTTTAAGGAAGCAAGGTGTCACCCTGTTCAGATTCTTCCTCCAGAGTTGCTTTTCTAGATGCCCAAGAAAATATGTCCTCCTCTGTGTTACCTGTGGACTGTAAAAGCCTGGGAAACAACATTCCATGCTGAAGTTTGAGCTGCTCGAGAATGCGACTAGTGTGCTTCTGATGCGTGGAGTTGGAGTTCGTGGAAAAAATGGGACCGTCAGCTCTGAGGGCAGCATGTCTTCCTCACTGTCTGTGAGTCTCCTGCAAGAGGCACCATGCGTGGATGGCACCGGTGACTGGCGGAGTGGATGAGCGAGGGACTGTTGTTCTGTGGGTGTCTTTCTAGATCGCAGTGGTGCCATTATCTGTGTGAGGGAACAGCAGTCACTCGGGGCTGACCCACGTTAGAGGAAGAAGGAAGGAAGCTGTACGTCTTTACCACCACCCTTTTCATTCCAGGCCATCTCATTCCAAAAAGGAAGACAATTCAGATACTGTCTTTTCCAAAGACTGTTGGATGCCAAGTACTTTTTATAATGTTTTATACTTAGGCATACAGGTTGGTGGGAGAAAATTTGGAAAGCACAAAAAATTTAAAGAGAAAATAAAACACGGCCATAATTCCGCTCATCAGAGCCCATCGCTGTGAGCATCTTGGTTAATTGCCAGCAGACATTTTCCAAAGCAAACTCAGATCACAAACCGCATCGAGTTTGAGTATACCAATTCTCACGTAACGTTACGATGGGAATTTCAATAACACTTAGAAGCTTTCTAACATTCTACATGATAATTGCACCATAATTTACTTAAGCTTTCTGCTTTAATTGGGCATTCCAAGATTAAGGCATATCAATTTTTTTTTTTAAGATGGAGTCTCACTCTGTCTCCCAGGCTGGAGTGCAGTGGCACAATCTTGGCTCACTGCAACCTCCACCTCTCAGGTTCAAGCAGTTCTCCTGCCTCAGCCTCCCGAGTAGCTGGGATTACAGGCACCTGCCACCGCACCCGGCTATTTTTTTTGCATTTTTAGTAGACAGGGTTTCACTATGTTGGCCAGGCTGGTCTTGAACTCCTGACCTTGTGATCCACCTGCCTCAGCCTCCCAAAGTGCTGAGATTACAGGCATGAGCCACTGCGCCCGGCTTCATTTTTTTTGAAGTAAAATAAATGGGCATCACAACTTACCCTGAAGTCATTTGCACAATACCCAGAACAAGTGTCAGCAATAATTAGAGCTGTGATTGCTCCTGCCACATCGAAGCACCTTACGTGCGGGGTTGAAAAGGCGCCTGTGGAGAAGGAACAGAAGCCAATCTCAGGCATCCATCAGGTGCAGAAAATTCAGACAATACGTCAGCTAAAGAAGTTAAGAGCGTTTCAAAGTGAATATTTTTTTATGTTAAAATGCCTGAAAAAGTTCTATCCAGAAAGCATGTTGTGTGACAAAGACACTGAGAGAGGGTGATGGGAGAGTCCTGTTCTGTGTTCGTGTGGAAAGACAGTGATTCCAGAGAGGTCCACAGAGGTGGCGCAGCCCTGGGCCACAGTCGGCTCAGTAGGTAAAGGTGAAATGGGCCCTCGGTTAATCACTTTTGTTCTTCCTCCCTTATTGGTGGCCTCAGCCCTGGCTGTGGATTGATTCACCTGTGGCACTGTCAAATGAACTGACCTGGGCCCCACACCAGAACAAATGAGCAGAATCTCTGGGCTGGGGCATGAGGCCTGTGTCCTCCTAAAAGGTCCCCAGGGTTAGGGAGGCAAGATTTAGCCAATGAAATTGAGAACACATGGACACAGGAAGGGGAACATCACACACCGGGGACGGTTGTGGGGTGGGGGGACGGGGGAGGGATAGCATTAGGAGATATATCTAATGCTAAATGATGAGTTAATGGGTGCAGCACACCAACATGGCACATGTATACATATGTAACAAACCTGCACATTGTGCACATGTACCCTAAAACTTAAAGTATAATAATAATAAAATTTAAAAAAATAAAATAAAATAAATAAAAATAAACTGGAAACCAAAAAAAAAAAAAAACCCAAAAATAAAATCACTTTTCATGAACAGAGCAAAAGAAAAAAAAAAAAATCCAGGACGCCCAGTTAGGTTTGCATTTCACAAAAACATTTGATGTTGCATGAAATATGTGACAAAAATGCTCGCTGTTTCTCTGAAATTCACATGTAACTGGCGTCCCAGGTTGCCTGGCAGCCCTGCCCAGGAACTGCCGATGCTGTGAGCAAGAGAAACAGTAAGGCTGCTTTCAGGCCGCTGCTCCTGACCCCGGAGGCTTCGGGCCGCTCCCCCTGACCCCGGAGGCTTCGGGCTGCTCCCCCTGACCTCGGAGGCTTCCGGCTGCTCCCCCTGATCTCAGAGGCTGTTTCAGAAAGTGAGCACGAGGAGCAATAGCCTGAGATTTGAAGGCCACATTTTTCTAAGCTTTGTAAAATGCCCTTCACTCTGTCTTTAAAGTAGTGTTTCCTGGGTAAGCATGGTGGACATATCTTTAAGGTGTCTTTAGTATAAAACTTTATTAAGTATAGATGGTAGTGCAGGGGACCTAACGCCGCATGTATTTGGAATTTAGATCTGAAACAGGTTGTAGAAAATATAAGTAGGTGTCACTTTTCATGCGAACAATGTTCAAGTTTCACCACAGGCAGATACGATTTCCTCTTGAAGTTAGCAGATATTTAAATAAGAAATAGTGTGCCTTTCTACTTCAGCACTTTTTAATTTTTTTTCCGAGTCCAGAAAAAATGCAAAGTTAAGTGTACGTTGCTGTTAGTCATAACTGAATTCCTTCGGAAGATGATGTCGTAGTTTATCGGAAGGCATGGTGGTGTTTAAGCTGGTAAGGCCTGCGGAGCTCCGGAGCGGGACGCGAGGGGGTGACGAGTGCACCTGGTGACTGGAGCCGGGCTCCGCTGTCGTGCGCCTTTGCAGCCATCTGTTCTGACAGAGGCACTGATTGTCATTCTTAGTTGAGTGGGGTTGCTTCATTAGTGACTTTGAGACTTTCTCTTGGCCTGATTTAAGTGACATTTAACCACTGGTAAAAATTCTGCAGACTTTAGGGGCAGCTTCTGTGGAGACTTGATCCTCGGTCCAAAATAAAATTACGATCATTTCTATGGTTTTCAAAGAAAAGCCATTAGTAATCATTACGGCAGTGGCTGAGCGCGGCTGGTGCACAGCTGCGAGTGAAATGGAGGAGGAAGCCAGCATTAAAACCAATCAATGTCATTGTCCTAACGGAGCAGAAATGAATCCCTAATTTAAACAGCCTTCAAATCCTGTCATTAGGGAAGCGGCTCAAATGTAGGCTCGAGCGTGCTTTCTGTAAAAGTAAACTTTTCAAGAGTTAGAAGAATCTAGAAATGGGGCAAGCTCAGATGGCTGAACTCTGCACTGACTCTCAGAGGGCTGCTTCTGCTGAGCGTTCCCTGTGCGTTCCGGAAGCAGCTCCTGTGGGCGACACCCGATGGGGACCGCGCTTCGCTCCGCAAACATTGTCACTGCGCCTGCGCGGTGACTCCAAGAGCCGAGGCCCACGCCTGTCCCCTCCCCCCACGAAGAGGTGCCGTGGAGCACGTGACCTGACCCCTCCTCACAGCCGGAGGCAGAGGGGCCGGGATGGACCCCCCGCCTCCCTGACTTCCAACCAGGCACCTTCCCCGGCTCCATGCTCATGGCGACGCAGCCGATTTTGCGTGAAGACCTGTGTGCTACCCATGGGAGGCCAATAAGGAGAAGGGCTGTGTACGACCACGGAGAGCTGCGGGACAGTAGGCCGGAGAAAAACAGGAAGAACTGAAAGACAGGCACCTCCACACCTTTCCACACATCTTCAGAGGTACATGTCAACCCGCCCTCCACCCTCCACTGCCATCCCACCTACGCATAGGGAACAGGTAGCATTCCTTGGGGAGGATGGAAACCGAGTTCTCACCCAGGCGAGAGAAAATGCCAGGATCTCAGGGGCAGGCTGCACAGAGATTCAGCCTCAAGGGAAGTCCAGGAGGATCTGGGCAGGGCACAAGGTGACAACGAGCTCAAGCTGTGCAGGTAGAACCAGGCGGATCCGTGTAGCAAGAACTCGGGGAGAAGAGGCAGTGCCCTAGGAACCCAGATGGCTGCCTTCATCTCCGCAGCTCTGAGACGCGCCTCCATGGATGGAGCGCATAGAGGGCTGCTTTCATCTCCGCAGCTCTGAGACACGCCTCTGTGGACGGAGGGCACAGACGGCTGCCTCCATCTCCGTGGCTTTCAGACACGCCTCTGTGGACCCAGCGTGTAGACATCTGCCTCCATCTCCGCAGCTCTGAGACGTGCCTCTGTGGACCGAGCGCATAGACCGCTGCCTCCATCTCCCTGGCTTTCAGACACGCCTCTGCGAGCCCAGTGCATCCCTGGATGAGAATGAAGCAACGGAATGGGACAGTTAGAGGGACGGACCCCAGGGAAGACCCAGAGACACACCTGAACGTGTGTGGGAGCCGCGAGGGTCCTGGTGAAGTTTCCCAGATTCTGAACGTTGGTTTAATGGTGAAGGCTTCACATTCTAATCCTCCTGTAAGCAAAGGTGTCCATCAGCTAGGAAAACGTCCTATCGGCAATGAAAAGAAGTAAGTGTGCTTTTCAGAAATGGAAGGGAAGCAAGCCCACTGCCTGCTGCCATCTCCCTGGGCAGCGGCTGGCTCCTGTAGAGAAGCTGGGGCGGGCGGTGGGCACGTCAGGGGTAGATGCGGAAGGGGTGGACGCGGCACGACCCTGCTTCTTACCCTGATTCTTCCTAGGCAGTGCTGACAGCATCTGTTTTATGGTTTGGGGTTTTGTGTCCATTTCATTTCGAAAAAGGCCTGTACTATAAAAAGTGCAGTGTGGACTCACAAGACTGGTGGGAACGTGTTGTATCTCCTGACCACGGAGGGGCTGGCCTGCCATGCCAGGAGGACGCAGGGCCCCTGCCCTCCCATTCTGCATCGGGGGGGGCAGTAGGATGAACCCATAAACACATAACAAACACTCTGCAGGGCAGGAAAGGCTGCAGGGCCCACACACAGTGGACGAAAGTGGGTCATGTCCTTCTCTTGGTGTTTATGAGGTGATAATACTATTGTTTCCTTTTCCATCAAGAAATCCAGTCTTTTCTTATGAGCAATTTCCCTTCTCATGTGTGAACCTGGTTTTTCCTTCTAATACTTTGAAGGCTTAACTGCTTCCTTTTGCTTCCGCATTAGCATGATTTGGAGACAACTTCCCCCTGAGAAGACGCAATTGTGCTTTGAGTTTAAAAACCTGTCAATTTAAAGTGTGCATTTCCTCCTCTTTCTTCCCAAACCTTGCAGTTGGCATTCACGGGGCAGGTCTTTAAGAAATGAGGGGCCACTTGGGCAGGTGCGGTGCCTCACGCCTTAATCCCAGCACTTTGGGAGGCCAAGGTGGGTGGATCACGAGGTCAGGAGTTTGAGACAAGCCTGGCCAACATGATGAAACCCCGTCTCTACTAAAAATACAAAAATTAGCCGAGCGTGGTGTCAGGCGCCTGTAGTCTCACCTATTGGGCGTCTGAGGCAGGAGAATTGCTTGATCCCGGGAGGTGGAGGTTACAGTGAGCTGAGATTGTGCCATTGCACTCCAGCCTGGGCAACAGACCCAGACTCCATCTAAAAAAAAAAGGAAAGAAAAGAAAAGAAACGAGGTGCCACTCAATGCAGCCTCCCCCAAACAGACACCACCACACCACAGAGCACACAGAGCTCCAGCCACGGGGTTGAGGCTCAGCTTCACGGAGATCTAACTCTTCTGTGGCGGCAGAGAACAAACTTAACTTCCCCAGGCGTCAATTTCTGCATCCACAGAACTAGAGATGATCACTCCTGGCGTAATGACAGAGTGGTAGGGTGTTAGAGTGAGGTCCCGAGATATGCCTGTTGGCAAATGTACCTTTAAATCCTCATACGTGCCATTTTTCTTCATCAATTCTCCATAATGAGGCATTGCCAGGACCGACACCAGGTGGCAGCTCAGCCCCTGGCGGTCTTGGTGCCCTCCCTTCCCTGCCAAGATCAGACGGGGGCCAGCGTCAAGGTCAATGGAGTCCTGTGGGTTCATCGTGTCGTCTTCCAGGCAAGTTGCCTGCTCGTGTGGTGGCCGTGCTGGGTCTGAACCTGTGGCCTTCCCATTGCAGGAGAAGCGACACCAGACAGCCAGTGCCAGCGTGCCAGGGCTGGCTCAGATGCCCGGCAGCTGTGGGGGAAGCATTGTCTCCACTTCCAGGACAAGGAGAGGCAGCCGAGGACGTTTACTGTCCCGTGTTACCCGGCCACACACCCCAGGGCCCTTTCTCTTCCCCTTCTGCTGTGCTGCTCTGAGCCGGAGACTGAGCCGGCCAGGGCAGCCGAGGCCAAGAGTGGCGCTGCTGAGGGGCCGCCATCATGAGGGGTCAGAATGTGGTGGGTGAGCCAGGACTGCGCTGGCCCGGCGAGGTCGGTGTGCTGAGACCACAGTGTGCTCGGGTCACAGTGGTGATTGAAACGTTTGCCTCTGCACCTACTGGGAAGCCTCTTCCTGGAGGACCCTGGCTTTGATCTGTGGTTGTGCTGACGTGGACATCTTTGCCTCGCAGGATGCAGATTGCAGACGCTCATCGTCTCGCAGGCAGCTCCAGCTCGAGTGGTGGCCGTGCTGGGTCTGTGCCCGGGGCCTTCCCCCGTATGCTTTCGCTTTCTAGTGTCTGCGATGACGTGCGATTCACTAATCACCCGGACTCAGCGCATCTCTATGTTAAATAGCGCGTGTCCATCTGCAAAGCACACGACAGCCCCTGCGGCCACTGGGTGCCGGCGCCCAGCCTGTCCCGAGAGCCTCTGACAGCCAAGGATTGGCCCAGGTGTGGCTGATGGATGAAACAAGACTGTGAGTATTCCCAGGCAGTGACGTGGGGCCCCCGGCACGGTTCTCCTTCGAGTGCCCAGAAACACAAGCCTGCCTGATACATAGAGAATGTAAAACGCCCACTGGCTTCCCTGAAAGTCAGGTTTCTTCTTGCAAGTAAGTCTACCCTAAGGCTATATGGTCCATCGGTCACTCACCTGCCCACAATCATTTCTTTCCTCTCTTCTGCCTCTTCATTGGCAGAGTGTTCTGCCTCCCTCCATCATCACTCAGGAGAGCCCTGTTGCAGGTCAGTGCAGAATCTCTACATGAGACATTGCGGTGTCGGTGGAAGCATCACAGGGCCTCGTGGGGGCGCCGAGAGGAGTGCATGGGGGTCGGAACCTGCAGGTCTGTCTGCGCCTCTGTCCTCTGAGTATGCGCTCTGCCTCTCTGGTGCTGATTTCCTCACTTTCTGGAAGGTGTTGATGATGCAGCCACCTGGGCCCGGGCCTCTGAGGACCGGTTCTGGGAAGCATCCTGCTTCCTTCCCTTCTCAAGGCGCACTGCCCGAGTCTCCCTTCCAGGAAGTGTGAGCAGCTTGTGACATTGAGACGACTCATCACTGAGCAAAGGAAGGCAAACGTGGCGCACCCAGCACAGTGATCACGGCGCCCTATGTTTGATTAAGGGCCATCACAGACCCTCTCAGATCCACCCAGACCCCTCTGGGCCACAGGGGAGCAGGACAGCCATTTCTCTGAAGCTCAAGGGTGATCAGAGATGTTAGAAAGTGCGCCTGTGTTGTGTGTTCACTCGGGACAGGTCCACGCTCTCCAGGCGGCACCCGAGGCACCGCACACGCCATCCGCACGTTCGCTGCTGTGCCCAGAGGTGTGCGTTGCTGGAGGAGGGTTGGGTGTTGACTCCAAGGAAGCACCAGGGCACAGAATAGCCAGACGACCTTGCTACAGCTCCCCCAAGATGGTTTACGGGGTCTCCAGTCACACGTTGTGGAGTATGGTTTACATGGTCTCCAGTCACACGTTATGGAATATGGTTTACGGGGTCTCCAGGTCACACGTTATGGAGCACTGCCTTCATCAAGCTCCAGCAGATGAGAAAGGTGACTCCTAAAGTACGTTCTGCCAGAGGGACCCTAAGCAAGGGGTCTGAGTGAGGAAGCCCCACCCGGAGTTGCCGCGGTGAAAGACTGTTTCTCCAGTGAAGACAGATGTGCATTCCCACGCGTGAATGGATGATTCCCAAGACTTCTCAGTCAAAGGCACGTTTTGTTTTGGCGATGGAAATGTGAGGTCAGAGGTCGGCGCTGTCAGTTTCACAGCACCGATCAGCCTCACACATGGGATGGGATAGCGTCCAGCCTCTCCCTGGGAGGTATTCAGTTTGGACCATGGGAAGTAAAGAGGCTAGGTGGAGGAAGCTTACGGTCACGTGATTTCAGAACGTCTCAGAGCGCAGAGAGAGCTGTAGTTGTATGACAGCAGCCAACGTTGGCTTCCTAGGCCAGGCGGCCCATCTTTCCAATGACTGGTGGAGCAAATGGTTCTCCTCCCTTATACGAGGAGGCCAGGAGAGAGAGATCTACCAGAAGAAGGAGGATTTCCTTGTCTCTTTAAGCATAGATAAGGGCATTTCTGAGGTCGCTGAGATGGTAATTAGCATTTCTCCCATGCTGTCCCAGATGCGGAAGATGTAAGGAAGAACATGGCTCTACCTATGGCCTGTCCAGGCGAACAGGGTTCTTGCCTAGTGAGGGTTCTGAACTGGGGGTGGGAACGTGGTAGAAGTACGGTAGTCCCCGCTGTCCACGGGGACATGTTCCAAGACCCCTAGCAGATGCCTGAAACCTCAGCCAGTACCAACACTTGTAGGTAGATTTTTCCTGTTGTCGACAAAAAGAGTTGAACTCTGTAAAGTATTTTGAAGGGGTTTATTCTGAGCCAAAGATGAATGACCCACAGCCCGTGGCACAGCCCTCAGGAGATCCTGAGAACATGTGTCCAGTGTGGTCAAGATACAGCTTTTGGTTTTATACACTTTAGGGAGACATAAGCCATTGGTCACTACCTGTAGATGTACCTTGGTTGGGTCTGGAAAGGCAGGACAACTGGAAGTGAGGCCTCCCAAGTCATTATGGAGTCAAACATTTTCCGATTGGCCATTGGTTGAAAGAGTTAAATTATTGTCTGAAGACCTAGAATTCATAGAAAGCGATGTCTGGGTGAAGATAAGGGGTTGTGGAGATGCAGTTCCCACCGTGCAGAGGAAGCCTCCAGGCAGCAGGCTGCAAAGAGGATGGATGGTAAGTGTTTCTTATCAGAGTCAATTCTCTCCTGGATCTGGGAAAAGGAAGGAAAAAGAAGGGAATTCTCTTCAGAATGTAGATTTTCCTGCACTATTTCAAGATACGGCAAAATAAATAAAAAAAAAAAAATTACACATTCGGGATGGAAATATTTTTATTTTGTTCTTTATCTGTCACGTGATGTGCCCGAGTCAGGTTGGAAAGTGAGCCATGTTATGTAGGGTAAAGAAAACCCCTCTAATGAGACTCCGTGGTTTGTAGGGCATGACTCCCCAGGCCCCTTGGATGGGAATTTGGGCAAGAGCAGAAGAAAGCCAGAGTGCAGAGCTCACTGTGTCTGTGCAGCCGTGATAAAGCTCAGCACATACGTTAAGCACAGTAAGAGAGTAACCTGAATAACTGTAATGAAATCGGCATTTATAACAATCTACTTTAATAAAACGTATGTGAATGTGGTCTCTGTTTCTCTCTCAAAGCAGCTTATTTCATACCTCAGTGACTGAAGCCACAGGAAGAGAACCTCCAAGAAGGGGGTGCTGCCCTGTACAAAATGTAGGCTGAAAATACAAAGCCTCGTTAGATAAGGAAGGATGGTACCCACAGTTATACTGACACACATGCTGCATTAAGCTCTCCCAGCTAGAAGGCCACACCGCACTCGGAAACCTTCCATGCATGTACCCTCAGCCCATGCTGGATTGTTAACTTTGAACGGTGTCACCTGAGCCACACAGCTTCCAGACCTCCTGTTCTCTCATCTGATAAACAGCAAGGGCGGGTGGGAGGAGATCAGGCAAGGAAGCGTTTGTACTCCTGCAATTCAAGGCTGACCTTCAAACGTCCCCACTCCTCATTCTTGGAGTGCTGTTCTCAAGATAATTAGGTGTGTTCCTCCAGCAAATCGCAGGCTTCCGATACCAAGCTTGTGCTCTGTGTGAAGCACGTGGCTTTGCTAAACTCCATGCCTGTTGCTGCTGGTGTTGTTAGCGGAGTGCTCATGCTTGTCATTGCAACTGGGTGATGTTGGCCCATCCTTCAAGTCCGCCCTGTGAGAGCCCCTGCCTTGTCTCTGTGTGCATGTGTGCTGAAAGTCTGGTGTAAGGAGGGCTGAGGTTGAAGGGCCCATTGTTTTAGTTCATCCCCAAATTCCTTTCTCACACAGCTGGACGCTCTGTTCTCACATTACTCACACATATGACGATGGTCTCCATGGAAACTGTAGTTAATTAGAGCTGTCCATCATATTTCTACATGAATGAGACCATTCCAGTCTGTGGTTTTATGTTATACTTAATGTGGACATTTGGCAGATGTATTTCATTAGCTGAAAAACGCAGCTTAAACTATGCAAAAAGTGCTGTTAGCCTTGAAGAAATGGGGTTATGTTAAATCATTTGAGCTGTCTTGTAAGATACTTAACTTAATTCAGATAGCTATTTCTTATACATGTGTGTTTTTTTAAAAGCTGTAACTGGGAGATCCCATGAAATGAACTCTTAGTTCACATTTACCTGAGAGGCGACCGTATCCTCTTCATCAGCATCTCACATTCCAAATCTGTCATCTTCCTTTCCCAAACCTCTACGAACTTATTGAAAATGGCAGATGCCGATTTGTTGAATCAGAGATGGTGATTGCAGTGTAAGTGGCTCCAGCATCACACTCTGAAATAAATCCGTTTGCAGACTACAGCCTGGCTAACTGCATCTAACACTTGGGTGGGGGGGGTGGGGGCAAATGTGAGATGTGCCTCAAAGCCTGTCCATGAATATTGGAAACCCACATATGTGTGTGAATACATGCCTAGAGTCTGAACATGCAATCATATTTATATTTGGGGCATATATGCCAAAATGGTGACAAAGATGTGTGTACGCACATGTGTCATCATTCTGATACCCCATAAATAACATGTTTACATGCACATGTAACGTGGTGCCAAATTCTCCCTTATCTGATGCTCCCTGCCCCCCTCCTCAGGCCACTCCCCACACCACTCACTGTGGCTGGTGTCGGGCAGAGCCTCCCTGAGATCCAGCTGTGTCTACACTGCCTCTGCAGCCAGGTAGAAACCAAGGCAGCCTGGAGAGTCGGCACCTGGTTTCCTGGGCAGAGCCTCCCTGAGATCCAGCTGTGTCTGCACTGCCTCTGCAGCCAGGTAGAAACCAAGGCAGCCTGGAGAGTCGGCACCTGGTTTCCTGGGCAGAGCCTCCCTGAGATCCAGCTGTGTCTGCACTGCCTCTGCAGCCTGGTAGAAACCAAGGCAGCCTGGAGAGTCGGCACCTGGTTTCCTGGGCAGAGCCCACTGGGAGGAGAGCTACGGGATGATGCTCAGTCCAGCTCCTCAGGGACCAGTTAAATCAAGTGACAAGCTTGTCTGTCTCCCCAGTTCCCTGTTGCCCCACACATGGAGGGAAGACAGTGCTCAGTGACCCCAAGACCTTTTACAGCCACATGCTGATGTCATTCTAAGAAAGTGATGTCTGCTTTTGTGTTAGCACAGATCGAACAATGGAAAATCAATGCCAGTGACCTGGGTGATCTCCCAACAGAGGGAAATTAAATCAGCGTTTTGGTCAAAGTGGACCTAATATGAACTAATATTAAGCACTAAGATCACAAATGCAGGCTTTGAACATTGCAAAATGAGGCTTCGAATGGCATGAAGCTTTCTAGACCGGAAGGAAAGTCTTTCTCATGGGCGATGCAGGGCCCTCATGGGACTCACCCAGCTGGAAGGAACCGGGGAAAATTAGAGTGGACTGATTTTACTCAAGTCTGTTCCAATGCAAATAAGGCCTAATAAATTTGAAGTTAGGCCAGAGTTAAAGCTGAGAATCATTGGGACTCACTGCCTATGTCCGTGTCTAGGTGGGAGAAATACGTGCATCTGTGGTCACAATGCTGCTTTACAGAAAACACTGGTTGTTCCTGAGGTTATTGGCACAAAATGCTGGGCTCTGAGCGGTGACGTTTGAAGAAATACAAAGGTGTCTGTCATGTTTGAACTGTTGAGTGTGGAGGGTTTTGAAGATGTGCAGGGAATGACTGCAGTCTACACCAGAAACGCATTAAAGAGTGACTTTGTTTCTGTCTTTGCAGAGGAAGAAGCTGGAGACTTGGTCCAGCCGGGCATCAGCTTTCCGGGGCCGGCAGAGGAGGATCTAGGTAGAGTACAGACGTCAGCCCCGCTCTGGCGGGGCCCGGACAGAACCGGGCATGCTCCGGGCACCTCCCATCATGCGGACCGTCCCACAAACACACGTTAGCATGTTTAGAAAGGGAGCTAAGAAGAACTAAGTACAATGCGGCACTTTTTTCCAAAAATAATAGTTTTTAAGCATTACGGAAGTGCTAGGTGAGGAAGGGCTGCTCCTGGCCCTCAGGAACTGAGGCAGCCGTTCACATAAACGATGCATGTCTCCAGAGGTGAAGGACCCCTCCTTCCCTTGCTCCTCTGTGTCTAAACATATTCTAAGCAAACTCAGGAAGCAGGGTGTTCCCGCATTTGCATTTTTCATGTAGACCTTCCTTGGCAGGAAGCAGCTCATCTCTCCAGCTGGCCCCACACACTGGGGTCTGGATGCTGAGTATGACTGTGCGCTTCCTTCCAAGGGCCCTGCGAGAGGCTGCCACGACACACTTTCCCCGATGCTGGTTCAAATCACGTGGAAATTTCATTTCTGAGCTGCCACCAGCACAGCAAAGCTGGTGCCATATTTGCCATCAGTCTTTTGACATGGAGCTATGCTTACAAGAACAAGGCCCAATGCTTCTGTTAAAGATGTGAAATGTTGAATACATCTGACATCAAACTGTTGAATAAAATCAACGTCAAACCACAGCTGAAGACGGAAGCCCCATCAGTGGCTCTGTCTGTGGTTATTCTCTAACCTAAAAGAGGTTTGTTGCTGTCTGTGGTTATTCTCTAACCTAAAAGATTGTCAGCCTCTTTCTCAAGCCACTGACAGCTGTCTGCAGTGACAGCACTCAGGGCTGGGTCTCGGATCATAAGTTCAATTTATATTTAAATGTACATTTTTAAAAACGTATTTCAGACTTTTAGCCAGTGCATCTATTGCTGGTTTGATTTGCCTAAAGAATAATATCGAAAATTGAAGGAGTCCACTTTGTATAAAGCTGTGATTTTTGTTAAAGAAAACTACAGCCAAAAAGTGTTTGCTTTTCAATATAAGATGATGGAAATGGGTAGAGTTCTAAAGGATGACCGTCCATTATCCACTGCAACTGAGTCCTAGATTTGTTGCTAACTGACGTTCTACACAGCCTTTCTTCACTCGGAAATAGACGAGTGAAAGTATTTCGACTTCTCATTAGGAAGGAACAGTGGCTATCATGTTTGAATAATTATGCATCTGTTTTTTTAAACCTCAGTCTGGCAATACTCCATCGCGATGAATCTTCACTACTCAGCCTGCCTGGGGAGGCTTCCAAATGCACGGGACTCATTTGACGTTTGTTTTCTTGAGGCTTTGGAGGTAGCTCAGCTGCCTTTGCACTGTCTCTGGACAATGTTAATGTCATAGTTGTGTCTATTCCAGTTCTTCTCCATAGCAGCGGCGCCCACGTGCCCCAGGGGCCTTCTCTGGGGCAGCAGGAGGTACCTGGGGTGGTTCTGCTTGGGCTCAGGCACAGTGAAAAGAACCTGGAGGCTGGAGCAGGGGGCACAGAACTGAAACAAGAGTGCAGGAGTCACTCTGGGGAGGCCAGCTTTGCCTGGATTCTGACCCTGGACTCCGTGGTTGAGAGTTTGTTTGTTCTGCAGCCACACAAGTGAGCATCGAGGGATGAGGCTGGGGGGCGAAGGAGGCAGAATGTCACATGGGTGGCTTGGTGAAGGCTGGATTGTAGGGACAGAAAGCATTTTTTCATCTTAGCCCTTTGTAAGTAAGTTCAACAGCATTAAATGCATTCATGTTGCTGTATAGCCGTCAGCACCTCTGTCTCTAGAACTTTTTCCTCTTCTGCAAGTAAAACTCTGTCCCCATGAAACACTCAGTCCCTTTCCCCTCCCCAGCCCTGGAACCCCCATTCTGCTTTCTGTCTCTGAAACTGACTCCTCCAGGGCCCTCCTAGAAGTGGAACCACACAGGATTTGTTGTTTTGTGACTGCTCATTTCACATGGGGTAATGTCTTCTTGTTACTGCATGTATCAATGTGTCACACGCCCTTTCTGTTGAAGGCTGAGCCACACTGCACTTTGTGGATGGACCACACTGGTTTCCATTCCTCCGTGGACAGACCCCGGGTCGCTTCTCCTTGGCCAGTGTGAATGGTACTGCTGTGAACACGGAGTGCAGCTCTCTCTCCACGTCACTGTTTTCGGTTCATTTGGGTAAATGTCCAGAAGTGGAATTGGTGGATCCCATGGTGAAGCGATGCTTCCTCGTTTTGAGGAACCTCCACACTGCTTAGGGACAGGGTGTGCTTTGCGAGCTGCCTCTACAGTCTTGCCATGGGGTGGGGGTTGGCCATTGTAAGAATGAGAAGGGTCAGATGTTAGAAGCTCTGGAAAGAAGGAAATGAGAGAATTTGGTGACGGTTGGCTGAGAGGACCCTCAAACACGTGCCTGGCTTTCCCCTCTTGGGGTGGTACGTGGGTGGAGGACTCTGGAGGGAGAGGGAGGAACTGCTGTAGCCATCTGGTGAGCCCAGGGACCTGAAGCAGCCAGGTGCAGGCACACGGTGACCTGGAGTCACAAGATTTGTGCAGAAGTGCACCTCGTGAGGAAGGTGGACGCATTGGTTCCAGGGAGGCCTTTTAGCCCATTCGTGCAAATATTAGGTCTTGACCCTGGTTCTATGTCAGTCAGGATCACTTGGGGAAAGTTTAAAAACATACCAGTGCCCAGGCCCCACCTGATGTATTTGTCTGAGAAAGGACTTGGCCATTGTCGTCTTTAAAAGTTCTTTACCTGATGCTTTTTTTTTTAATGGAAGAAACGCTTCTTGTTTTACTTTAAAAATATTTTTTCTAGCTTTATTAAGTTATATTCACGGATATAAATTGTGTGTATAGTATACAACGTGATGTTTTGATACAGGTATACGTTGTGAGATAAGTCAACAAAGCTAGTTAACATCTTGCCACCTCACATCCTTATCATCACCTTGTGCTTTTAAGAACATTTAAGATCTCATCTCTTAGCAGTTTTCAAGTAAACAAACCATTTAACTGTGGCCACCACGTGGTACCATAGACCTCGTCACTTACTCCTCTTGTCTAACTGAAATGCTGCACCCTTCCGCCAACATCCTCCCAGTTCCCCCCAACCCTCTCTCTGTTGACCACTGTTCTACCCTCTGCTTCTGAGTTCTATGCTTTCAGATTCCACGTGTAAGTGAGGTCACGCGGCACCTGTCTTTCTGTGCCTGGCTTGTTCCACTTAGCATGATGTCCTCCAGGCTCATCTATGTTGTTGCAAATGCTAGGATTTCTCACTTTTTAAGACTGAGTAGGTATTCCACATTTTCTTTGTCTGTGCCTCTGCTGATGGGCTTGAGGTTGGTTCTGCGTGTTGGCTGTGGTGAACAGCATCTTAACGAACACGAGAGAGCAGATACCCCTTCCACACATCCATTTTATTCCCTTCAGAAAAATACCCAGAAGTGGGATTCCTGGATTATTCCTTTATCATTCTAATGTACCCCTAGGATTGAGAATCCTGATATAAAACATATGAAAGGATAATTAAGAGAAAAAGCAAAAAACACAAAAAGAAAGGAAGGAAGAAGGAAGGAAAGAGGGAGGGAAGGATATCTGAGTTATGTTCCCAACACTATCATAACAACATTGGGAGCAAATAGCATTATTTTAGACATTTGTTTTTCCAAATTGAGTGTTCCAATCTCCTCATCTTTAAATTGAGAGGGTTAAATGATGATTTTTAAGGGATCTTCCCAGTCACGAATTTATGGATCTATAATTCTACTGGGTCAAATTAAAATTAAAAACACTTCATAATGATCTTGATGCTATTATAGTGAATGAGTAACTATCATTTCCAAAATGCTGTGGGACATTTTACAGCACAGTATAGGTTAAAGTCATAAAGCAATGAAGTGACATTTGCTTCTGGTCCTATTTCAAAGCATCAATCTTTTTTTTCCAACTCCCCTCAGTCTTCAAAAGCTCCAAGGAAAGCTGAGTAGCATTGGCTGAAGAGCTTAAGATACCATTAGTGCCAGATGAATTAATAAAACCGCCCACACTTGTGTTATTAGCCATTACCTCTTAAGAGCATTTGCGTTCTCTGAAGCTCATAGAGTGTAATGTATGAAAAGTAATTTTATGATGGGGAAAATGGCTGTGAAATATAGGAGGATAAGGAAGTTTTCCATAAAATTAAAGTCACTGATAAAATGAATTAATGTAGCACATTCAAAACGAATACCTTGAAAGAGAAAAACCTCACTTTTTCCAGAAGAAATGTTTCTAGGGAAGACCTTCAGACACACTAGAATTAAATTGCTCTCTTAATAACTTTTGTAACATTGGCTCATTATGACGTTACTTCTAAGAATGGCATTTTTTCATTTTCCCGAATGTTATATTTAAATCAGCTGTAAAGAGTTGGTGATTTATTTGCATCTATGAAGAGTGCTATATTGACCCAAATTTTGCATTGATAAATGAATGCAAAATGAAATTTTAAAAAGTTGGCAGATTAAATTATCAAAGTATATTAAGCACATATTATATATGCAGCACAACACTGAGAAAATGTACACACTGTGTAATTTTGAAATACCTGAATATTAAAATAATACTTAGAGCCTTCCACCTGGCAGGCACATAGATTGTGAACATGTTTTTATATAATAGAACATCAGCTAGCATAGCTTTAATCATCTCCACAGCATTTAAGTGCACCAATGTCTCATTCTAATGTTAATACATATCTTGTCTCACAGGAATTCCCCTTGGGATGTTTATTTTTGTGTGTTCTTTCAAAAAACAAAAACCCAGCTCTACCTATACTTGTCATTTTATCGTCCATACTTATTTTCTTCAGGGAAATTTATAGAAATAGCGGAAGTGTATTACATTGTAGGTTCTTGGTCTCACTGACGTCAAGAATGAAGCTGTGGACCTTTTGGGTGAGTGTCCGGAGTTTGTTCCTTTTAATGTTCAGACGTTTTTGGAGTTTCTTCCTTCTGGTCGGTTTGTGGTCTCAATGGCCTCAGGAGTGAAGCTGCAGATCTTCGCGGTGAGTGTTGCAGCTCATAAAAGGAGTGCGGACCCAAAGAGTGAGCAACAGCAAGATTTAGTGCATACAGCGTAAAAATTAAGCATCCACACTGCCCAAGACGATCTCAGCAGGTTGCCAGTGCCGGCTCAGGCAGACTGCTTTTATTCCCTTATCTGGCCCCACCCACATCCTGCTGATTGGTCCATTTTACAGAGAGCTGATTGGTCTGTTTTACAAAGAGCTGATTGGTCTGTTTTGACAGGGTGCTGATTGGTGCATTTACAATCCCTGAGCTAGACAAAGAGTGCTGATTGGTGCATTTACAATCCTCTATCTAGACATAAAAGTTTTCCAAGTCCCCACTAGATGAGCTAGACACAGAGCATAGATTGGTGCATTTACAAACCTTGAGCTAGACACAGAGTGCTGATTGGTGCATTTACAATCCTCTAGCTAGACATAAAAGTTCTCCAAGTCCCCACCAGATTAGCTAGATACAGGGTGCTGATTGGTGCATCTACAAACCTTTTGCTAGACACAGAGTTCTCATTGGTGCATTTACAATCTCCTAGCTACACATAAAAGTTCTCCAAGTCCCCACCGGACTCAGGAGCCCAGCTGGCTTCACCTAGCGGATCCTGCGCTGGGGCCACGGGCAGAGCTGCCTGCCAGGCGCCTGCACTCCTCAGCCCTTGGAGGGTCAATGGGACCGGGCGCCGCGGAGCAGGGGGCAGCGTCCATCAGGGAGGCTTGGGCCGCGCGGGAGCCCACCGCGAGGGGGAGGCTCAGGCATGGCGGGCTGCAGGTCCCGAGCCCTGTCCCACGGGGAGGCAGCTGAGGCCCGGGGAGATTTGGCGTGCAGCGCCGGTGGGCCAGCACTGCTGGGGGACCCAGCACATCCTCCGCAGCTGCTGGCCCAGGTGCTGAGCCCTTCACTGCCCCGCTGGCGCTGGCCGGCCGCTCCAAGTGCGGGGCCGCGGAGCCCGCGCCCACCCAGAACTCGCGCTGGCCCATGAGCCCACACCTCTCCCTCCACGCCTCCCCGCAAGCAGAGGGAGCCGGCTCCGGCCTCGGCCAGCCCCCAGGGCAGTGGCTGGCTGAAGGGCTCCTCAAGTGCGGCCGGAGTGGGCGCCGAGGCGGAGGAGGCGCCGGGAGTGAGTGAGGGCTGCCAGCATGCTGTCACCTCTCAGAAGCAGTGATGTGCTGAGCTTCTGTCTAGAAAGAAGGTAGCAGTCCACCCTCCTGTCTCCCAGGCATTCGTTCACCCAGGTCCTCAGCCACCGAGTCTTCCTCCTTCACCCACGACCCTCCTTCACCCACCACCCTCCCTCCACCCACCACCCTCCCTCCCAGGCATCCTGTAGCCTCCACCACCACACTTCCTGGGAGGTTCAGGCTTCAGCCTTGACCTTCCTGCACTGCCCAATGGGAGCATCGTGACCACACATTTTAGGAGAAGGCTCCTTCCCCACTGTGACATCAAACACGTGGTCACATGAAAGGCCTAGTCTGTGGCACAGGAAAGGGGCCCTGAGGTGCAGGGGAGGGTCATTGTCAGTTAATCACATGAAAGCTCACCAGGGCACACTGCATTTTAACAACCCCGTTTTTAAATTTTATTTCCACACAAACACATCAGATACCTTTAAAGTTAGACACATCTAACATTTGTGGAACTTAGGATGCCAGGGCTTTTCATCTGAATTTCTGGGGTGCATTTACAGCTTTTCTCCTAAACATCACGCGTCCCATTCTGGCCTCCTGAAGGGCGGTGCCTGCTCCCGGGCTGCCCCCTGCCATACCCCGCAAACCCCCGCCACCCCCTGCAAACGCCCACCACCCCCCACCCCTCACCACCCCCCGCAAACCCCCGCAAACCCCCGCCACCCCCTGCAAACGCCCACCACCCCCCACCCCCCCACCCCTCACCACCCCCTGCAAACCCCCACCCCCCCCCGCAAACCCCCGCCACCCTCTGCAAACCCCCGCCACCCCCTGCAAACGCCCACCACCCCCCACCCCTCACCACCCCCTGCAAACCCCCGCCACCACGCGCACATCGCTGTTGATCATTGCTGCCTCCACGCGCGCCGACATCCATTCAAACAGCAATTGCTGGTGTTTTCTCCTCTGTGGGATGTGCCAGTAAGAATGACCTGGAAGCTCCCAGACATACGTAGCAGGCTCAACGTGGCGGGGGAGTTGGAAGGAAAAATGGAATCCACAACTGCTGCGCACAGGAGGGAAATGAACCCAGTGCCCGCAGGAGGCGCTGACGGCGTTCCCTAAAAACACCGAGCAGGCAAATGAGTGCGGACTAAGCGCCCGGGGAAGACGGGGAAGACGGGGCCAGGCTCGGGCTCCGGGGATTCGTAGGATCTCCAGAGGGGATCATTTGTAGTTAAGGATCTAATATTGCCACATTCTCAATGGTTTTCTGTTCTGCAGTTCTTTAGAGCACTGAGTTTTAAACCATGGGCTGCAACTCATTAATGACCCGTGAATTCAAGTTACTGGTCACTGCCAGCAAATTTTTAAATGGAAACAAAAATACAACAGAGAAGTATAGACTAGGCCGGGCACGGTGGCTCACGCCTGTAATCTCAGCACTTTGGGAGGCCGAGGCGGGCGGATCACGAGGTCAGGAGATCGAGACCATCCTGCCTAAAGCTGTAAAACCCCGTCTCTACTAAAATACAAAATATTAGCCGGGCATGGTGGCGGGCGCCTGTAATCCCAGCTACTCGAGAGGCTGAGGCGGAAGAATTGCTTGAACCCCGGAGGCAGAGATTGCAGTGAGCTGATATTACGCCTCTGTGCTCCGGCCTGGCAACAGAGCAAGACTCCGTCCAAAAAAAAAAAAAAAACCGTATAGACTAGAAAATACCAAAGTACACTCTGGATAATAAGAGCACATGTCTAATGAAACATTTTTTGGGTGTGTGCGTGTGGGTGTGTGTGTTAGGTTCTGATGTAAAATATACGTCTTATTGTGGAATATAATCCAAAAAGTTTGAAAGCCCTTGGCAGGAGCAATACCTTGCAGCCATCAGGGTGGTGCAGAGAAAGGAAGTCGCTTTTGTGCTGTCTCGGTGTTTGAAACAGGAAGCAGTGCGTGTCGTGGGTTCTCAGAGGCAGGTTCTGCAGGCAAAGCCTCCGCACATACACTGGAACTTGAGCAATTCACCCACCTCTCCTGTTCTTCTCATTCTTTGTTTGTTAACAAAAAGAGAAGGGATCGTAACCTTCCTACCTCGTTGGAATTTTAAGATAATTAAATATGGTAATATAAGACCTTAGAGCAAGGTGTGGCTCACAGCAAGTGTTCAATGTCAGTTTTTACCATGATTAGTATCATTGTCATCATTGCTCATACGCTGTGACCAGGTAACCCAGCATCACCTGTCCAGGTTTAAAGGTGCATTCAGGAGGTTTCAGGAGTGCAGCTCTGGAGGACGCGGCCGCGGAGAGGAGTCGGTGTAATACTCCAGACAGATGTCCACGTTAACTTCATGTGTTTCCCGAACATGATTTCCATGACAACTAATTTATTTGCATATTGCAGTAACTGAAAACACAGACTTCTGTAATTTTAGATTCTGAAGAGTTTTTTGTAAGGATTTGCCCCTTTAACTGCCTGTAAATTACAAGCACGCTCCCGTGCAAATGGGCATTCGAAAAGGAGTCGGAATTTGTCCCTGGGAGGTATTTGTGATTTAGATGGAAAATTAAATAGAAACAGGCTGGCTTTCCCTGGACAACAGCGATAACTTGCTGATGTGTTTGGAGGTCAGCCTGTGGCTGTGAAGTGTGGCTTCCAGGCTCATAGGAAGTGAAGGTCCGCTGTCGGGACCTTGCCAGCCTCGTTGCCCCAGATGTCAGGCTTCCAGAGGAACTCTGCAGTGCGTGACGAACGTATTGTTGCATCCTCTGAAGAGCTGAGAAACGTCATCAGTTTGTGATGCCTGGGCCACTCCGTGAAAGTGCTGTCAAGGATGGGAAGGTCCAGTTTTGTGGCAGGTCCAAGGGTTGAACACGACGAAGGAGGGACAAGGAAAGGAACTGCCTCCCACCTGTCACTCTGCGTGGGCTCCCTGCGTTCTGGTGCCTTGGTCAATATGCTTAACGCCACAGCAAACATGAAGGTCACAGGACGCGCATTCTCATTCTGCAGGTGAGGAAACTGAGGCACAGAGAGAGTGGTGACTTCTCCAAGGTCATTAGT
The DNA here is from genome assembly GCF_000001405.40 of Homo sapiens. Lineage (NCBI taxonomy): Eukaryota > Metazoa > Chordata > Mammalia > Primates > Hominidae > Homo > Homo sapiens. The sequence continues at coordinate 1,510,703 of NC_000008.11, forward strand.
GAATGAGTGGCCAGTCTAGGTCTGAACCAAGCCAAACCCTGTAGGACCTTTTGAGTATCCACACTGCTTCCCCAAGGAAACTAAAATATTATATGTCCAAGTCCAGGAGGTCCACTCAACAAATAAAAGGCAAACCTTGCATTTGACACCTGAAACTGAGGTCGGTGTTACATAATTAATAAGGAATTGTGTTTGGAGTAAACCTAGAAGGAACTTGCACATAAGATAATTTGCTCAATCAATCTGGCACATCTCCCTTTGCTAATGAGTTAGGCTTCTCCAGATAAATCTGTGAGAATGTTCCATTTTCTCAAACAGTATTTGTTCTCCCCAGGGCATCAGTTAGTTCAGCTTGAAACCTTTCTTATAATACAAGCATCGTCATTTTCACCACACTGTGGAACCGAAAATAAATTTCCCTAGTGGGTGACCATCCTCCATGGATGTAAGGGCTGTCTAGTGTAGGACAATCAATAGATGACCATCTTCCATGGACGTAAGTGCTGTCTAGTGTAAGACAGTCAATAGATGACCATCTTCCATGGACGTAAGGGCTGTCTAGTGTAGGACAATCAGTAGATGACCATCTACCATGGACGTAAGGGCTGTCTAGTGTAGGACAATCAGTAGATGACCATCTTCCATGGACGTAAGGGCTGTCTAGTGTAGGACAATCAGTAGATGACCATCTTCCATGGTCGTAAGGGCTGTCTAGTGTAGGACAATCAGTAGATGACCATCTTCCATGGACGTAAGGGCTGTCTAGTGTAGGACAATCAATAGATGACCATCTTCCATGGGCGTAAGTGCTGTCTAGTGTAAGACAGTCAATAGATGACCATCTTCCATGGACGTAAGTGCTGTCTAGTGTAAGACAGTCAATAGATGACCATCTTCCATGGACGTAAGGTCTGTCTAGTGTAGGACAATCAGTAGATGACCATCTTCCATGGACGTAAGGGCTGTCTAGTGTAGGACAATCAATAGATGACCATCTTCCATGGACGTAAGTGCTGTCTAGTGTAAGACAATCAATAGATGACCATCTTCCATGGACGTAAGGTCTGTCTAGTGTAGGACAATCAGTAGATGACCATCTTCCATAGACGTAAGGGCTGTCTAGTGTAAGACAATCAGTAGGTCACATGAGCAAAGGTGAACCCCAAAATCTGTTTAGGAATTGGAAAGAGAAACATTAGGCTCCAAGTCTTATCAGAGCCTGACAAAAAGCGTGCGTGTTTTATGTGCACTTTCTACCACCACTCGGGTTTGGTATTGGATGAATACTAGCTGCAGTTAGCAGTAATTACACATCTGACTAACAATCTTCAGAAGTCTCCCTGAGAACGGTGTTCCTCAGCCCTGTGACGCATCAGCCCAGGTAGGCAGGGCTGAGGGCCGACGGCCTCCCTAACGCGTCTGGTCCACAGTTCAGTGGGAGAAGCCCTGCTGGGAACAGCTGGGTTAGAGTGCACTCACGTTGCAGAAAGCCTGTTGCTAGCAAACAGATGTCCATTGTAGAAGAATGTGTGCTCCTCCCCATAAATTTCAAAGAAACAAATGTCCCATAAACTTAAAAATAACCCATGAATGTTATTACACTTACCTTGACAACATGATCAAAGTTGTTTATTTCACACGGTTTCATAAGCAGAAATCGCCAGCTAGTGATCACGGTTCAGACAAATGGTGGAAATCGTCGGCGGCATAGGGACGGGGCCAGCGTGGGTGTCAGCCGTGGGTGTGGCAGTTCCGCACTGACCTCGGTGCATTCCTGCTCTGGAGTCTAGCATGGGAAAATCACAGCCCAGAAGACCCTCGGGTTGCACGTGTGACTGACGCACTCCCCCGAGAGAGGCCAACACCTCACAGCAGCCTGCCGCAGCAGCGAAATGCCTGCACTGAGGCTGTCTGTTAAAAGCAAACAACATGGCAGTTGTTTTAGCCAAGCACGCTTCTTGCTGAGAATTCTAGGAGGTTCAGCTGACAGCAAATGCGTGAGTACCCCAGCTCGCTGTGTCCATGGAGTAGAGATCTCAGACTTCGCAGCTTTGACTTATCAATCTAAAGGTTAATTAGACAAACTGGGTGACTACTGCCAACATTTTCTAAAGACAGGTCACACTCTAGGTTTCTAATTTGTCTTCCGAATGACCCTGATCCTGGAAAGTGAGGCCCCGGGTCATGGTCGCACCGCCACCCTGTGCCATCTGTGTGTGCACGTTGGTGTCCCAGGCCACAGCGGAGAAAGATGGGAGAGGCCACAGGCCAGGCCCTGGGAGGATCAGTGGGATAAGCATCTGCCTTTCCCAGTGCAGAGGAGGATGGAAGAGGCCACAGGCCAGCTCCAGGGAGGCTCAGTGGGATAAGCATCTGCCTTTCCCAGTGCAGGGCAAGACGGGAGAGGCCACAGGCCAGCTCCAGGGAGGCTCGGTGGGATAAGCGTCTGCCTTTCCCAGTGCAAGGGAGGACGGAAGAGGCCACAGGCCAGCTCCAGGGAGGCTCAGTGGGATAAGCATCTGCCTTTCCCAGTGCAGGGCAAGACGAGAGAGGCCACAGGCCAGCTCCAGGGAGGCTCGGTGGGATAAGCGTCTGCCTTTCCCAGTGCAAGGGAGGACGGGAGAGGCCACAGGCCAGCTCCAGGGAGGCTCGGTGGGATACGCTACTGCCTTTCCCAGTGCAGAGGAGGAAGGGAGAGGCCACAGGCCAGCCCCACGGAGGCTCGGTGGGATACACGTCCGCCTTTCCCTGGGAACAGCTGGTGGGAGCGGTGCAAGCACAGCCCAGCTCAGAGGGGCCGTCACCCCCATCAGTGGCAAGTGGTTTGCCTCTGTGGCATAGCACCTGCCCATCTCCCAGAGACAATACTGCCTGGAAAATTGCAGCATTGAATTTCTAACCTAAAAATTGAGGTGAGACCTTGCTAAGCCCTCCTGGTCGTGTATGTAAGCTCGTTGGGAACTGCAGCTTTTCTCAGTAAAAGCTTCCTAATCATATGCAATTCCCTAAAAGTACACTTTTTAATAAACAATTATAGATGTGTAAGTTACAAAAATAATACAGAGAAATCCTGGGCACCCTTCCCCCAGTTTCACCCATGGTCACGTTCGTACAGTCCAAGGTCCAACACGAAACATCCTTCTTCCAGACAATGGCGGTCGAACCTCAGACCCATCCTTGCCTTCCTTCCCTCCTTCATTCATCCATCCATTTCAGCATTTACTGAAACCCTGCTGCCTACGCAATGTGATTGAGATGTTGAACTGAAAGGTACCAGGAGCTCACACATCCCCTCCCCTTCCCGGGTTATCTTACGTGATATGGGGCACAGATTTGCTTTAAATAATTTACTTCTGAGCGCCCACCACTCTGGAGAAGAGCTAGGCAGGCATTGGGTGGCGTCTTGTGGCCACACGAGCAGCCCCAGGTGAAGCAAAGCCTGCACCCAATTAGACATCTAGGAATTCACAGTGACGGGAAAGAGGAATTGTACATAATTAGAGATATGTTTTCTCTCCAGTACAAATGTCCTCTTTCTGCCTGAATTTAAATGCAACTCTCATTTTTTCTTATGCGACTATTCCCAGAAGGCTTCCCGCATCCTGCGAAGCGAAGGGTAACCCCCAACAGCCCAGGTGTTTTCAATGGCACACATGGTTCCTGCTTTCTGTTTCACATAACACAGAACCCCAGAGCACGTTTTAAGCTCCACTTTTAAAACTTAATGAAATTGTATAAAATTCAGCTACTGTATCAAGGAACAGCGAGAAAATATTGTGTTGGAGAATATAAAAGGAAATAATATGAATAGCGTTAATATTTCAGTAAGAGCTACACATGTGGTCAGGAGTGTGAAACTTCTATCAGCCATTTATGGGTGTTTCTCACCTCCAGGCGCCGCTAGAGAACTTTGCTTATACTCACCTATGTCACTCATCCCTTCACAGCTGTGTGGCCTCTCTGCTGTCACCCCATTCTAAAGGAGGGGACAGCACGTGACAGAACGAGTCCCACAGTCAGTGAGGATGGGCACACGCTGCAGGTGGAGGCCCAAGCTCCTAGTCCATGTAGCTGCTGCATCTCTCAGCAGGACAGGAAAGGAAGGCCGGCCTGAGTCCGGAGGGTGGCGCTCAGCGTGATGCCACCCAGAGTCTGACAGAGCTGCATGGCAGGACCCCGGGGAGATGAAAGCCAGCCCCACGAGGGGAAGAGCCCCTACAAGAGCACAGCCAGCGGGCAGGAGCACGCAGGGAGACCGACGTGCAGGGACACCAACGTGTAGAGAGACTGACGTGGAGGGAGACCGACATGGAGGGAGACCGACGTGCAGGGAGACCAACGTGCAGGGATACCGATCCCTGCAGGGAGACCAACATGCAGAAAACGCATGTTTGGCCTGAAATGGGATGGATGCATCCAACCAAAGAGAAAACAAGGAAGGAGGAGACATGGAAGGCAGCCTTGGAAATCACGGAGAGTTGTTGCATTGATTCTTTTGCAGCCGATGAGCACACCCACCCTGCACTTGAGTTTCAGGGCCAAGGTGTCTTTCTTTCTTTTGAAGGGAAAAAGGACCTGGGCCAGAGAAACCATCATGGAGGCATCCTGGGAGGGGCACAGAGAAAAGGAGTCCTCTCCCTTCCCTTAAGACAGACAGGGCAGTCAGCATACACATGCACATACATGAACACACAGGCATGCACACAGATGTGCACACACACACGCAGACACATGCACACACACGTGCAGACATGAAAACAATTGTAGACATGCAAAAATATGCAGACAGAAATGTGCACACACACACACAGGTGCATGCACATGCAGACACACATGCAGATGCACACAAACACGAGCAGACATGAAAATACAATTGCAGACATGCAAAAATATGCAGACACACGTGCATGCACACACACATGCAGACACAAGCACACACACATGCAGACATGAAATATACACATACACATGTTGACACACACAACATGCACAAATATGCAGACACACAAACACATGCACAGATAGGCACACTCACACACTTGTATGCACACACATGCACAAACATACAACACATACAACACACCTGACCTGTCTGCCCCTCCAGTCTGTTCCCTGCTCCCATTCCCTCTGTACTGTGCTATGGACTCTTTAATTCCTTTCCCTTTTCCTCCACATCTCACAGAGGGATGGGCTTATTACAATGTGCAGTTCCCTTAATGGATGAGTGAGTGAATGAGTGCAGGAGGGAATGATCGAGTGAGTGAATGACTGGATGAGTGACTGAGTTACTGAGTGAGAATGAGTGAGTGAGTGCATGAATGAGTGAGTGAATGAGTAACTGAGTGAATGAGTGAGTGGGTGAGTAAAAAAGTACATGAATGAGTGCATGAATGAGTGACTGAGTGAATGAGTGACTGAGTGAGGAAAGGAAAGAGGGAGGGAATGAGTGAGTGAGTGATTGGATGAGTGACCAAGTGAGTTACTGAGTGAGAATGAGTGAATGTGTGCATGAATGAGTGAGTGAATGAGTGAGTTACTGAGTAAATGAGTGAGTGAAAGAGCACACAAATGAGTGACTGAATGAGTGCATGAATGAGTGAGTGAATGAGGGAGGGAGGGAGTGAATGAGTTCATGAATGAGTGAGTGAATAAGGGAGGGAGTGAATGAGTGAGTGAGTGACTGAGTGAATGAGTGGGTGACTGAGTGAAAGAGTGAGTGACTGAATGAGTGGGTGACTGAGGGAAAGAGTGACTGAGTGAATGAGTGGGTGACTGAGTGAAAGAGTACATGAATGAGTGAGTGAATGAGTTCATGAATCAGTCAGTGAGTGAGTGAGTGCATGAATGAGTGAGTGAATGAGGGAGGGAGGGCGTGAATGAGTGAGTGAATGAGTGCATGAATGAGTGAGTGAATCAGGGAGGGAAGGAGTGAATGAGTGAGTGAGTGACTGAGTGAATGAGTGGGTGACTGAGTGAAAGAGTGAGTGACTGAGTGAATGAGTGGGTGACTGAGTGAAAGAGTGAGTGACTGAGAAAATGAGTGGGTGACTGAGTGAAAGAGTACACGAATGAGTGAGTGAATCAGTGAGTGAGTGAGTGCATGAATGAGTGAAAGGCACAATCAGGCTTGTGCCTTTTTTTGTGCTGAAATTAGTTTTAAGCAGGTGAAACTCCCTACAGCTTCAAGAGGATGAGGAGATATGTTTTGTTCTGTTTGCTTGAAACAATAAAATACATAAAAAATGAAGCACCTCATCCACTGTCTCAGGCAGCGAGAGCCTGCCAGTCCCCAACAGCCCCAGGGTGCAGAGGTGAGGAAGGCTTTCTCACCTCCGCGGTCACCAGGAATCGAGGTTCAGTAGAATCACCCCATCTTGAAGGCCGCAGCCTCAAGGTCCAAGTCTTCATTCCCCAGGTTGAAGACATGAGCTGGGGACCCCCATGGCTGTGGGTGGAGGGCGAGTCCTGGACGTAGTGCTTCATTCTGTCTTTTGAAAGGGGTGATGTTAGAAAGTGAGTTCTGGCAGCTGTGGGGAGGAAGAAGTCAAGCCCTCTGTGGGGTCAGGAGCTTGGAAAAAGGACCCTGAAGAGTTAGACCTGGAGTGGCCAGACCTAGGCAGGGATGGAAGAACGGATGTGGAGCCCAGGAGGAGCAGAGAGCACGCCATGAGGGAGGGGCCGTGGTGAGGGGCACCCCTGGGCGCCCAGTGCTTGGTCCTGCAACACCTTACGTCTCAGGGCGTTTCCCCACCCCCTGCTCCACTGAGAGCCTCCCACCCTGGCCTCGTTTCCTCCACCGAGCTGTGCATCCTCAGGGAGAGAGAGCAGAAGAGCCGCTCCTCTTTGGAAAACTGAGAAGCTCTCCTCCGAGTCAGTGCTCTCCCCATCCACCAGCAAGGGGCCCCTCCATCCGAATGCAGGCACACACCTGCTAAAATGCACCACACAGCAGAAGGGCCTCCCGTTTCTGGCTAGGAGAGCCCTGCCTGTGGCAGGCAGCAGCATTTGCAAGCCTCTCTGCAGTTACGCTTGGAGTTTTGGTGTGGTGGAAATAGGCAAGAAGTCGATGTCCAGCTGCTTGTTGGATTAGGGATCACAAATGTGTGTTTATTTTCCAAAAACAAGACATTGGCATGATAGTGTGGCCCTGGGGGCAGGGTCATGGAATAAGACAGAGACTGGGGAGCCTTGCACAAAATAACCATCCCCCACGGTATGTTGTTTGGACCTGGGAACTTTCTGGAGCAAGTGCTCATCGTCAGTAACACACACTAACTGAATTTCACTCAAGGCAGATTTGTGGACTATTTTGTTGAAATGACATCTGTAGAAAAATTTAAAAGTGATTAAAACTGATGGCTGCTGCCGGATGATGGAGTCTGGTGCATCTCAGACAGCCCTTATTTGGAACAGTCTGTGGGCATGTCTAGGTTATTGAGTGTTACGCTTCTGTGTTATGTGACTTGTCCGTACCATTTAGCCTCCCAATTGGACACGGAATCGAGTTTGCTAGCGTTCAGCCCTAACTGGAATGGCGACTGCTCCCAAATTGCATTCTGGCCCTAATGAAATCTGTCTGCTTCATCCTCATCTGCCAGGACACAGCACATTAGCTCTTATGGGTTTTGTTGTTTGTTTTTGTCTTCAGATTGTCGGTTCTGTGGCTGTGGCAAACCGAGTGGAGGTTTAAGATGGACTTTTAAATACAAATTATGAAGGGAAAAAGCAAGTCACTTCATGTATGCTTGTGCATTTACAAGGCACATAGAACAAAGCTGACATTTATATAACGTTTGAGTTTCATAAGAGCATGGCTGTGGTGACTGTCCAGTTTTTAGATGAAGAAATTGAGTCTCATCCAACCTTGATCAGCTAATAAATGACCACGTGGTGATTTCGGCCCAGACACCCTTATGTTCCTAGTAGACTTGAGCTCAAGTCATATAAATTTGGTTCTCCCTGCCATGGACAATGGTTCTTGAGTAAATTATGGAGTCTTTGAGATTTGTTTTTCTCAGGCTCCAAATATTGTGATAATATATAAATTGTACAGTGATTCTGCAAACCATATCGAACCCATGTTAGATATTTGCATTCTAGTCACTGTCTTTGGCTACTGGAAATGATTGTATGTGTGTGCACATCAGCATTCAGTGGATACTGAGCGGCATCTGGATATTTAGTAAAACACATTCTCACGCCAGTGCCCGTGCTTCTCCCTCTGCGTGGCTAAGATGAGACCAACTCTGCTTGGAGGGTCCTGTCCATCCCAGGCCCTCCCGACCGTGTGTCCTCCAGCTAATTCCGAAATTTTGAGTGCCAGGATCTCAACAACGAGCCACAGATAGGAGCCTGTGGTCCCTGCCGTGAAGGAGCTGGCAGTCCAGGAAGGGATACGAAGGCTTGGCTTTCACATGTGATGTGCTAAGGTGTCAGAAGGGAAGAATATTTCAGCTGCAATTGGGAAGAAACAGAAGGGGCTTCTGGAAAATGAGCAACGCTGTCCTGGAAAGTGAAGAACACCAAAGTTAGCTCAGCTTTACGCAGCGGCATGTCCCATCCTACGCCTGAAAACCAAAAAGCATAGAACCCTTGTCTACTTGGAAATCTTAAAAAAAAAATCTAAACATGTGCTTTGTGTGCCAAACAGTAGCTCCAGGTTCACTGACTGCCCGAAATTCAGTGTTTTGCACGACAAGTTCATTAACCTGCTGCTGAAAGGGCCTTTGCAATTCAAGGTTGGATCCATCAGAAAATAGAATATGAAACTGATAAAGCTCTCTTTTCAAGTCAATACTTTATTTCCTCTCCAGGAAGAGACTTTCGTTAGAGAGGCACAAGCTGCATTCTCTGACCCTGATCCCCTTGTTTAACGGTTCTGACGACCCTGAGCCTGGCTCTCCCCATGCACCTTCCCCATGGACACCACCTCTTGCCTAAACTAGATTAAATGTTCCAGACCCCAGAAGAAAAGTCCAGAACTCATTGTGGGCCTGGGATCCGTATGCACTTGCCTGCCTGTAAGAAGCCAGCCTGCGGGCCTGGCCCAGCTGGGATGTCAGCATCCTGGGGACCTGGCCCTGTGCTGCCTGTCACAGTGGGTTTTGTGCTCAGCAGGTGATGGCCCCGGCAGGGCCGCCCATGGCTTCCTTTGGGGGCACAGAGCAGGGGAGCATGGGTGGGGTGGGGATCCTAGACCAAAGGGGCGTGGCTGGGTTTGGGTCTATCCTCCCACACCTGCCCTGGGAGCCTCGGTTTCCAGTCTGCAGGAGGAGGAGGAGCTCCCAGCTGCTTCGCAGGAGCAGGAGGTGTGGGCCATCGCTGTTGGCTGCATGTGAAGGAGGGGCCTTCTCCACTGAGAGCTCTCTCTGCCCCTGGAGTGCTGGGCACGCTGTCCCCATCTCTGCTTCCCAACATACCATGGGCTATACACCTGATGAACATGTTAGTGATTATCTGACGAGATCAATGGTTCATCAGCTATCGATGGGGTGTCCACAATGGCTGAGGAGAAGAACAGCTGCAGGCCCCCACCCCGGAGCTCATGGTTCACAGAGGGAAGAAGATGGGAAAACGCTGGGGCACACGGAGGGGAGCGATGCAATCGGGGAACCCAGAAAGTATTTGGGGAGCAGGAGGAGGTTCACTCCGAGTGGTTTCCCGTGTTCTTCACCCCTCGCACTGGCGTGGTGCATCTGTCACAATTGATGAGCCAGGATTGATGTGTTAGTGACTAAAGCCATCCTTCATCCTTCACGTCAGGGGTCACGCTTGGCATGGTCCACCCTGTGGGTTTGGACGAGTGTTTAATGGTGTGGACTCCCCACTGCCACCTCACACAGAGCAGTTTCCTTGCCCTAAAAATCCTGCGTGCTCCCCCTATTCATCCCTCCCTGCCCCCAACCCCTGGCAAACACTGACTCTTTCGCTACCTTTGTAGTTCTGCCTTTTCCAGAATGACCCATGGATTCAAAGAGTGTGAAGGCTTTTTCATGGCTTGGGAGCTCATTTCATTTTAGCACTGAATAATATTCCACTGCCTGATGTAACGGTTTACTCACCTCCTGAAGGACATCTTCCAAGTTTGGGCAATTGTGAATAATGTTGCTATACACATCTGTGTGCGGGTTGATGTGTGGATGTAAGTTTTGAGCTTCTTTGGGTGAATACCTGGGGGCGTGATTGCTGGACTGCATGGTGAGTGCCTAGTTTTGTAAGAAACCACGAAACTGTCTTCCAAAGTGGCTGCACCGCTTTGCACTCCCACGGGTAATGAAAGAGTTCCTGAGGCTCCGCGTCCTGGCCGGCGTGTGGTACTGTTGGGGTCTGGATTCTGGCCGTTCTATTCGGGGTGTGGTGGTGTCTTGTTGTTGTTTTAATTTGGAATACTCGGGCGGGAGGTGATATGGGGCGTCTGGTTTGCACACTTGTTTTAATTTGGAATACTTGGGCGGCAGGTGATATGGGGCATCTGGTTTGCACACTTGTTTTAATTTGGAATACTCGGGGGCAGGTGATATGGGGCATCTCTGGTTTGCACACTTGTTTTAATTTGGAATACTTGGGGGCAGGTGATATGGGGCATCTCTGGTTTGCACACTTGTTTTAATTTGGAATACTCGGGCGGCAGGTGATATGGGGCATCTGGTTTGCACACTTGTTTTAATTTGGAATACTCGGGGGCAGGTGATATGGAGCGTCTCTGGTTTGCACACTTGTTTTAATTTGGAATACTCGGGCGGCAGGTGATATGGGGCATCTCTGGTTTGCACACTTGTTTTAATTTGGAATACTCGGGCGGCAGGTGATATGGGGCATCTGGTTTGCACACTTGTTTTAATTTGGAATACTCGGGGGCAGCTGATATGGGGCGTCTCTGGTTTGCACACTTGTTTTAATTTGGAATACTCGGGCGGCAGGTGATATGGGGCATCTGGTTTGCACACTTGTTTTAATTTGGAATACTCGGGCGGCAGGTGATATGGGGCATCTGGTTTGCACACTTGTTTTAATTTGGAATACTCGGGGGCAGCTGATATGGGGCGTCTCTGGTTTGCACACTTGTTTTAATTTGGAATACTCGGGCGGCAGGTGATATGGGGCATCTGGTTTGCACACTTGTTTTAATTTGGAATACTCGGGGGCAGGTGATTTGGGGCGTCTCTGGTTTGCACACTTGTTTTAATTTGGAATACTCGGGTGGCAGGTGATATGGGGCATCTGGTTTGCACACTTGTTTTAATTTGGAATACTCGGCAGCTGATATGGGGCGTCTCTGGTTTGCACACTTGTTTTAATTTGGAATACTCGGGGGCAGGTGATTTGGGGCGTCTCTGGTTTGCACACTTGTTTTAATTTGGAATACTCGGGGGCAGGTGATTTGGGGTGTCTCTGGTTTGCACACTTGTTTTAATTTGGAATCCTCGGGTGGCACGTGGTGTGGAGCATCTTTGGTTTCCACGCTTGGCATCTGAGTGTCCTCTTCGGTGGGGTCCACTCAGACCTTTCGCCCATTTTTCCCAGTTGGGTTTGATGCACCAGCATCCTGCCGTATAACAGTCTGGTTCTGATGCTTGTTCTGTTTCTTCAAGCTGTGTCTTCTGTGTTGAAATATGCCTTGTGGTAGTTTTGCTGAAAGCCGAAACAGCTGAGTGCATGGGGAAGCTGGCAGGTGTGCAGCAGCCGGGGCCCAGGGCATCACACCCACAGGGGCCTGGGGGACCTCCTTTTGCTCAGAGCACGGGATCCACAGTGCTGGGGCCAAGGCCAGTCAGAGCCTCACGCACGGGTGCTGGGTCATCACCATGCCCGGGAAGCTGGGCCCCCGGCCATCAGCAGATCCTTTACTTCCTTACGTCTTGGTTTTCTCCTCAGTGAAGCAGGACGCACAGGTTTCCTCATGTGGCCATTGCAAGGATTTAAGGGGACGCCTGTAAAGTCACCAGCAGAACCTGGGAGCTGAGTGGAGGAGCTTCTTTTTCAGCAGAAAGAGGGAGAATGAGTTTTCAGGATCAGGAGACGGCAGTGACCTGCTGTGTAAACTTTCAAATTACACGCGCCAAGTGGTTCTAAATAAATGAATCAGGTTAATTAGCAAACAACAGCCATTTATTCTCTTTAATAGCCTCATGGGATATCAAGAGGCTATTATATGATATGATATCATGCATTTTGGCATGAAAATTAGGGAGTAGCTCTACATTGCTAAAGGGATGCAGCTTTTTACCTGGGTGACAGATGTATATGTTTTAAAGTAACTTAAATGCATTACCCTTTGCTCTTCACGTCAGCCACATAAACTAAGGACCAGGGGCAGCTGGAGACTCACTGGTCAGAACCAGCAGCACTGGGGTCACACCCAGGCTGGGAACCTGCAGACGGCACTGCCCGTGCGGCATCTCCTGGGACCTGGGAGCTTTCACGCCACGCGTATGATAAGTTCTGGGGGGCGGGAGTGAGGAAAAGGCCCCCCTCTGGTGGTCCGGGCCCATGGTCCTGCCAGGGGCCCACAGCATGAAGATGTAGCTCCCTCACACACACGTTGAATTTGGATTTGCTTGTCTGGCTTCTGCTGGGGCGCAGGATGTGGGGATGGAAGGACCAAGACACACGACAGAGAACAGCGTCACGGGGTCACCGTCCCACTTCCCACCCCGCGCCTCACAGCACAGACGGGGGATTTGCCGGCCTCACGCCGGCCGAGCCACTGCTGACTTCACGCAGCCCCAGCCATGCCCCCACGCAGACACACGGAGCCCCAAGGCGGGCCAGATCTCAGGGCCGGATGGGGCTGTGGAGCTGTGCCTTAGACGGGGGGGAAGGACTCCCTGCCCCAGGCCGGCACCGCACAGTCCCTGGGTAGAAAATTGAGTCCTGTTTGGAGGACAGCTGCTCCCACATCTGGGGGCCTCTGGATCTGCAGGGCAGGGCTTTGGTGGTCCATAAACATACCCCGAGGAACACTCGTGGAGCCGTCTGCATTTTATTTTTGTCAATTATGGCACTAATCATGTCCTTTTACTAGAGATCCCGCAGTGTCTGTGCTCCTTCGTTACATCCCTAAAAGACAAGCTCCCGAGGGCCATCCATGGTGGCCTCCCAGCAGTTCCTGCACGTCACAGCATTTAAAAGAAATCCAGTGAATAAAACAGTTCAGCTTCAATTCAGTAACCGCATAGAATTTCACTTGTGAATTGAAAAGTTCAGGGCCTGAGATAATCTTAAGCTGCTGGATCTGTGGGGAAAACAAACATCTGAGGTCCAGAATTCGTTTGGAGACTCCGCCGCAAGTCCGGATTCGGCATCAGATCAGCTGTGCTGTGTGTGCTTCCAAAGACGTTTCTGATCTGCAGGGACGTCGTCCCGTGTAAGAGTTCAGCGGTGCCTCCACTCTGGACGGCAGAACTGATCCCCAGACGGGGCTGGCCTTGTCTTTCAAGCAGAGACCAGAGTGGGCTTTTAAAGGGGAACATCTTCAGGGTGTGCGTCGGGGTCAGCCTCATGTTCCCAGAGCCCATCTGAGAGGCCGGCAGGGAGGAAGGGACCCTGTTCCTTGCTGTCTGTTGTCCACCAATCTCCTTAGAAGGTTGTCTCTTTAGGGGACAACACAGACCCTCACCGGTGCTGACTGGGAGGAAGGAGCCTGGCTACCCCCAGCTGTGCTTCCAAGCAGTGTGAGTCACATTTAGCGTTGTTTGCAGAACTGAAATGCTCCCTGTAGAGTCAGCTTGGGCAGCCCTAACTAAGGAGCCCAGACTGGGCGGCTTAAACAACGGACGTTGATTCTCCCATGTCCTGGAGGCTGCAGTTCAAGACCAAGGTATGGCAGAGCTGAATCCTGCTGAGGCCCCTCTCCCTGGCATGCAAACCCCATCTTCTCCTTGTGTCCTCACAGCGTCATCCCTCCGTGCGTTTTTGTGTCCCCATATCATCTTCTCAAAAAAATAGATCCTGGAGCTCTTTCCATATAATCACATAAAAAACCTTCTCATTGCCTTTCCAAGGGTACAAGTGACGTCACACAGTGAGAGGGACACAGTCATCGGACCAGCTTACAGTCTTCCCACCGCCTTGCCACAGACCTGGGCTTTCTGTGAACATCTCAGGTCCTTCCGTCTGCATCACTCTTACCACCCGTGGGTTCATCATCTTCCCACATGATCCTGGGACCTTTTAGCGCTGTGTTCTGCTAACCCTCCTGCACACCCTTGGCCATTTGTCCCCGGTTATTTGTTGGTATTTTTCTTCTTGACTTCTTGGTGGTTTTGCGGGGAGATTGTCCTTTTGTGGATGGCGGAGCAGCCAATCCTTTCCCTGGCTTTCATTTGCCTTTACTTTGCTTCCATTGTTTTCTTTCTGTTCAGAAGTGCTGAGTGTGCTCAAATTCCTTGGTCCTTTTTGTACAGCTTCTGGATTTTCAGCTGTTGTTAGGTCTCCTGAGGCAACAACTTCAAAGCAATTCACCGGTGTGTCTCTAGGACTCTGATGTCTTTTTTTTTTTTTTTTTTTTTTGATATATGACATTGTTGAAACTTTTGGGGAGCAAACTTACCTTAAAGTCATGAGTTCAAAATTCAAACCAGGCTTCTGACAAGTTACTACCACTATGTATTATCTAATGTTTAGTTTTTGGTTAATGGCTTTTTATTTTAGTTGGATTTTTCTGAATGAAATTGATTGCTGTTAGCTGGTGGAATTACAGGAGCATTTTCCATCCATTTTTTCTGAGCTGCGCAGTTATTGATGGTGACCATCAGAGTCCCAGTGTACAATCCTGGCGATGGCAGAACAGGGAGGTGGGCAGACCCCAAAGCTGCGGTCCTCAGAAAATGGAAGAACTCAGGACTTACACAGCAGAAGCTCCACACTTCTAAAGATTTAGTGAATTCCCAGATCCAACCATGTGCGAATCGCAGAAAGAATAGTAGATTTAAAAAGTCACCTTGAGATTCTAATGCTGGGAGGTTCTTCCTGATCTCACCTCTGCTTATACAGTGTATCCTCACTCCCAGCCTCTTAGCAAAATGCCCCAAATCACCTGTGTGGTGTTGGGCAGTGATGGAGCCTAGGTGTATCTTGGCCTCATCTCTTGTGTGACATTGGGTAGTGACGGGACCTCAGCATGTCTTGGCCTCATCTCCTGTGTGACGTTGGGCGGTGATGGGACCTTGGTGTGTCTTGGCTTTGTCTGTAAAGTGGATTTATGCTGCAGGCTAAGTATCCCTCTTCTGAAATGCTTGGCATTAGACGTGTTTCAGATTTGGAATTTTTTTGGAATGGGGGACATTTGCATTACATACTTGCCAAGTGAACATCCCTAATCCAAAACTCTGAACTCCAAAGCGCTCCAGTGAGCATTTCCTCTGAGCGTCACCGTGGCAGCCAGTAAGTTTCAGATTTGGGAGTAACAATGTAATGACAATGCTGTGAGCGCTTCTCAGTTCCCATGGTGTTCCCAACGGGCTTCAGTTCCTGAACGCTGTTCCCTCCTCTGCTGGAGCCTCCTGCATTGACTCCCCAGGTGGACGTTGCGGTGGCGATTGTGTTTTTACACTCACGGGTCCATAGCCCTGCTCTGTGACAGCGCCTCACCTGCGTTAACCTTCCTACCTCTTACCTGCACGCCTACCGGCAGGGCTGAGAGTCTCCCCCACTCACAGGGGAGGAATTGGGGGCTCAGAGGGTGGGAATGCATGTGGGTCCAAGGGCAGTCAGTGGTGGAGCTGGATTTAGACTCATTCAACTTAGACTCCGGAGCCCAGGACCATAATCATGGGCAGTGCTGCCTCTTTATTTTGGAAGCAGATGATGAAACACCTGAATTACAATCATTTGAACAAGCAAAGCTGGTTTGTTCTCATAGCGAGACTTCCCGAGGAGGACGGTGGTGAGTCCTGGCTGACCGCTGAGTTCTGCCACTGAAGACAAAGGCTTTCTTCATCTTTTCACTCTGCCATCCTTATTGGGTTGACTTTAAGTCCTCTTGGTTGCAAGGAGGTTGCCAGGTATCCAGCCACTAACTCCACATCAAGAGAGGAAGGAGGGAGCTGCAGTGGTGTGAGCTACGTCTATCCCTGTTATTGGAAACCCAGAGCTTCCCAGAGACTCCCCTACGTGACTTCCATTTACCTCTCAGGCCCAGGGTTCTCTCTGGGCAGCCCTCCTGCAGCAGAGCCTGGAAAGGGGGCGGTGGCTTTGCCACCTTGGAGAGGAGAGGGCAGGGCAAGAGCAAAGGAAACGTGGTGTGGCCTCGAGTTAGGCTGCAAGCAGCGGGTGCCGTCACAAGCCCACCCGTTACCACGACTTCGCATCGTCTACATTGCAGGCTCACGTTCACATGCCCTATCCAACCCTCTCCTGCGAGCAGCGGGTGCCATCACAAGCCCACCCGTTACCACAGCTTCACATCGTCTACACCGCGGGCTCACGTTCACACGCCCTATCCAACCCTCTCCTGTGAGTTCACAAATCCGTGACTGACATGGTGTGCACCTCGTCCTCTTGTCCAGGCTTCTCACAAACAAAATGTCCCACCCCAGCTTTCAAGTCTCACCAGAGCCTTTGCTGCCCCATGCCTGAGTGACACCACCATCCACCCGGCTCCAGCCAGAGGCCCTTGCCCACTGATCCCCTCCGGGAGGGGCCACCTGGCACATCTCTGAGTCAAGTCACCGTCACAGGCAAGCTCCCGCTTCTCACGTGCAGGACAGATGGCGCCAGGAAGAGGATGTCAGTGGAAAGCCATAATAAGTTCAAACATGAAATTAGTGTCTCACACAGCAGCTCTGGTCTTTGTCAGACTTTAATTGGGATCAGCACAGATTCATTGCCATGGAGAGGGAAGTAAAATGGGTAAATTCCAGTGCATTTCTGAGAGTGAGAAAAGTTTCTATTTTTCCTAAGGAAAGAAGAGAACTGAAATACGCTTCCTTTTATAACCTATCTATGTGGGAACGGAACGGAAATATTCAGAATGTAAAACACTCCTGCCTGTGTCTATGCAGCATGCACGGCGTAACTGGGGCTGGCACGAGGGGTCAAGGACAAGCAGGACTCTACCTGCCACCCCCCTCAGGGGGACACAGTGCACGCGTTTAGCATCTCCCAGGACATGTGCTACCTGAAGCCCAAGGGAAAGTCCACCCATTTTTAATATTTTCTGTTTGAAAAAAAAAATACACAGCTCATCTTTATGTTCAACTATGCTTTTAAGTATCTGCAAAAAAAAAAAAGTTCATTCAACTGATTGTATTACATACAATTTTCATGGACATTTTTTGTACAGTTATGACACTTCAGCTAAAAGAAAAAAGTCCTTACTGAAAGAGGCTTAAAATACAGAAAGCTTTGCCTCTCCTGGAGGAACCATCAATAACGTGGCTTCCAGCCACTGCACGGCAGTGACTGCTGTGCGGTCCAGGCCTCCACCCCGTCGGACGCAGCGATACCTTTGAAAACAGCACCTCCTCCTGGGTTACTGGGTTCCACTGCTGGAACAGCTGCCCCGAGGCTTTCTAGCTTTCCTCCTCAGGCCACTGGCCAGGTCTAGGCCCAAGCAGGAGCCCACCCCAGGCAGGAGGACAAGTATCCCAGGAGGACCTGAGCCCACGAACACTCCTGGCTCACTGCCCAGGCCTGGAGTGAACAGGGCATTGTTCCCACCCCAGTGCCAGGGATGAGGGCAGAGGAAGAAAGTAAAGCAAAACAGAAGACGTCATAAACTCCTAAGCCCAGAGCACTGGGAGATCTCACATCTATGAAAACTTCTCAAAGGGCGGTGCCTCCACCAGGAGCAGCAGCAGCTAGGAACTTGACAGAAATGTAGATTCTCAGGGCCCACCCGGGGGCTGGCCTGCGATACCCCAGGTGATTCTCATGCTGAGAATAAATGTGATGCTGGCTCTGTCTCCTGTCACCACCTTCCGCCTGGAGCCTCTTGTCCTCAGTCAACATGGCTTTGCCATTGCAGCTGTAGGGACAGGTGAGTGGGTGACCAGATGACCGAGCTGAAACAGGCCCTGGCAGTAAGGAGCCTGGCCTTCCTGTTTGGAAACAGGAGGATGAGCCAAGGAGGAGACACAGGAAAGGAATGTCCTGCCATCTTAAGGAAGGACTGGGAGCTCCCCTTTTACAGAAAGCAAACAAATGCTTGATTTCCTAGGTGCTTCCAGGCAGAAAATAGTGATGCTCAGGAAACAGTAAAAGCCTTTCTGCAATTTTTAAAAATCAGTTCTTTCCTCACTTATTGATTCCTAGCATTTCCTAAAATGTTCACGTGATATTTAACCTTCCTCATGTTTATAAAATTATAGTGGCTAAAAATCCTTCTGTATTAGTCTGTTGTCCTACTGCTTTATATAAAGAGCTGCCTGAGACTGGGTAATTTATAAAGGAAAGAGGTTTAATTGACTCACAGTTCAGCATGGCTGGTGAGGCCTCAGGAAACTTACAATCGTGGCGGAAGGTGAAGGGGAAGCAAGGCACCTACTTCACAAGGTAGCAGGAAGGAGAAGGGGAAGAGCCCCTTGTAAAACCATCAGATCTTGTGAGATCTCACTCACTATCATGAGAACAGCATGGGGGATACAGCCCCCAGGATTCAATGACCTCCACTTGGTCTCTCCCTTGAAACATGGGGATTATAGGGATTGTCATTGAAGATGAGATTTAGATGGAGACACAAAGCCTGGCCATATCACCTTCTTATGATGTCTTTCATGCCACAGATTATCTCAGTGGTGGCCAACAAGATGGACCGAAGACTTCAGAAGCAACAGGAGAGCTGAGGGTTGGAGTGTTCATCATATGCTGAGAAAAATTCATGTTTATAGAAAGCACCAAAAATATTAATTACCCAAAGAGAGTGAGTCACCAGGTGCTGTCAAACCCAAGGCAGGGACTCGAGTTGCCAAAAATTCCAGACAACTGCTGATATGGTGAACATTAAAAAATTACAGAAGTTAAGCTTGAACAATGTGAAAAAATGGCAAATAATTACTCTTTGAACAGACACTTATCAGGGAACCTGCCCCGATATTCACGTAGGTTCTTTTCTATTTTCCTTAAGCGTTGGCCAGCTTGAGAAATAAAGGGACAGACTACAAAAGAGAGAAATTTTAAAGCTGGGCATCCGGGGAGACATCACATGTCGGTACGTTCCATGATGCCCCACAAGCCACAAAAACCAGCACGTTTTTATTAGGGAGTTTCAAAAGGGGAGGGAGTGTGCGAATAGGTGTGGGTCACAGACATCAAGTACTTTACAAGGTAATAGAATACCACAAGGCAAGTGGAGGCAGGGTGAGATCACAGGACCACAGGACGGGAGCGAAATTAAAATTGCTAATGAAGTTTCGGGCACCACTGTCATTGATAACATCTTATCAGGAGACAGGGTTTTGAGATCAACCGGTCTGATCAAAATTTATTTGGCAGGAATTTCCTCTTCCTAATAAGCCTGGGAGCACTATGGGAGACTGGGGTCTATTTCACCCCTACAGTCTCAACCACAGGAGACAGGTGCACCTGGGGGGGCTGTTTATAAGCCTATACCTCCAGGCACGTATTCTCTTTCCCAGGGATGTTCCATGCTGAGAAAAAGAATTCAGCGATATTTCTCCCATTTGCTTTTGAAAGAAGAGAAATATGGCTCTGTTCTGCCCAGCTCACCGGTGGTCAGAGTTTAAGGTTATCTCTCTTATTCCCTGAACAATTGCTGTTATCCTGTTCTTTTTTCAGGGTGCCCACATTTCATATTGCTCAAACACACATGCTGTACAATTTGTGCAGTTAATGCAATTATTACAGGGTCCTGAGGCGACATACATTCTCCTCAGCTGACAGGATTAAGAGATTAAAGTAAAGACAGGCATAGGAAATCACAAGGGTACTGAATGGGGAAGTGATAAGTGTCCATGAAATCTTTACAGTTTATGTTTAGAGACTGCAGTAAAGACAGGCATAAGAAATTACAAAAGTATTAATTTGGGGAACTAATAAATGTCCATGAAATCTTCACAATCCACGTTCTTCTGCCATGGCTTCAGCCAGTCCCTCCGTCTGGGGTCCCTGACTTCCTGCAACAGACACTCAAATTGTTGTGGTGATTATAACAATTCCACGTGCATACCTTCCCCACTTCCAGCAGAGGTAGGTGAAGACTTGGGGTCAGAAGAGACTGTTTCCTATGTGTGAATATCAGCCAGTGGTGTGATCTGGTCTATCAGGAATTCAGTAGGCTGAAATTCCAACTGTAAAGAACATTTTTGGATTCCATATATAAATGGTTAGGTACAAAAATTTGTTTTCTAACATTCCTCACTTTGAAAGTTCATTCCAATGTTTTCTGTTTAATAAATATTGAGAAACCATAAAGTTTCCAAATGTATTCCACATTCCCTTGAAAGTGCTGAAACTTTGTTTCTTTTTTAAGTTTATTTTTGAAGCAACTTAAGTTCCTCCCCTCCCCGCTAAAAAAGCAGGCAACTGGTTAAGTATGGTGCATTAATTAAATAGTAAGATATTATTAGAGAGCGTGTGCGTGTGTGTGTGTGTGTGTGTGTGTGTGTGTGTTCAGGTTCTTAACCTGGGACAAATTTCATAAGAGATAATAATGAGATAAGGAAAAGCTTCTTTCTGTATTCTCCTAGAATAAGTTTCCAGGTCAAATTACTTGCTAAAAGGACCTGTATTTCAAAAGCTGTTTTCTTCATTTAGTTCAGTGGTTTGACTGTTAGTGAGGTTAGAATTTTTTTCAGCTATTTGGTATTAATTTGTATTTTCATGTCTATGAAATTATTTCATACTGATAATTTTTTGAAGGAAATGTTTTCTTATTTACAGGAATCTTTTAAATATTAAGTATGTTATTGCACTCCAGCCTGGGCAACAAGAATGAAACTCTGTCTCAAAATAAAGTAGATATATTAGTGTTTAGGATGTATATTTCCTTTTTTATATTTTAATATTCTCTAAGAGGAAAATTCTCTTTTGATTTTGAAATGTATTTTTCTGACCAACTCGTGTGGTCTTGGTGTGTGCATAACTAAATTTTGTTTCTCTCCTTGCATTGACTGGCAGAAAGTTAGAGCTACATGTAAATCATGCCCATAGCTAACTGTGAACCCTGAACATTTGAGACAGGTCTCAGTTTATTTAGAAAGTTTATTTTGCCAAGGTTGTCACGCACACCCGTGACACAGCCTCAAGAGGTCCTGAGGACATGTGCCCAAGGTGGTTGGGGCGCAGCTTGGTTTTACACATTTTAGGGAGACATGAGACATTAATATACGTAAGAAGTACACTGGTTCCGTCCAGAGGGGGTTCCAGGTCATAGGAAGGTGAGAGACACATGGTTGCATTCTTTTGAGTTTCTGATAAGCCCTTTGAAGGAGACAGTCAGCATATGCATCTGTCTCAGTGAGCAGAGGGATGACTTTGAATAGAGTGGGAGGCAGGTTTGCCCTGAGCAGTTCCCAGCCTGATTTTTCCCTTTAGCTTAGTGATATTGGGGCCCAAAGGTTTTCCTCTCACATAACATGGGGGAGGTCCTGGAACGCACTCTTTGTGGAAACCTCCTTCCCATGCCACTGCCATTCCGATCCTTCTCTCTCTTGCTTCATATCTAAATGCTTTATAAATTTACCTGACTTTCTCATTTGTATTTGCAAATCAAATTAGCTCCTTTTTAGAATGTGTCAGGGAGTAAGTAAATAAGCAATACGAGATTGGTTTTCTGATACAGAAACATCCTTCTGCAGTGTCTTTGTTTAAGAGTATTTTCATATGGAATACTATAATTACCTACCCAAAGGATGGAAACATTTTTATGGCTCTTAAGATTTGGGTCAATTTATTTCTCAGAAGGTCACACTAACTGATAAATGCCCTCAAATAATCAATTCTTGCTTTACTGCATCCTAATCATAACAGTATATTTTAATTTTTAATGTATGTATTTGATTCAAAGAAATGTGCAAAAACTTTTAATTTAATTTACAATAGAGTTACTTTTTAAAATAGGTAGAAAGGAAAGATCGGGTTTGTGAAAATACTCTTTCTCTGCTTTCTACTGACGTCAGTTAGGAGGTTCGGTTATAGTCAAATGTTTTGAAACAATTTTAAGGAATTGAACTCACAAAAAGGCTCTTCCTAGGAGAGGAATACAAGTCCAGCCTAACTTTTTAAAGTCCTCATGAGCGTGGCTGCCTTTCCACCTGCCGAGCACCACGTATGCCCCACGGTGAAATCACACCTTTGTTGGGCTCTGAGATGCATTCACCTGCACTTCTGTCTACTCTCCTTGCATATAAATTATTTCCAGATGATTCTTTCAAAATCATAGGCCTGATTTATAGATTCCCAAATGAGATATTCTCCCCCGAAGAAATTTGTCATGTTAAAAAATGTGCAGTTGTTAGTCACTGATTCTAGGGAAAAAAAAAAAAAAAAGATTAACGGCATAAATCCATATTGATGTTGCCTATTTATCATTTGATTTTTAGAATATGTTTTTCAACCGGGCGCAGTGGCTCATGCCTGTAATTCCAGCACTTTGGGAGGCCGAGGTGGGCAGATCATGAGGTCAGGAGATCAAGATCATCCTGGCTAACATGGTGAAACCCCGTCTCTACTAAAAATACAAACAAAAAAAAAATTAGCCGGGCGTTGTGGCGGGCACCTGTAGTCCGAGCTACTCGGCAGGCTGAGGCAGGAGAATGGTGTGAACCTGGGAGGCAGAGTTTGCAGTGAGCCGAGATCGCGCCACTGCATTCCAGCCTGGGCGAAAGAGTGAGACTCTGTCTCCAAAAAAAAAAAGAATGTGTTTTTCCTAAAAATGCTGTGTGCACTGATGGCAATAAATAAATACTGTCTGACTATTTTCAGGATTTAAATTTAAATTTTAAATTTTAATTAAAATTTGGATTTTAACTTGCAATGTTTATACCAAAGGTTCTGAGTTTCTGTCATCTTAAAACTTAAAATTAACTTAATTTTCATAAAACTTCAAGTTGATAAACTGAGAAGGTCATCAATAGTACCTTAAAAATACTGTCAATCAGCCCAGGCAATGTGGAGAGACCCTGTCTCTACAAAAAAATTAAAAAATAGCCTGGCACAGCGGCCTGAGCCTGTTGTCCCAGCTCCTCAGGAGGCTGAGGTGGGAGGATTGCTTGAGCGGGAGTTTGAGGCGACAGTGAGCTATCATCACACCACTGCACTCCAGACTGGGCAGCAGAGCAAGACTTTATCTAAAAAAATAAAATACTATGAATACATATTTCAAAATTACATTTGCTTATGAAATAATTATTAAAAGTCAAATGTTTTAAAACAAGCATTCTTCTTTTGCTGTATTCTGATATATACATTTGGAAATTGTCAGCAGGTTATAAATTTGTGTCAAAGCAAAAATATAATCACCCAAAACCGTATAAAAGGTAAAAGAGAAAGATTGATTGGTTGGTTTAAATTAAGGAGCCCCTGATCTTGTTTCAAAGGAAACTCAGGAAGATATTTGGGAAACAATTATAATTACTTTTGTGAAGCGAAAAGTGTGTGTCACAAGGCAAATTTTCTAGCACAGAAAGTAAGGTATGACCTTTTGGCTTCAGGAATAATGAGATTAGGTTTACAACTGATAGCAGCTTTCTTTTGTGCTTTGGAAGTCATTGTTTTCTAATGTTACAATAAAGATCTGTTTTAAAGCTACTTATTTTGCCTATAAATAAGATGTCATTTGGTAATCAAGGGCAATTAAGTTGCAAATGTGCTCACCATAATGCTTAATCGAAAATGTAATGAAATTCTGAAAGAGTTGAAGAGTTGAACACCTGAGTTTAGAATCACAAAACTCCTTATGTTCACCTTGTACCAATCAAAAGACATCTATGAGCAGTTTTTCTTTAAAATTAGAACTTTGATATATGTGGAATCAGTGGGGATTTTTTTTAAAGATGTTTCTTAAAGATGGATTTTTTGTCCATCTCGCTATTGAACCTGCTGGTCTGAGAACCTGCTGGTCAAAGATTAATCACAAGGCTGTGTGTGTTTGTGTGTGCATGTGTGTGAGTGCACGTGTACGTGTGTGAGTGTAAGTGTGTGTGCGCGTGATGTGTGTGCGTGTGCGCACGTGTGCTTGCGTGTGTGTGAAATCAGACTTTGCACGACCCACTCTGGAACACATTATAAGAGTTAATGAAATCCTAAATATTAGCTGAGATTGTGTTGAATGGATGAAATCTTCTTGGCCAGCTCCATTTCCAAGGTGGCCTTTTGACTCCATTTGCCAGAGCGCACTGTTTTCGTGTCCCAAGCGTTCATTTCATTAAGCTCTTTCTGGTTGCAAAGGGCAGGCACCCGGAGCCACCTTCTGTAGGGCAAGGTCCTGTGGAGCCACGGGAGGAATCGAGGGAGGCAGGCCCTGTCTCAGCAAGTGCTGGCCGCTCCCCGACAGATGCCCAGAAGTCCCCCCAGGGGTAGTGGCCGCCTCTGTGAAGACACTCAGAGGGCTGGGCTGTAGCCCTGGTCATCACAGCCTCAGCCCTGGACAGCTGAATTGAGCCTGGCAGCTGAATTGTTCTCCATGTTGCTGTGAGCCCACTGACAAACTCCTGCCCTCAGTGTCTGGATTTCACACGCCCTGAGAAAGAGGATGTGATTTATCCTCTCAATCACCCACAAACATGAAATGCGCTTGCCTGGCCTCACCCCACGATGGGTCAGGAACGATGGCCAAGAGGGCAGGATTTTACGGGGCTGAGTGTGTCGACACACATGTTGTTCATGCTGTCAGATGGGCATGCCTAGCACAGACGTGTTCAAGCGGTCAGATGGGCATGCCTGGCACACACGTTGTTGTGAACTCTTGCATTGTTGGTAAGATGTGTGATGGATTTGGTTTTACCAAAAATGGCAAATGTGGAGTTATTTTTAAGGCATACTTCGTGTGCTATTTCTTGATGTGGTTTTATCACACAGTGTTGTTTTCGTCCACCTTGGTGCAACGGCCCTGGTGTTGCAAGAGGAGGTGAGCTCTGAGCAGAATTCTCACATATCTCCACTTAGGACACATTGTTGAGCATCGATGTGTGCCAGAGACTTGCAGGGCATTGAAGGCAGACAGTGGGCTGCCCTGTGCCGGCTCTCAGGTCCCAAGCCTGGATGACTAGGGCATGGACGGTGCTGTGGATGGATGGTGTTGGTGGTCAGCCAGCACAAGCACCACAAGCACTGCTCTGACATCCCTTGCGTGGCAGACACGTTGCCATCCTCTCCGAGGCTCACCTGAGAGTCTAGTGTGTCGGCTATAATGTAACAGTCATGACACGTGAGTAGCATTAGCCCCAGTTTCTCCATTAAAGGAATTAAACCGTTTGTGACAGTCAACTCGGTGTAGCAGGACAAGCACCTAGGGCAGGTGGGGGCACCCTGAGTATTCAGGAGAACTGTTGGTTGATGGAGTGGAAGAGACAGAAGCCAGGGCACCGTGGTTCTGGCTGGAACTTGGGCACCTACAAGCCATCTGAACTTGGGAAAGTCACCTTCTTGGAGCAGTAATGTTGTCATCTGCCAGTCATGGGTAGTGACTGACGACTTCCCGGGATTGTTAGCAGAACCACATGAAATCAGCACCATGCCGACGACCATGAAAACTGCCTCTCATTTCATACCCGAGAACCAATATCTTATTCATTCCTAAAAAAGGATTATCTAACATCCATGGGGTCAGATTAGCCATACAGAGGCAGGTGCATTAAAATTCTGAATTTTCAAGTGAACGAAAAGATCTTCCTTTTTCCATTCGGTAAACCAGAGCACCACCTTGATCTGAAAGCATTTTGAGCCTGGCGTGATGGACTTTGTGCTTCTGCGAAAGTGTAGTATAAATTCCATGGGGCCAGCCCTGCATCCTGACTGTCCCCGAGGGCTCTCTAGAGAAAGATGTCAAGGCCAGCCCTGTCCTCAGGTGCAGTCAGCAGACTCTGAATCTGAACCCGCGTTTGGTCTCATATTCATTTTGTCTCCCTTTTGCCCAAAGCATCCCATTCCTTTTCTGCCACTTCTCTCCCAAGTTTTCCCACCTCTTTATTTTTATTTCCATTCAAATATTTCACTTTGACACCATTGAACTAATTCCTCCCTGTAGGAGGCGCTGGCCAGGCCCAGGAGGCGACATGAGGGCATTCAGTGCTCACAGTCGCTAATATGTCATCTGCTTGCTGCGGGCCTGGCATGGTCTAGGATGTTTACCTCTGTTGGCTCATTTAATGCTCACCACGACCCTCCAAGGCCGGTACAATGATTACGGGCCCTTCACACCTCGGAGAAGTAGTCAGGAAGTCTCCCAAGGCAGCACCACTGGTATGTGGTATGTGGTATGTGGTATGTGGTGTGTGGTGTGTGGTGTGTGGTATGTGGTAGACCCCTGCAGCTCTGCAGCCTGGCTGTCAAGCCTCTGGGTTCTCCTGGAGCTTACGACCTAATGGGTGTGCATGCATGCATATGTGTGTACAAAAGCATGTGCATCTGTGTGTTTGCGTGTGCGTGCAAGTTTGTGCATGTGCATAATCATGCATGTGTGGTTACACATGTGCACATAGTTGTGTGTGCCTGTGTGTGTGGTGAGTGTGTGTTGGGGTGGAGGTGAACAAGGCAGGAAAATGGGGAGGCCATGACAGTTTTTATGTCATTAAAATGATTACCTATCCTTGAGTTCCAAATGATATCTGCCAAACCCTTCCCTGATTCTCCCATGCCTGCCACCACCACCCTGCCCCAGTCTCTCAGCTGCACCCCGTGTACCTCTCTCTGTCTGCAGGAAAAACCCCATTCCAAGGACTGGCTTACTCACCCTTTTCTGCTATTAGACTTTGAACACCAGATCTTGCTTCCGTAGGACAGGGACCATCCTGCTCATCTCTCTATCCCCAACATCTACTGTGGAGCCTGGAACTCGTGATGCCTGTGGCTTCATGGATGCAAGGATGGAAGGATAGATGGAAGGATGGATGGATGGATGAAAGGATGGAAGGAAGGAAGGAAGGAAGGAAGGAAGGAAGGAAGGAAGGAAGGAAGGAAGGAAGGACAAATGGATAAATGGATGGATGGAGTAAATGTCATAGGAAAAGTGCAGATAAAATTCTAATATTCAGAGAAAAGAGAGCTAAATTTAGGTGGGAGAGTTTAAGAAGATGCTCATAGGAGAAGAAAGCTCTTACAATGGGTCTTAAAGATGGATGGAGTGGCCATAAGTAAGGAGGTGAATCAGAGGAAGATACTGCGGGGGGAACAGAGAGCTGCTGTCCATGGTAAGGGCAGCTGTAGCCTCATGCAAAGTGCCTGCATTTGAGGATGAGAAGCTGGCCTGGGGCACCTGCAGGGCTCGGGGCTGCTGATGCTGCTGGGGCTGCCGAGGCACTCATGTCCCATGCAGCATGGCCTCAGTCCTCCCTGCATTCCCTGCCTTTTCTTCCTTTTCCTTCCTGTTTTCTCTCCCATTCATTCTCAATTCTCTCTTCTTTTTATCACTATCTGCATCCACCCAAATACACTTAACTAATTAAAATCTCTATAGTGTGTTCAAAAGTTATTTCTCACCTGCAGTACTCCCTTGAGCTCCAGGCTGTCCGTTCCCCCAATTTCATTATGCCCCCAAAAGGCTGGGCACATTTTAAAACATGTTCTCTCCACAAACACAGAATTCCCTGAGCACCTAAGCAGAATTGAATGGAGAGGAAATGAAGAACATATTAACTTCCTCTTAGATCCCCGGGCTGATTTCTTTCAGGCTCAGGGCTCAGACTGCATGATAAGATAACCATTTTGTGAAAAGATGAAAGCTGCTCCGTGCAGGGCGCATTCTGTGCAGGTACAGAACAGATAGGGAGGGGCTTATGTCTCCGTCCCTCCTCCCCCGCTCCCATGCTCACCGCTTGCTTTCTGTTGCGAGTGTCTAGAATGCCCTGGCCCTCTTTTCTAGGAATTGGATTGTACCATTGTCATTCCAACCTCTCTTATCAGAGGCAAAGCCCCAGGGTGCAGCCCTCCCCGCAGCGTGGCCACAGCCACTCAGAACTCCAGAGAGTCACGCCCCGGGTGGACATGTGTGTGAATCATCAGCACAGCACCCTCAGATCCCCACCCTGAGGCACAGCCCCTCGTGTCATGACAGCTGTCACTCATCTTTTTTTTTTTTTTTTTTTTGAGACAGAGTCTTGCTTTTGCCTAGGCTGGAATGCAATGGTGCGATCTCCACTCACTGCAACCTCCACCTCCCAGGCTTCAGTGGTTCTCATGGCTCGGCCTCCTGAGTAGCTGGGATTACAGGTGCACACCACCACGCCTGACTAATTTTTGTATTTTTAGTAGAGATGGGGTTTCACCGTGTTGGCCAGGCTGATCTTGAACTCTCAACCTCAAGTGATCCACCTGCCTCAGCCTCCTAAAGTGCTGGGATTCCAGGCATGAGCCACGGCACCTGGCCTGTCACTCATCTTTTTTCGTTTGTTTTCATAACTAACAGCATGTCCACCAACAGACTCTGAGAGAGCTCAGGCAGCACATATTCTCTGGGACTTAATCGCTGCTGTTGGCCGGATGCCTTCCACATTGAGATGCAATCCACAGACAAGTTGTCAAGTCCATCTGGGTGAGGACTCCGAAGAGGAAAACAGGTTACCACGTGGTTAGCCACACCATTACAACACTGGCGACTGTTCCTATGATGGACGGCTCTAATCTCGGTGCACTGGGAGATAACAAGCCCATCCCCACGAGTTGAGTGAGAATTTAACTTGTGCCTGGAGCCAGAAGCGCGACGCAGAGTGGACTGGGGTGCACTGAGCCTTGCCAGGGTCCCGCACCCTCACCGGGAGCTGTGATGGGGCCACCTTCTCCCTCTCCAGGCCCCACTTTCCTGTTTGAAGGATGCCCGCCCTCACCAGGAGCTGTGAAGGGGCCACCTTCTCCCTCTCCAGACTCCACTTTCCTGTTTGGAGGATGCCGACAGCGAGACCTGCCCACATTGCATCGCTTTGCATGTCTAGCTGTGCTTGATATAGAAGACCTTCTGTGTGGATGTGTGACACACCTCAGAGCCAGCAGGTGGGACACAGCTGTGCCATGAGCACCACGGCCCGTGTCCTTGTAGGGCCTCCCTTCCCTGCCTTCTTCCTGTGCCCCCCAAGCCCCTCAGTCCATCCTCAACAGCCAGGGAGACCCCCTCAAGCATCAGTGGCTTCCCATCTCTTCTCTGCTCCTATGGCCTCCAGACTCAGAAGCCCAGCAAAGTCCTGTTATTATTGCCAGCCCCACCCTTCAGGACCCAGACAGGGCCTCCTCTTGCCTGCTCTCCCTGTGGTCCTCCTCCCTGGCAGTGCCGCCACAGGCACCAACTCAGAGCTGTGGACGCACCGTGCCTGGAACCCTCCACCCAGGACCCTCAGAGATACGTCCTACTTCCTTAGGTCTCTGCCCTGGTCAAGCCCTCCCCACCACACTTGTCCCAGCGGGTAAAGGCCCGAAACATGGGGTGATGAGCCCCTTGCCCCGCGTTTTTTAGAGTGTTTGTCACTGTCTGACGTTTGCCTGTTTATCTGTTTATTGCCGGTACCACCACCCAACTGAAGGCTTTGGAGCAGGGGCTGTTTCACTCACTGTCTACCACGGTACCTTGTTTGCAGCAGGTGCTTTGTAAATTTTGTTTGAATGGCTGGGTTGAGTCATTAATGAAAGAGAGGGAAAGGAAGGCAGGAAAACACTTTTAAAACTCATACCACAGAAGATCTATCTAAAACCTCTCCAATTCTGTAATTCTATGACCTCATGAGAAAAGAAAAAAAAACACCCACCTAGTGACCATAATGTAGCAAACTTCCTGCCGGGCTGGGCGCTGGAGTCGGGTGTGGCTGCACAGCTCTGCTGCCTTGCAGACCACTCCAGGGAGCTGCCGGGAGCTGGACGCATGCTGGTGTCTTACCCCACGGAGGGGGCATCACTGCGGACAGAGCCCAGCGTGGGCGGCCGTGACCAGCAGTGCTTCCTCTCAGAAGCTGCCTGTACCTTCTGGAAATATGAAATATGGCAACCATACAACCATTTCTGGATAATACAGTTCCACCTTTGAAAATGGTTTGAAACCACACAAACATCCAGGTCTCATCTATTTGGGGCTAAGATTTTAGAAACAGTAGAATTTTTCTTACAAAACATTTAAATAAGAAAGTACAAAGCGGCTCCTGTGAGCACAGCAGCAGAATCGTTTCCACAGAATTCGGCCCAGGGATCCACAGTTTGGTAACCAGCACAGGATTTTCTACAGAGCCCAGGATTTTCTACGGAGCCCTTCCTCTCAAGAGCATCAGAGTACTTGAGAATATTAACCATGTGTTATTCGGAGCAATTCCAGCCTTGGAAATTTGCGGAGGATGTAAACTTTGCCAACTAACCTAGGGGAGAGCTTCACCCAAATTCTTACCTCCACTGAGCCCCTAATGCACACTTCCTCTTTGTGTTTAATCCATTTATTTGTTTAATACATTTATTTATTCATTCCATTATCAAACATTCATTGAGACCTCTGTTGGTAGTTTAAGACATTCTGCTAAGTATACAGCATGACTCAGATTAAAATGGCCGTTGGAGACACAATATCAAACATAAAAACTAATGTAAGACAAGGCAGAGCATAAACCTGGTAGCTGCTGATATTTACTGATATCAGTAAATATCCTGAGCTGCACCCCAGAGGTATGGTCTTACTGTGCCTGGGATGATGTCCAGAAATTTGTCCTTTACACACTTCCTGGGTGATGCTGAGGTATAGCCTCGGTTTAAAGCCCTTTGAACTATGGAAAAATAAAGGCAAACCTCAAACAGATAAGGAAATGCAAGATCTCAGTGAGCTGTCCCAGGACCAGATCTTGGATCCCACGACTGGGAACCAGCAGAGCCCACTGGGTTCTAGAACCTCTGCCAGCTCACCCAGACGAGATCTAAGGATTTCCCTTAAGCTTTCCTCAGCAGTTATCTGGATGGTGGATTAAGTAACCATCAGCCATTTGTGTGTAACTCAAACTCACATTATCGGGTCAGTTAACAGATTTACTAATTTATACCTTGCTTCTTTTCATGAGGAACTGAAGCGAGAACAGAAACGTGTACAATGGAATGATGGAATGTCTACTGACTCCACAATCATGGTCACGGAACGTTAAGTGAGAATGAAGGCAAAGAAAAGAGATGTATATGACTGTCACAGGACCTTTGATTATTGATTTAAGAGCCTCAGATGTTTCTCTGAGCCATATAGTGATCAGAGCAACACAGGAAACAGCTTCAGCCACATTCTTTGTTCTGTGGAGAAGGAGGAGATTTAGAAGCAAAAAATAAACATAACTGCTTTCCTAAATGTTATGAAACAGATCTTTTCCTGAGTTCTAAAGCAAGTGAAGAAAAATTTTAAGTGAAGTGTGTCTATATTCAATTTTGAGTTTCTGTGTATGTCTTCCTTCATCACATGCGTGTATTTATTTTATTCGAGCTTTATGGGGATATAAGTCACACACCATAAAAGTCACGCTTTAGGATGTACAATTCGGTAGCATTCAGTAGATTTACAGGTATGTGCAACCATCGCTCTAATCAATTTAAAACATCTTCACCCCAAAAAGCAACCCTGTGCCTTAGCAGCCGCCTGCCCTCTCACCTACCCTGATGCTGGGAATCAACAATCTGTTTTCCATTTTGAGATCTGCCTGTTCTGCACACTTCATATGAATGAAATTGTACATTGGTGGTCTTTTGTGACTGGCTTCTTTCCCATGGCATAAGGTTTTGAAGGCCCTTCCCTGGTGCAGCACGTTTCTGGGCTTAATTGGTTTTAATTGCTGAAAACATTTCCATTGTGCGGTACAGCCCCCATGTTTGTCCATTCATCCGTCGGGCAGCATTGAGGTCGTCTCCACTTTTTGGCAACTATGAATGATGTCGCTGTAAGCATTCTTACACAGGCTTTTGCCTGGATGTGTTTTCATTTCTCTTGGATGTGCACCTCGGAGTAGACTCACTGGGGCTTTTGGTGACTCTGTGTTCAGCCTTTTTAGGACCCTCCAGCCTGTTCTCCCTTCCCCAGCAGCGTGCGAGGTTCCAGTTTCTCTGCATCTTCATCAAGCTTTGGAACTGTGTCCTTTTCCCTCTGTCCACTCCAGGGGGCTTGAGTGGTACCGCACTGTGGTTTTGATTTCATTTCCCTACTGGTGAGTGATTCTGAACGCCTTTCTGTGTGCTCTTTCGCCGTTAGGACATCTTCTTTGGAGAAATATTCAGCTCCTATGCCCATTATTATTTGGATTATTTGTCTTATTATAATGGAGTTGTCAGATTTATATATTCTGGATTCAAGTTCCTTCACAAATACGTGATTTACAAAAATGTTTCCCATTCTGTGGATGGCCTTTGCATTTTTTTGATGGCATCTTTTAAAGCATAAAACTTTTTAATTTTAGGTAGTTTATTTTATCTATATTTTTTCCTGTGCTTTGGTGACATGTCTAAGAAACCATTGCCTGGTTCACAGTCACAAAGAAATGCATCTATGTTTTCTACAAATAGCTTTATAGTTTGAGCCCTTTTCTGTCTTTAAGCCACTTTGAGTTCATTTTTGCAGATTTTGTAAGATGGGGGTTAAATTCATTGTTTGGTGTGTAGAAATTGGGTTATCCTAGCATTATTTGTAGGAGAGACTATTCTTTCCCCTCTGGGTGACCTTGTCTCCCTTATCAAAAGTATCACATGTGCAGGTGCATGTCTGGACTCCAGTTCAGTTCCATGGGTCCATGTGTGCATCCTTGTGTGGGGCCCCACCCTTTTGATTACTATCACTTTGTGACTCTTGGGATCCATAAGTGTGAGTCTTCCAACCTGGTTCTTCTCTTTCAAGATTGTTTTTGCTTCTCAGGACCCATTGCATTTCTATATGAATTTGAGGATTGGCTTTTGCACTTCTGCAAAAAAGCCATGTGAGGTTTTGACAGGAATTTCAGGGAATCTCTAGGTCACTTGGGGTAGGACCTACCTCATCTTAACCATTAAGTCTGCCAATCTATGAACATAGGATGTCTTTTCATTTACGTAAGTCTTGCTTAATTTCTTTCAGTAGCGATGTTTTCTAGTTTTCAGTGTACGAATCTTTCACGTCCTTTTTTTCTTTTTTTTTTTAAGAGACAAAGTCTCACTCTGACACTTAGGCTGGAGTGCAGTGATGCAAGCTTGGCTCACTGCAGCCTTGAACTCCCAGACTCAAGCAATCCTCCCACATTAGCCTCCCAAGTAACTGGGACTACATGTGCCTACTACTATGCCTGGCTAATTTTTGTATTTTTTTTTAAAGACAGGGTTTGCCATGTTGTCCAGGCTGGTCTCAAACTCCTGGGCTGAAGTGATTCCCCCATCTCAGCATCCCAAAGTGCT
This sequence comes from Homo sapiens, assembly GCF_000001405.40. Lineage (NCBI taxonomy): Eukaryota > Metazoa > Chordata > Mammalia > Primates > Hominidae > Homo > Homo sapiens. The sequence continues at coordinate 1,544,171 of NC_000008.11, forward strand.
GGGATTACAGGTGTGAGTGACTGCGTCTGGCCCTCTTTTACCTCCTTGGTTAGGCGGTCCCAGGGACTTTATTCTTTTAGATGTTATTTTAAGTGGAATTGCTTTTCTAATTTCCTTTTTGGGTTTCTCATTGCTAATGTATAGAAATACAATTGATTTTTTATTTTGCTCCTGTAACCTGCTCCTTTGCTGAGCAGCAGTGAAAGTGGGCATCCTTGTCTTGTTCTCTTCTCACAGGGAGAGCTTTCAGCCCTTCAGCATTGAGTATGATGTTAGCTGTGGGTTTCCCATAAATGCCCATTATCATGTTGGGGAAGTTCCCTCCAGTCCTAGTTCTCTGAGTGTTTTTATCATGAAATAGTGTTGTACTTTGTCACATGCCTTTTCTGTATCAATTGTGTTGAGTATGTGGCCTTTTCCCCTTTGTTCTATTAAAGTGATTTATTACATTGATTGATTTTCCTATGTTGAACCACCCTTGCATTGCTAGGATAAATTCTACATAGTCACTGTATATAATTCTCCTCATATGCTGCTATATTTGATTTGCTAGTATTTTTGAGGATTTTTTTTTTTTTTGAGACAGAGGTCTCACTTTTGTCGCCAGGCTGGAGTGCAGTGGTGTAATCTTGGCTCATTGCAACTTCTGCCTCCCGGGTTCAAGCGATTCTCCTGCATCAGCCTCCTGAGTAGCTGCGATTACAGGCATGCGCCACCATGCCCAGCTTATGTTTGTATTTTTAGTAGAGATGGGGTTTCACCATGTTGGCCAGGATGGTCTCGATCTCTTGACCTTGTGATTCACCCATCTCAGCCGCCCAAAGTGCTGAGATTACAGGCATGAGCCACCATACCTGGACTATTTTTGAGGCTTTTTGCATCTCTATTTATAAGGGATATTAATCTATAGTTTTCTTTTCTTGTCTTTATCTGGCTTTGCTAGCAGGGTAATTCTGGCCCTGATAGAATTACCATAGAATGGGCTTGGAAGCATTCCTGCCTATTCTAGTCCTGGGAGACTTTGAGAGGGATCGGTGTTAATTCTTTTTTAAATATTGATAGAATTCACCTGTGACACCATCTGGTCCTGAACTTTTCGTCCCACAAGCACGGCGTGCACCCTGTAAACATTTGCTGCATTCTTCATATTTTTATTGTTATACTTACAATATGCTATTTAGATTGGGTAGGCCGGCCGCCCCATAAGTGCAACAGTAAGACGTGCATTTACATTCTATTCTGAATTTGGGGAGATGGTTGTACGTTCATGAATAAATGACTATAATTGCTGTTTTCTCTCAATGACAAAAATGGTGTCATGAAGCAGTGGAAATTAGGAAACTAAGATGCTTTCCGCATTTTGTGTTTGCTACCTCATTTTCACAAAAAGAAATTACCAGCCCCTAAGTATTTATTACACATTGTGCACACCTAAAAAACCCGGAGACCTAGCTTAGTGCTCGTTACATGTTCTAGTGTTGCCATTGTTTACAGCACGCTGCCATTGTCATTATTGTGATAATATTTTAAAGTACATGTTTCCATGCATCCATCAGGAAATCCAGTCCTGTATAGTGGAAATGAGAATGTGGTATCAACATGTGGCATAATCAAATTTAATTCATTTCAGTTAAATTTTATCTTTTATGCCATTCTTTTATGAAGCCACATTCATAACATAGCTTCTAGGCTAAACATTAGGCAGAAGTAGGATACGTGAGTGGGGCAGTAATGGACTCTCTTTTTAATATGAAGGAAGATTAAAATTGTATTAAATTACACGTTAATGGAAAAACAAAGCAAAAGATAATAGGATGACAACTTTATGCAGCTGTAAAGTCTGGATTACAGCACATAGTTTTGCTATTTAGCAGTTGAATATTGAATTTCATTTGAAAATTTGCTTTTAATTATATTAAAATAATATCTAAATATTCCCCCAATATATTAAAGTGCTCTCATTATAATTTGACTGTTTGAGAAAGGAAGACGCCGCCGGCCATTACAGTGTAGGTGCTCCTGTGAGACAGCGTAGGCACCTGAAATATAACACAGTGAGGCTCACCTTGAAGTTAAAGGATCTCTTTATCCTTCAACTGGGGACTGTTTACTGTGAGAATATGCAGGAGCAATCCCTTTGCTGGCCTCAGTGGGAGAAACAGCCCCACACCTTGCTGTCAGTCTCTCGGGATCCCTCAGGAAATCTTTACGTTCCCTTCTGCATTCACACCTGGGTGTGAGAAGCCGGTCCCTGACTTCCCAGGGACTCATGAAATCGTATCCCTTCCTTATCCCATGTTTCCATGGCCATGCTGGCCCAGACGGCTGGCCGTCCTGGATCCTGAAATCTGCGACGTTTTGAGGCCATACCTAGGACTAGTCACTTGGTAAACATTATCAGCAGGGGATTTTGTTGTTGTTGTTTGTTTGTTTTTGCCTTGGTTACCTGGAGGGTTGGGGTTGGACACGATGGGAAAACTCTCACTCCCCATCACTCTGCTTGCTTTCCCTGGCATCCATGTTGCTCAGGGAGTCAGAGTGGGTGGCTCTCCAAGCGCAGGGCATGATGGACTCACCCCAAGACTGCAAGCAGGGGTGCATCTCAGGCTGCTTAGGGTGGTGGCGAGAGAGGAGCAAGTGGGAGAGACGCTTATGGTGACGGGAGAGCTGGCAGGCAGGAATTCGTTCCGGGATCCGAGGCATGGAGGTGGTCCAGGAGAGGCAGGTATTGGACAAACGTGTGGGGGGATAGTTCCCTTCCTGAGGAGACGGCCACGCTCAGCCGTCGAGGTGGCCACTTCTTGCTCCTGTCTGGGTCTTTGGCCTCGAGGACGGCACACAGCAAGGCCGAGTGGTGTGGAGCCGGGTCTTGGAGTGAATGCAGGGATGCATTCCAGGCCTGGGAGGAGAGGCGGCAGGACCCGGGCAGCGACATCTACAAATGACGGCAGCCGGGTGTGCTTAAGGCTCAGCAGACTCACAGGGACGTGCGGACCGTGGGGCAGAGGGAGGCTCGGCAGCTCCTCTGGTCATCACAGAGCTTGGACGTCTGGTCTGGGCCTGGCACTGCTGCGGGATGGCCCGTGGCTGTCACAAGGAAGGCAGCTGTGCCCGCAGGGAGCTTGCTGTCCTAGATGTGGCCCTGGGTGACAGGCTGAGAAGAACAGGGCTCCCCTAAAAGTTGGTGGATGGGCTGGGGTGCATTTGAGGGGGTCAGCCCCACAGCTGTGTCTGGGTGGAGGCAGGGGGAGAGGGAGAGAGAGGAGGAGGCCATCGTGATGGTCCTGGTGACAAGGAGGAGGGTCTGGGGCAGGAGGGGCCTGGGATGGAGGAGGCAGATGTGGGGTTGAGGGGGGCCTGCCAGAAGGAGGAAGGTGTGAGTGCAGAGACCAGGGGAGCAACAGGCCGTGGAGCTGGCAGATCCTCCTTCTCTGCAGGTCACCCCAGCGCCCAGCCGCCTTCCCAGGGAGAGAGGAGAGAGCAAGCGACCTGCCCCTTGGTGGCTCAGTGGCCATAAGACAGGTGGTGCTTTGTTGTAGCCACAGCCTCGCTCCTCCAGGCATTCAGGGAAAGCCCATCACAGGCCGCAGAAGGACACAGGGAGGAGTCAAGCGGGATTCCTCTGGGGAAGGAGGCACAGCTGCCCCCACACAGATGGGACCTCGAGAAAGCTCCTCCCATCCTCACTGGCCTGTAAGGGTGTGGACTGAACAAACGATTTCACGATTAATACCTGTGTATGTGATACATGAGCTTACTAGACAATATCACCCATCAAGTACCAGATGCTATTTTTAAAACTTCTTAAGCTGTACGACAAAACTGAAATCTATGTGAAATACAACTATGCTTTTCCCCCAAATTGTTAATTTCCTTTAATACCACAAAATCCGGCTGTCAAGAGACCTGTTCAATCTACTAGATGCTAAATCTTGGTCATTAACCATTTGGGAACATCAGTGTTTCCTCTCCACTCCTCACACTTTGCGATATAAAAACAACTGCCTGGCCGGGTGTCCTGGCTCATATCTGTAATCCCAGGACTTTGGGAGGCTGAGGCCAGTGGATCACCTGAGGTCAGGAGTTTGAAACTAGCCTGACCAACATGGCGAAACCTCGTCTCTACTAAAAATACAAAATTAGCCGGGCGTGGTGGCAGGCGCCTGTAGTCCCAGCTACTCGGGAGGCTGAGGCAGGAGAATCGCTTGAACCCGGGAGGCGGAGCTTGCAGTGAGCCGTGATCGCGCCATTGCACTCCAGCCTGGGCGACAGAGCGAGACTGTCTCAGAAAAAAAAAAAAAAAAAAAAAAAAAACCCACAAATCTGCCCTCTCGAGTGCCCAGGCCAGACATGGACACTGATTAATGAAGTCCACGGTGGGGGTCACATATTCCCCGCACCTGAGGGTTTCCGCCGCGCTTCCGGGTGTTCAATGCCGTTTCTGTTTCCCCACAGACCCGCAGTACTCATGGTCGCCCACGCAGCACTTCAATGAGGAGCGCTACTCGCCCGCGCCCAGGAGCATGAAGGGCCTTTCCGGAAGTCGGACCCAGCCGCCGCTGTGTTCCGGGCACACGTGTGGTCTGGCGCCCCCGGAGGACTGCGAGCACCTGCACCACGGGCCCGACGCGCGGCCGCCCTACCTGCTGAGCCCCGCCGACAGCTGCCCCGGGGGGCGCCACCGCTGCTCGCCGCGCAGCTCGGTGCACTCGGAGTGCGTGATGATGCCGGTGGTGCTGGGCGACCACGTGTCCAGCAGCACCTTCCCGCGGATGCACTACAGCTCGCACTACGACACGCGCGACGACTGCGCTGTGGCCCACGCGGGCGCCAAGATCAACCGCATCCCGGCCAACCTGCTGGACCAGTTCGAGAAGCAGCTGCCGCTGCACCGGGACGGCTTCCACACGCTGCAGTACCAGAGGACGTCCGCGGCCGCCGAGCAGCGCAGCGAGAGCCCCGGGCGGATCCGCCACCTGGTACACTCCGTGCAGAAGCTCTTCACCAAGTCGCACTCGCTGGAGGGCTCCTCCAAAAGCAACGCCAACGGCACCAAGGCGGACGGCCGGGCGGACGACCACCACCACGCCCACCACGCCAAGCACAGCAAGAGGAGCAAGAGCAAGGAGCGCAAGCCGGAGGGCAAGCCCCGGCCCGGCATGAGCAGCTGGTGGAGCTCGGACGACAACCTGGACAGCGACAGCACCTATCGGACGCCCAGCGTGCTCAACCGGCACCACCTGGGCCCCGTGGCCCACTGCTACCCCGACGCGCTGCAGAGCCCCTTCGGGGACCTGTCCCTCAAGACCTCCAAGAGCAACAACGACGTCAAGTGCTCGGCCTGTGAGGGGTTGGCGCTGACGCCCGACGCCAAGTACCTGAAGCGCAGCTCCTGGTCTACGCTGACGGTCAGCCAGGCCAAGGAGGCCTACCGCAAGAGCTCGCTGAACCTGGACAAGCCGCTGCTGCACCAGGACGCCAAGCCCGCCCTGAGGCCGTGCCACTACCTCCAGGTAAGCAGGCTCACGGCCCTGTGGAGGCCGTCTCGGCACAGCAGGTGGTATTGTCGTTATTCCTTTTTTAATTGACAGATAACAACTGCATACACATTTAGGTTGTGCAACAGGATGTTCTGAGCTACGGATATGTTCTGGGACAGCTCCACTGAGCTGTTAACACACGCATTACCTTACATACGTAATTTTTTTGGTGGGAGCACTTAAAATCCACTCTGGATGATTTCCACCTATTCAATACGTGGTTGTTAACTGCAGTTACCGTGCTGGCCAACAGGTCTCTTGAGCTGACCCCTCCTCACTGAAATGTTGTCCTTTGACCAACATCTCCCAATTCTTCCCCATCCCCAGTCCCTCTGGTAACCACGGTTCCACTCTCTGCTCCTATGAGTTCAGCTGTTTCAGATGCCACCCGTGAGAGGGACCATGTGGCCTCTATCTGTGTGCGCCGGGCTCATCCTGCTTTGCAGTTTCTTCCAGCTCACCTGTGTTGTGGAGAATGGCAGATCTCCTTCTTTCAAAGACTGAGTAGTGTCCCCTGTGTATGTACCGCATCTTCTTTATCCATCATTTGCCGGGAGACTCGAGGATTGACGGCACGCTATGGCTTTGTGCGCGGGGCTGCAGGGATGGCGGGACGTTATCTACGGGCAGCTCTCATGCGTGAGTCTGGCCTGCTCTGGGAGGGCCTCTGAAGATCCCGACTCCTCCTTGGAACCATCCCTCTAAACACAGTGGGCCATTTCTTTAAGGCCTCTAAGGCTGGAGGGTTTAACAACCACAGCAAACACAGACTTGCCCATGTGGGTGTTTTCCATGTGAGAGCTGATGGACCGGCCTAATGGAAGTGGGCCTGCGACATTCGTGAGTTCACTCCCTGCACCTGGCCACAGCCTCTCTAAGCACCCCCCACTACAAAAAGCCTGATTATGGAAAAGGCCTCTGTGTCTCTGGGGTGTGGATTAAATGAATTTACCAAAGGCAAAAACAAAGAAGGTAGATCCCTAGAGCTGGCATATTGCAGAATTCCCTGTTTTATGTGATTTCACTCTCTGTCTCTGAATTGTGCCATGCCTGAGTTTACTGGAGAAGCTCTCTGGGAGGCACACGCTACTTCTGAGGATGCCACTCAGTGACTTCCATCAGTCGATAGCGCTGTTAAAAAAAACATAACATGTGTGTCCCAACTCACAAATCACTCTTGCTTGCCTAGAGCAGCGGCTGTGGGCCTCGCATCAGCTTAGAGACATCTTCATGGAGTAATGGGCCATTGCTGGCTGAGCCAACAGGCAGTCAACTAATGGGACAGGGGGACTAGCAGCCGTGATTCTTTCTGGGAGTCGTGGTGGCAAATCCTTCCAGTGGCACCGTCACCATCAGGTCCAGCGTCCACATCTCAACAGCTCTGTTTTGAAAGGAAATGCTAACCAAATTGCCTTTGCAGGCAGATTTATTCAGAGACAAATTGGTAGTTGCATAAAATATTATTTTATAGCAATGGAAGAGGCATAAATTTTGTTTGCCGTCGGCAAACCCTAATCATATCCAAATGTAAAAGTTGTGTCTGCTTGTTTAGAGAAGCCTGGTAGAAAGAATCGGGGTTCACTCTGATCTGTCTCCTCATTGTCACAGACACATAGCTCTCTTGTTTTTGTCTGTGCCTGGTGTGGATAGTCAGTGTTCCCTGAATGAGCACTTCAGGACACTGTCAGAGCCTCCAGGTTTTGCCCCAGGGTCACCTGCCTCCAATGCCTGCCACTCTCCCCAAGCCCCTCCAGCTGCGCCTTCTCCACAGGTCCTGTGCCCCTTGGACCTGCCTTCTCCAAGGAGCTTCTTCCACCCACTTCCTCCCAGGAACACGCTTCTCTCTGCCTCCAACAGCTATTCCACGGTCTAGGTGCAGGGAATACCAGTCGTCCACAAAGGTGAAGTGAGACAGAATGAACCCACACACCGTCAGCCCCTTTCAAAAACCATCCCTCCGAAAGTGACCTCATTCCATCTGCACTCACGCCTTCCCACCCAGGCTACACTGCAACAAATCCCACACGACAGACAGATACAACTGTAAATATGCCTGTGTTGATCTCCCAGAGATCCACACGGAATGATGAGTACGCTTTCTTTTGAAACATAACCACCTGCATTATATCATCCTGGTCAGTGGTCACATTCCCCTGAGGGCTCACTGTCTCTTGTTGGCTTTTATTTGAATCAGGATCCAGAGAAGGGGCCCGCCTGGCAGCTGCTGATGAGCCTCTTCATCTCGTTCAGCCCGAGGTTTCTCCTCTCTTTCCTCTCTTCCTCCCCCTAGATTTTTTTTGTTTGGAACCAGCTGGTTGGTCTGATTGTGTCTGTCAGTCTGAGTTCCGTGCCATGGGGTCATTCCAGACACTCTGGTCCTGTTGTTCTGCAGCCAGCCACCCACTCCTGGACTTCCCTGCCCTGACGCCACTGGCCTCCCTCTCACGTCCACTCAGATGACACATCCTCGGAAACAACACAGAGCGTTATCGTGCCGACATTGGGAAGCACTGCCCGGAGGATCGGAGGATAGAAGGACGTCTGCAGGGAGCAGCCACGGCTTTCATGGCGCTCGTTCACAAGGGCGTTTTCTTGCAGTAGCAAGCTTCCCCCATCCCCACATCCGCCTCCCAGTGAAACCACCTCTTCGGGGCATGCAGCTCGGTGACTTCTCTCCCCTCCTCACTGTCCCCCAGTGGTTGCTGCTGGACCCCTCATGGAAGGATCTATGAAGCTGAATATCAGGAGCTGTGTGCAACCTCCTCGGGCTGTTTCTGTCCTAGGACTCAGCTGGATTGACGTCTGGCATTTTCAAAGATGCCTGTGCAGGGCTGTCCCTTCCTGTCAATTGCATTAAACTTTCTGGTGGAAAACTACAGGTTTCTGGGTCCTCACAACCCCAGATTTTATTTCGCAGCCAGGAAACAGGGAAACTAAAGGAATTTGTCTGTGGGTCCTAGTGTACGGATAAGATTTAAAAGAATAAGAAGAGAGAAATAAATGTTTATAAATTTTCTTCCTTTTTTCACTAGGAGCACTTGCAGCTGAACGACAGGATCACTTTTCATTTTCACCCTTGGTTTGTACAGAGTATGTGGTTCACATTAGAGGAAGATTTTTTTCTTGTTTTTAAGTAGGTCAAAACGGAGAATAAGTGGAATTGAAAGGCAATTCAGGCCTCACGTTATTCTTTCACAAAGCTCTTGTTTTCATCTTTTCTGCATCAGCAGACTAAGCATCTAAGGTCAAACTTTTCATGAGCATTGTAGGAATGCAGAACGGATTCGCCGTGGCTTAGCTCAGGATGCCAAAGGCTCTCTATGCCACAGTCCACCGAAACTCCCAGGGACGTGCAGGGAGGGAGAGACGCCGCCTCCCCGGGAAGGCTCCTGGCGGCATCAGATGGAGGGACAGCGGGGCCCCTGCTGCATCCCAGAGAAGACCCGGCAGCCCCTCCAGCCCTCGGCCTCTGTCCCCGCCTCCTTCCCTCCTGTCCTCAGGCCTCCTCTCTGCAGCCTCCCAGTCTCCCACCGCGTCCTGCGCTCCTGGTTTTCTCCTCTTCTAGTGTCTTCCCCACCTGGCGTCGCCCGGCCGCAACCCTGGCCCTCCTGGGGAAGAGGTTCGGACCCTACTCTTTATTTGACATGAAGAGGTTCGGACTCCCAGTTTTATTCGGCATGTTCACGGGCAGCAGCCCCATTTTGTTTGGCGTGTTCACGGGCAGCAGCCCTGTTTTATTCGGCGTGTTCACGGTCAGCAGCCCCGTTGTGCTTGGCGTGTTCACGGGCAGCCCCGTTAGACTTTGGGTTTTACCTGTCAGGCTTTTTACATGTTCACGTGTTGGAAGCAAATGGCAGAAAAGAACACAGAGGGGAGGGGGTGCGATGAAAACGGGGAGCCCTGAGCATTCCCTCCCTGCGTGTAAAGTGTTTCAGAACCTCTCCCTGCTCCCGCCCTCTGCAGCCGGTCCCATCACTGAGTACTGACCTTTCCTTGCAGCCATTCGCTGAAGGACGTGTTGCGGGTCCCATCACCGAGTTCTGAGCTTTCCTTGCAGCCATTCTCTGAACGACGTGTCTGTTTTGTAGGCCGTGCAGATCCCTGGCTTTCAGGCTCAGCTACTGCATTTGTGAGGTTTCCAGTTAGGTACAAAAACACATCTTAAAAGTCCCATCTCCCAGGTCAACAGGTCATCCTTGCGGTGTAGTTTAGAAAAATCATCCATCTTTTACAAAATGGAGCCAGGCTCCCCTGTTTCTTGTCTCTACAATAAGCATTTAAAAGGCTTGTCACAGGGCCAGGCACGGTGGCTCACACCTGTCATCCTAGCACTTTGGGAGGCCAACGCAGGTGGATCACCTGAGGTCAGGAGTTCAAGACCAACCTGGCCAAAATGGCAAAACCCTGTTTCTACTAAAAATACAAAAACTAGCCAGGCCTGGTGACAAGTGCCTGTAGCCCCAGCTACTCAGGAGGCCAAGGGCTGAGAATTGGTTGAACGTGGGAGGTGGAGGTTGCAGTGAGCCAAGATCACGCCACTGCACTCCAGCCTGGGTGACAGAGCAAGACTCCATCTCTAAATAAATAAATTAATTAAATAAATAAATAAATAAATAAAATGGTTTGTCATGGAATGCACGATGCTGGCCATTTGCTTCTTTCTGCCCGATCTGGGGTGGAACCTGAGTCTCATCAGAGTTGGGTGTGGTGGCCTGGGACAGCCTGGGCCACCTCTGGCCCTCCTGCCACAGGCCCACCTCCACATGCTGGGTGACCCCTCCCTGCTGGTTTCCTTCACGCCCTCAGCTCAGCTTGGCCTCCACCTTGACCTTTATTGAGGGTCCCTCTGCTGCCCATCTGCCTCCTGAGCCCGGGTCCTGTCTTTGTCCCGCTTTGCCCCTGTATCTAGGAGGGTCCAACACACTCAGTAACAATTAGCGAGGGGCACCTGTATCCTGCAGCGTTCCAGAGGATGCTGGCTTGAGCATAAGGGTCTCTCCGGGCACCTAGGTGTCCCATGTTCCAGAACTTGGCAAGCAGGAAGGACCCACGCGCCCCAGCCCCCCCTCCCCCGCGCCCACCACCCTCACGGTATCCCCACCAGTTCAGGAAGGCTGGCGTTGTGGCTTATGGGGTGCTTTCAACTCCAGAAAACCAATAGTTCTAACAAGCTTCTCAGAAAACTTCTCTGTATTTGTAGTTTTAGGGGCAAAAGAGGGAGAAAGGAGATTGCTGTGGTTGGTTCCTATCCTTAGCGATACCAGTGCTCAGCAGAATGAAAGAACTGGCCAGCCTGGCTGTGCTCCACTCTAATGCACGTTTGCAATTTGAAAGGAGGGCTTTTGTTTTAAGTGGCTCATGGTATAGATCTGGGGCCGTGAATGGATAGGAGAGTTGGGGTGTGGCCACACCTCACTTCCAATCCCGTAGTGGAATAGCAGGTCCGGGAGGAGCTTCTCATCCCCTTTTAAGCCACTCTGGACACAGACGCACAACCCTGCACAATCCTTCCGCAGCCCCTCGAGTTTCTGGTCTGGATCTCTCCTGCACTGACACCCAGCCACCAGCTGCCCCATCCATCCAGTGTGAGTCCTAAAACGCCTCCTTGAGACAAAGCGGTGACCTCCGCTTCCAGGAGCCACGTGTGCCTGCCCCCCACACTCTATGTTCCCTGTCCTGTGGCCCAGGCCACACCATTTCCTGACTGCAAAGCCTGTGTTGTGAGGGGCTCCTCCACAACTGCCCTGCCTCTGGGCCACCGCTTCCCCCCGGCCCCGACTGCCACAGAATCCTCTCCCACCTTGAGTACCGTCACACAGGGCTTGGCAGGATCTCGCTGGTGCTCACCGAGCCCGTTCGTGTAATCAGGGACCGTCTGCAGGAGTGCAGGAGCTGGGCCTGTGCCTTCGAGCCTCTCACTGTCTCCCCGGCTGGACTCCTCCATCACCCCCCAGTTGTCCTGGGACTCGGTGTGTCATCGCTGGGAGCAGCTTGGTGCCGGGCAGGCAGGGAGATCGCTGGGCTGTGTCACATCTCAGTGACATCATCTTAGGACCCAACACATTCTTATCCCCATGACGGAAATTCCAGCAATGTTTGTTGAAATGCTGATGGATGTTGAAGGGTGTCTGGTTTTGGGTTGTTGGCTAGCCTTGTGTCTGGTAAATCTTTCTGCCTCTTCAATCCTTCACGCCTCCGTTTGTGGTGAGATTCAAGACAGTGTTCCGAAAAGCACATTGGAAATCATAACTCATGTGAACATGGAACACTGGGTGGGTGCATGCGCTGTTTTATCCAGGTTTACCAGGGGAGAATGACATGGCCTACATGTAACTCAAGATGGTCGTGGATGCAGAGACCTCATGGTGACTGGGTGCAGAAACCTTGTGACCTGTGACTGGGTCCTTGGATTCTGTGATCTAAGACCCTGAGGAACCATCTGCATTTATGCCATGACGGCCACCGAGTGGTCACCTTGTTCTGGGCACAGTGCCCTCAACTTGGCAGCTGAGGCTCTGCTTCTGCAGGAGTGCAGGTAGATGGGGTCCGGCTCTGTCCTCTCCCTCCCAGGGCAGATGAGGCTCTGCTCCTGTGGGTGTGCAGGTGGGCGGAGTCCTGCTCTGTCCTCTCCCACCCAGGACAGCTGAGGGTCTGCTCCTGCAGGAGTGCAGGTGGACGGGGTTTGGCTCTGACCTCTTCCTCCCAGGGCAGCTAAGGGGTCTGCTCCTGTGGGTGTGCAGCTGGGCGGAGTCCGGCTCTGTTCTTTCCCTCCTAGGGCAGTGGATGCCCCAGGCTTGTCTGTTCCCGCTGAGTCTGTGTCTCCTGCCTCAGACTTGGTGGTCCACATGCAGTACTGCTCTGTGAATGATCCTGGAAGGGCTGACCCAACCCAAAGTACAGCAGGACTAGGAGCTGTTGGAGCTCAGGCCGGTGAACTGCAATTTAAGTTATCCCTTGTCTGTCTTGGTGTTAAGGAGTGGAATGGAATCAAGTTTGTCCTTAAGAAAATAAAGTGGGCAGCTGAACTCTAAACCTAACTCTGACTTGGTTTCAGTGGCTCAGAGGAAAAACCACAACAAACAAACAGGAAAGGAAAGACTTCCCACCCAAGCTAAATTGTTGTAGGGACACCAGGGTGGATTTGAGCAGCATCGCGAAGATCTCTTCAGCTGAGATGTACATCCCGGGAGGCAGCAGCCATGCACCCAGCATTTCTCAAGCTCAGCACAGCGGGATGGGGGCTGGGAGATGCTTGTGGGGTCGGTCTTATGGAATGGGGGATGTTGAGCACAGCCATGCACCCAGCGTTTCTCAAGCTCAGCACGGGGGTGGGGGCTGGGAGACGCTTGTGGGGTACGTCTTATGCACTGGGGGATGTTGAGCAGCATTTCTGGGCTCCACCTACTACCTGCCGGAAGCACCCCCATTTAGTGACAACCAAACATATCTCCAGATGTCACCAAATGTCCCCTGGGGGCAGAATTACCTGGTTGGGAACTGCTGGTGTCATCCAAAGAGCGTGAGCTTTAGAACAAGACAGACGCGTGGAACCTTCTCACAAGCTGTGCAGCCGGGGGGCTCACAATAGGGGCTTTCCATGGAAATAAATGGCTATAACTGTGCCTGCCTGACCTCCCTCAGGGTCCCGGAAAGAGCCCCTGGTGAGATGGACGTGCCGATGGCCACGGGTGTCCTCTCAACAAGGAGATGGTGGCTGAGGGGTGAGGACACAGGATGGGGCAGAGGGCAGGGGTGAGCAGCGGGGACAGGTCTCGGCCGATTCTGAGAGAACTCAGGTGCTGTGTGAACTCAGGGGTCTCCGCACCGAGGCAAGGAGTGGCCGTCCTGCCTTCATGCCGCCAGCCTGGGTGGTGCGTGAGTCAGCTCGGGTGCCATGACGGGCATACACACCCGGGGGGCGTGTAAAGGCACATTCATTCCGCAGGGTCCTGGTGGCTGGTGCCCAAGACCGTGGAGTCCCAAGGCCAGCTCCTGCTGAGCCTCTCCTGGGCACGCAGACGCCGTCCTCTCCCCATGTCCTCATAGGGTTGCCCCCTCTCTGTCTGTCTGTGACCTCATCTCCCCTTCTTAGGAGGATACCAGGCAGACAGGATCAGTGCCCACCCTGGTGACCTCATTTTACCTTCTTCACCTCTGTAAACGTCCCATCTCCAAATAATCACATTCTGAGGTCCCAAGGGTTAGGGTTCAACATAGGAATTTGGAGGAACACAATTCAGGCCATAACTTGTGTGTCCTTCCCAAGGAGGGGTGTGGGGAAGGCAGCTTTCTCCCGCTGAATGGCTGAGGGCATGCCCTGGAGAGACTCAGCCATTGGCTGGCACCTCCTGGCAGGTTGGAGCAGGCACCTTGGTCCTCGAGGGGTGAGTGTGGCATCCACGCATCCTGGGGGCTCCCATGTGGGTGGGGTTATGCCAGGCATGCAGCGCCTCTGTTGGTGGCCTCCTGGTGTCCATGAGCCCGTGGCTCCCATTCCAAGCATGAGGGCGATAGGAGCTGGACGGGGCCAAAGGGCCCAGTCACGTGTGCCCAGTCGCAGGCGGCTTAGATGGGGGTTTTGTACACTCAGCTGTAGTGTGGCCCACAGGTTTGGAGATGGCCATAGGAAAGACAGTTCACAACTCACAGCCCCAGAAGAGAGTGAGGCCACACCGCAGGCCTGGGGGACACACCTATGGGTCAGGAGGCAGGAGAAGAGGGAAGCGTGGGCAGGAGCCTTTGCCACAGTCTCTGGGAAGGAGGGAGACACATACAAACATGCACACACATACACACATAGGCATGCATGCACACCCATATACCTGCACACATACACATATATGCACATTACACATACACACACATACACACATAGGCATGCATGCACACCCATATGCCTGCACACACACATACACATATGTGCACATTACACATACATAAACACACATATGCACATAGGCATGCATGCACACCCGTATACCTGCACACATACACGTATACACACATTACACATACCCACACATACACACATAGGCATGCATGCACACCCATATAACTGCACACATACACATATACGCACATTACACATACACACATAAACACACATACGCACATGGGCATGCATGCACACCCATATACCTGCACACACACATACACATATACGTACTTTACACACACACACACACGGCTTAAAGGAATGCAGAAGACATTTCCCTGTGGGAACGCACAGCAATGGACGATAATGTTTTTCCTCGGTTCCAGTGCCTCCAAGAGAATATGATGATATAATCCTGGCCCCTTTCACCTGGGCTTTGCAGCTTGGAAGAAAGAAAAGATATTCCAGTTTGTGCAGTGTTGAACTATCCCTAAAGCAAGTAACAGGAGACGTCAAAATGTATGCTTATGTCACCCTTATGAAAATGCCTTTTTGTTAGAAATTATGAACATCACCCATCACTAGGTACAAGGAGGTAATTAGGGTAATTGATTGGCGTTAAATGCAGCAGGGACTGCAAACTGGATTTGCAGAGTCTGGTAGCCGTCGTGGAAAGAAATTTATTCATTCCTTCACTGAAGGCCATAAAGCCATTTTGGTTTCAGAGCGTGCACTAGGCCACCCTGGGCTGAGGGCTGCAGGGTTCGAATGCTGTAACATAACGGAGAGAGATTTGTTTGCTGAGGCAGGCTGGCATTTTAGTATTGCTCTTCTGTTCTTTTGATAGTCTCCAGACATATGCTTTGGAATGGGGATTTGGTACTTGAATTCATGCTTTGAAATTGACTCTGGTTGACATTCTTTCTGTATTGAAATTTCTTCTGTCAAAGCCTGCGAAATTGGCTTCTTAAATCAGAAACAGAAACATACAAGCTGGTCTCATTTGTTAGTTAATTTGCAGGCTGCTGAAGAAAAAAATCTTTACTTTGTTTTTTATGGAAACATGTTTTTAATTCACAAAAAAAATCCCATAAACCTGCCAAAGTGAATCTCTTCTTTGATGGCAGAGGAGCTGCTCTTCCATCTGCCACCAGCCAGCCTCAGCCTCCCTTCCCGAACTGAGCTTTTCACACATTCCCAGGAGAGTGGCAGCGTGAGCTCCCCCGTGCCCAGGAACTGGGTGGCCGGGCCTCCTTCTGCCCCATCGCCTCTGCCTGCACCTTCTGCTGGTCCAGCTCAGACAAAAGTAAACCCGGACCTCACCCCAGGACCTTTCCTGATCCTGGCCCCTCCCGTCAGCCGACAGTGACCTTCAACACGTGTCCCCTCCACACTGGCTTCTCCACCCTGATGATGCTACCACTCATTTCATGTCCATCTCCTGTACCGAATTGTAATGTCATTGAGAACTGTGGCTTTTCTTAAATTAAAAATAAGGGTGTTTATTACAAAAGTCATATAGGGTTCATGTAGACAATTTAAAAATATAAAGAAAAGTCATTGAAAACCCTGTAATCTTCATCTCCTAGTGACGGTCCCTGTTTCACATCTTCTGGCTGCTTCTGCACATAACACAGTTACATCTTTAAAAGACATAAAAATGTCAAGTGCTTTAAAAATTGCTTTTCCCCCTCATGAGCATCTTTTCATCACTAAATGCACATTCTGGAATAGTATTTTGGGTAGCTGGGTAGTATCCATCCTGTGCTTTTCGCCCTCGTGAGCATCTTTTCATCGCTAAATACACATTCTGGAATAGTATTTTTGGTAGCTGGGTAGTATCCATCCTGTGGTTTTAATAAATATTGTAAGCCATCCCCTATGATACAGTACTGTTGTCATTTCTCCTCTTTCCCTGATTACCAATTCCCCAGTCCCTGACCCTGGGCTGCATTGTCTTGGGGAAGCTTCATGGAAGGAAAGTTGCCCACTCTAAGGACATGACCAGTCCGAAGGCCTCCAGTCATCTCCAGAAAGACCGGGCGCTCCACTGCCCGCCACCTGGCCTGAAGACACGGAGATAAGAATTGTCAAGTCCCCAAAGTTGTGAATTCTTTATTCTTCCTTAGTCATCTTTTTCCAGTGCTCAAACTTCCTCACTGTCAGGAAATGTAAACCAAAATTCACACGGACAAAATGTGAACAAAACATTGGCAAATGTACACCTGTTTTCTTAACTGCTGATTTCTTGCTGAGAGAACCTGCTGTGGCTGAGGCCCCAGGCCTGTCTCTTACCTGACCTACAGCTCTGCAGCTCTGCGGTGTCATCTGTGGGACATTTACATTGACCATGTCATTAATACCCGATATGGTTTGTGTCCCCACCGAAATCTCGTTTTGCCTGGCAGCTCCCATAATCCTCATGTGTCATGAGAGGGACCCAGTAGGAGGTGACTGAATCATGGGGTGGGTCTTTCCTGTGCTGTTTTCATGATGGTGACTAAGTCTTATGAGATCTGATGGTTTTTTAAAAGGGAGTTCCCCTGCACACACTCTCTTGCCTGCCACCATGTAAGACATGACTTTGCTCCTCATTCGCCTTCTGCCATGACTGCGAGGCCTCCCCAGCCACGTGGAACTGAGTCAGTTAAACCTCTTTCCTTTATAAATTGCCCAGTCTGGGGTATGTCTTTATTAGCAGTGTGAGAAGAGATGCATACAATACCTCCAATTCCCTTTCAGCGCGGTCTGTATTCCTCTTTGAACACGTGCAGACCTGGGCACAAGGCACCAGGTCATAAAGGCTTTAGAAGAACCCGGCTGGAGAGCACCACAGACACCGCCTGTCCAGCTCACGGTCACAGTTCAGGATCCTTGTCCTGAGCCTTTGGGCCTCTTGGAATCTGGGTGGAGGGAGAATCTGGAACTTCCCATCCTGTCCAACCCTCTCCTCATCACAGCATCTGGATCTTCTAGTGTGCGTGGTGCTAGGGTGTCACTGTGAGCTGCCGTGTGCCTGGGCCACCTTGGGGGTGCTACAGCTGTGATCCACCTGCACCGTGACCCACAGGGGCCTGCGGGACTGTGGTGTTGGGTGTCCGCGCCTCGTTACTGGGGGACTGTGTGGTGTTGGGGTGTCCGCGCCTCGTTTCTGGGGGACTGTGTGGTGTTGGGGTGTCCGCGCCTCGTTACTGGGGGACTGTGTGGTGTTGGGGTGTCTGCACCTCGTTACTGGGGGACTGTGTGGTGTTGGGTGTCCGCGCCTCGTTACTGGGGGACTGTGTGGTGTTGGGTGTCCGCGCCTCGTTACTGGGGGACTGTGTGGAGTTGGGGTGTCCGCGCCTCGTTGCTGCGGGACTGTGTGGTGTTGGGGTGTCCGCGCCTCGTTGCTGCGGGACTGTGTGGTGTTGGGGTGTCGGCGCCTCGTTACTGGGGGACTGTGTGGTGTTGGGTGTCCGCGCCTCGTTACTGGGGGACTGTGTGGTGTTGGGGTGTCCGCGCCTCGTTACTGGGGGACTGTGTGGTGTTGGGTGTCCGCGCCTCGTTACTGGGGGACTGTGTGGTGTTGGGGTGTCCGCGCCTCGTTACTGGGGGACTGTGTGGTGTTGGGGTGTCTGCACCTCGTTACTGGGGGACTGTGTGGTGTTGGGGTGTCTGCGCCTCGTTACTGGGGGACTGTGTGGTGTTGGGTGTCGGCGCCTCGTTACTGGGGGACTGTGTGGTGTTGGGGTGTCCGCGCCTCGTTACTGGGGGACTGTGTGGTGTTGGGGTGTCCGCGCCTCGTTGCTGGGGGACTGTGTGGTGTTCGGGTGTCCGCGCCTCGTTACTGGGGGACTGTGTGGAGTTCGGGTGTCCGCGCCTCGTTGCTGCGGGACTGTGTGTTGTTGGGGTGTCGGCGCCTCGTTACTGGGGGACTGTGTGGTGTTGGGGTGTCCGCGCCTCGTTACTGGGGGACTGTGTGGTGTTGGGTGTCCGTGCCTCGTTGCTGGTGGACTGTGTGGTGTTGGGTGTCCGCGCCTCGTTGCTCGGGGACTGTGTGGTGTTGGGGTGTCCGCGCCTCGTTGCTGGGGGACTGTGTGGTGTTGGGGTGTCCGCGCCTCATTACTGGGGGGCTGTGTGGTGTTGGGGTGTCCGCGCCTCGTTACTGGGGGACTGTGTGGTGTTGGGGTGTCTGCGCCTCGTTACTGGGGGACTGTGTGGTGTTGGGTGTCCGCGCCTCGTTACTGGGGGGCTGTGTGGTGTTGGGGTGTCCGCGCCTCGTTACTGGGGGGCTGTGTGGTGTTGGGGTGTCCGCGCCTCGTTACTGGGGGACTGTGTGGTGTTGGGGTGTCCGTGCCTCGTTACTGCGGGGACTGTGCAGTGTCCGGGTGTCCGCGCCTCGTTACTGGGGGACTGTGTGGTGTTGGGGTGTCCGCGCCTCGTTGCTGGGGGGCTGTGTGGTTTTGGGGTGTCCGCGCCTCGTTACTGGGGGACTGTGTGGTGTTGGGTGTCCGCGCCTCGTTGCTGGGGGACTGTGTGGTGTTGGGGTGTCCGCGCCTCATTGCTGGGGGACTGTGTGGTGTTGGGGTGTCCGCGCCTCGTTACTGGGGGGCTGTGTGGTGTTGGGGTGTCTGCGCCTCGTTACTGGGGGACTGGTGTTGGAGTGTCTGCGCCTCGTTACTGGGGGACTGTGTGGTGTTGGGTGTCTGCGCCTCGTTGCTGGGGGACTGTGTGGTGTTGGGGTGTCCGTGCCTCGTTACTGGGGGGCTGTGTGGTTTTGGGGTGTCCGCGCCTCATTACTGGGGGGCTGTGTGGTGTTGGGGTGTCCGCGCCTCGTTACTGGGGGGCTGTGTGGTGTTGGGGTGTCCGCGCCTCGTTACTGGGGGACTGTGTGGTGTTGGGGTGTCCGCGCCTCGTTACTGGGGGACTGTGTGGTGTTGGGGTGTCCGTGCCTCGTTACTGCGGGGACCGTGCAGTGTCCGGGTGTCCGCGCCTCGTTGCTGCGGGACTGTGTGGTGTTGAGGACTCCTTGCCACACGGGGTCCATGGTAAGGGGAGCTCCTGCTCGTCCAGGCTGGAAGTCCAGGATATGTGAGTGACAGAAATGAGCATGCCTCTCCCTCTCCCTTGGCTCCTGTCCTGGGCTGCAATGTGGAAGATGTCAGATCTGCCGGAGCACTGGTGTGGCATGGCATTTAGGAATGAATACAGGGGCCTTCAGCCAGAAGACCTGCCTTCACCACCAGCCACGCAGATCCCTGCTGGTAGTGCTGTCGATCGGCTCACAGGCAATATGGACACTGGAAAGATGGCAGGTTCCTTTTCTGATGATATAAGTAGTATACCTCAGTAGCTAAGTATTTTACAGCAAGGAAAAAAAATACCCTGTCTGAAGACCTTTTAAATATGGAAATTTTTTATTTTCTTTCTCTGTAAACAGCATTTGGGGAGATTCTCTTCTCCTACATGAAAAACATGCTATGTTAGTTCCTTGACTACAGACTGTGGGTGATGAGCTAGTTGCTGTGGAAAGCTTTGGAGTTCTCTACACTCAGCGACTGCATGCTGTGTTCTTTTGCCTTTGTAAACGTGAGTTTGACCTATGGAGTGAACTTTACCCAGAGCCTCTGGGGAGCTGTTCAAAGCTAATGAACCGTGGGGAAAAGAAACCAGGTCCTGACCTGCAGGGAGCAGCTCCCGCAATGGAAACCATTGTGTTCCAGTTCCATGACTTTTTGCTCATGGCTATGTTGGGTTTCCAGTTTCACAGATGGTGGATGGAAACAGAATACTGGCCTGCACTGTCATCTTCATGGTTTACCCTCCCCTCAGAGAGACACGTAACGCAAACACACAGCAGGCAGCCTGTGGGGCCGTTATGGGTGATATATAAAATGCACGTGGGTTCAGTTCTCGAACAGTCAGATACACAGCACAGGGGGGTTATATGTATGGGCTCTCAGCTCTGTGCAAGGCAGATATATAGCAAGTACATGGGCCCAGTTCTGTGCCTGGCAGATATATAACAGGCATAGGTGCTCACCTCTGTGCCAGGCAGATGTATAACATGCACAGTTGCTCAGTTTGGTACCATGCGGATATATAATACGCACGGGTGCTGAGTTCTATACCACACAGATATATAACATTCATGGTTGCTCAAGTCTGCACCAGGCAGACACATAACATGCATAGTTGCTCAGCTCTGTACCAGGCAGACATATAACAAGCACAGGTGGTCAGCTCTGTACCACACAGATATATTGCATGCACAGGCAGGTGCTGAGTTCCATACCACACAGATATGTAACATTCATGGTTGCTCAGGTCTGCACCAGGCAGACATATAACATGCGTGGGTGCTGAGTTCCATACCACACAGATATATAGTATTCATGGTTGCTCAGGTCTGCACCAGGCAGACATATAACATGCATGGGTGCTCAGCTCTGTACGAGGCAGACGTATAACACGCACAGGTGATCAGCTCTGTACCACCCAGATATATAACATGAGCGGGTGCTGAGTTCTGTAACAGGCAGACATATTCCATGCACAGGTGCTTGGTGATATGTCAGGTGGAATGTGATGTGGCTGGGCAAGATCCTTTTGCAACTCTGAGTACTGAGAATTTGCATGTATGATAGAACTTGGCTTCTAGATTTAAAACCGTCCTCTTTTATTTGCTTGCAATTAAGATATAAGTATACAATAAGATAGGCATTTTCTCCCTTGTTTTCTTTTTTTTTTTTCCTTTTCTTCTCTGTTCAGTTTCTCAACTTTCAATTTCCTCTTATACCAGAGGGAAATAAAACTAAATTTTAGCCAGTGCTTTGTCCCAGCTGCTGAGATTGCAAGTGTCCCTTCTTCTCTTACTTTTCTCACATGTTCTCACTTTATCCATAGTGTTTACCTATCACTTATAATGAAGAAAAACCAACATTTTTATATTCATTTCCTTTTAGGATATGCATTTTTATACATCTGACTTTAACTGATAAATGACTGTAAAGAGGTGTATCTTTATGGAATTGTAGAGGATTTGTTTCCAAAAAGGAGCTGATGCTGCCGTTCTCAGTGACAAAGTTGATGCGTGTTTCATGTCTGTCTGCTCCCAGGTACCTCAGGATGAGTGGGGAGGGTACCCCACCGGTGGCAAAGATGAGGAGATTCCCTGCAGGAGAATGAGAAGTGGGAGTTACATTAAAGCCATGGGGGACGAGGAGAGCGGAGAGTCAGACTCCAGCCCCAAGACATCACCAAAGTCGGCAATCCTACCAGAGCCGCTGCTGAAGTCCATCGGACAGAGACCGCTTGGAGAGCACCAGACGTAAGTGAGACCAGCTGCCTTCCCACTCCAAGCACTTTCCCACTGCCTGCGAGCTCCCTCTCCAAAACCACTTCACCGTGAGCTGAGTGCCATCCATTTAAACTAAATTGCCAAGCTGAAAATATTAGACCCATGGCTGTCAATTTTCAAGTATTTTTTTAAAGAACAACCAGAGCTTTTGTTATTTATCAATTACATAATAATTAAGGAAGTGTGCTTGGGCAACTTCCTTGTCAAATTATAAAGCCAACATGAGCCATCGTATCTTTCTGATCATTCAGATTATCCTCAGGACAAGCACATGTCTCTGTTTGTATGAATGTGTGCGTATGGGTGTGTGTTTGAATGTCTTTGTGAGTAAAACTCGTTAACGGAATTTTGTTGTTGACTATAACTTTGTAAGTGCATTTCTAGGCAACACATTTTTTTGTAGAGGAGGGAGGAAATGGACTAGCTTTATAAATATAATACCCTACACTTTACATATTTGCCCAAAATTTATTATTAATAAATTTAATTTTGAAAATATAGACAGATAAAACTCTTTGGGAAATCAGCAATTCCTATGAACCATGAAAATATGACTGTTACTGTCAACAGCCACGCTGCTGTGTATCTTGAGTCCCACAAGTTAGTTTGGGTGGTAATGCCAAGAACTGCCTGGAAGCTACCCCTGCCTTCTGCGGCCGGCTGTGAGGTCCTGGGCAAGTGGATAGGCAGGGCGGAACTGCTTCTCAGCCTTGGCCAGTGCCACATAAGAGTTATTAATTATGACCCACACATCAGACAGGGAGCCCTGGGCCACAGGGCCCTCCCTGTATTGTCTCTATCCACGCCGAGTGCACCCAGTGATGAGCCAGTGACCATATAACCTCTTCCAATACATCTAGTTATTCATCGCTGTTGGCTTACAAGATGAAAAAGTGAAATTTTAAATTGAAACCAAATCTTACAAATTAGAACTTCACAAATCCGAACTCTATCATTGTTGCCTAGTTCAGCTAAATTCAAGAGCTATGGTGTAGGAATGCCAGACAAGTCATGCCCTGAGACCGGGCCGCATGTCTGCCCAGCCCAGGCCCATCCATCTCCTCTCCCTCCACAGAGGGTGGTCAGTGCCAGCTTGTGGGACGAGTGGCTGAGAACAAAGCCAAAATGTTGCCCTGGGGAAGCTCTTAGACTTGTTGGAAGGAAATGGGGAGCAGGTGTTTGTAAGCCAGGAAATAACCAGGAAAGATGATTACCAGGAAGGGGTTGGGGAGCTGGACAGAGCTGGGAGCAGAGCCAAGTTGTCTGACCCATCTGCTCCAGCAGGAAAGTGAAGGATTGGACTGGATGTCAGCTCTCACCCACCTTTTATTTGGCACACTTAAAGACATTAGGAGAATTATGAATTATCTGAAACGTCTTCTGGGGAAAAGCACACACATGCAGAAGCTATGCTTCGTGGGTCCAGGGCTCCAAGGCCAGCCTCAGTCCTGGGGTTTTGGACCCCCAGGTAAACAGCCATTGGTTAACTTCCCACTTTAAATGTTTGTGATTCATTGCATAATTCTATATGTTTGAAAGCAAAACATGAAAAAACCAAAGCCTTTTTTAGACCATGGGCAGGGACTAAGTGTTTTAAGAATTACGAACGGCGTTTTCCTGTTGACGGGTTCCTTCTTCCACTCATTCACCATCACTGCCACGGGTCCCCCAGGATCATTATCACCTCATTCTTCAGTGGCAGAGACAGTGTCTCATTCCTTTCTTCACATCAGGGACTGGCCCAGAGTCCTGTACGAGGCTCCAGTACTAACAATGTTCAAAGGACACTCTCAGAACTTTACACTGGCAAAACTCACACCATCACCCAATGTAGTTGAAACTCTTCAAAAAACCAGCGGAAGGATGTGAGCCTGAGGCCCCCTGACAGCATCACCTAAACACTGGCCAGACCCTTCCCTGCCCAAGTGGGAAACCCTCTGGGAGTTCACTCACCAACAGCCCTTAACACCTGACCAGAAAGCATTCCATGGCCTCAAATCTGATCAGATGTGAGGAAAATGGGTGAGATGTGCTGCCTACGTTACTCCTGTTCTAAACACAAATCCACTCTGCCCGTGGACCCCCATGCCACTGTCCACTCAGCAAACACAAATCCACTCTGCCCATGGCCCCCATGCCACTGCCCACTCAGCAGACACAAATCCGTCTCTGCCTGTGGCCCCCATGCCACTGTCCATTCAGCAGACACAAATCCACTCTGCCCGTGGCCCCCATGCCACTGTCCACTCAGCAGACACAAATCTGTCTCTGCCTGTGGCCCCCATGCCACTGTCCACTCAGTAGACACAAATCCACTCTGCCCATGGCCCCCGTGCCACTGTCCACTCAGCAGACACAAATCCGTCTTTGCCTGTGGCCTCCATGCCACTGTCCACTCAGCAGACACAAATCCACTCTGCCCGTGGCCCCCATGCCACTGTCCACTCAGCACACACAAATCCACTCTGCCCGTGGCCCCGATGCCATTGTCCACTCAGCAGACACAAATCCACTCTGCCCGTGGCCCCCGTGCCACTGTCCACTCAGCAGACACAAATCCGTCTCTGCCCGTGGCCCCCATGCCACTGTCCACTCAGCAGACACAAATCCACTCTGCCCGTGGCCCCCATTCCACTGTCTACTCAGCAGACACAAATCCGTCTCTGCCCGTGGCCCCCATGCCACTGTTCACTCAGCAGACACAAATCCGTCTCTGCCCGTGGCCCCCATGCCACTGTCCACTCAGCAGACACAAATCCGTCTCTGCCCGTGGCCCCCATGCCACTGCCCACTCAGCAGACACAATTCCGCTCTGCCCGTGGCCCCCATGCCACTGTCCACTCAGCAGACACAAATCCGTCTCTGCCCGTGGCCCCCATGCCACTGTCCACTCAGCAGACACAAATCCGTCTCTGCCTATGGCCCCCATGCCACTGTCCACTCAGCAGACACAAATCCATCTCTGCCTGCGGCCCCCATGCCACTGCCCACTCAGCAGACACAAATCCACTCTGCCCGTGGCCTCCATGCCACTGTCCACTCAGCAGACACAAATCCATCTCTGCCTGTGGCCCCCATGCCACTGTCCACTCAGCAGACACAAATCCACTCTGCCTGCAGCCCCCATGCCACTGCCCACTCAGCAGACACAAATCCGTCTCTGCCCGTGGCCCCCATGCCACTGCCCACTCACCAGACACAAATCCACTCTGCCCGTGGCCCCCATGCCACTGCCCACTCAGCAGACACAAATCCACTCTGCCTATGGCCCCCATGCCATTGTCCACTTAGCAGAGATGGTGCAACAGTTGGGTCCATTCTTCCATTTATCCAGGATTTATCACTCCATTGATGAGTCCAACAAATGTCAGGCATTCTGCCAAACTCGATTTATACGTGCCCCAATCATTCTTTTTCCCTAAATCTGACGCCGTGTTGTAGATAATAAAGCAGAGAAAGCAGCCATGTGATGGGTCTGGACAGCGACCTGCCTGCCAGGGACCTGCTAACTTGAAAGTCCTCGAAACTCCTCTGAGTCACTCTTTGGGGGTTAATGTAATGAAAGTTTCTGCAAAAAAAAAATATTATGTTACCAGGAGGTATCAACACATTTTTGCTGTTGCCTATTCGCATCTTAGTTTATCTTATATTCCTTCACGTTTTATGGATTCCAACGTAATTCATTTATTTCCATTTTAGATGACATTGCTGAAGCTCAGCTTTGTAACTCAGGGAAGCTCTCATGATGCCTGTTTTATGGACAGAAACATGACTCAGGGAAATGAGGTGCTGGAGGCTGCACAAGCCACCAAGGCTCTCAGCTGAAGGTAGCTCAGCCCCAAGCCCCGTGGCCTTCAGCCCATGGCACTGCTCTGTGGAGGGCAGGGTAGATCTTCACCCTGTGGCACTGTTCTGCGGAGGGCAGGATAGATCTTCACCCCATGGCACTGCTCTGTGGAGGGCAGGTAGATCTTCACCCCATGGCACTGCTCTGTGGAGGGCAGGGTAGATCTTCACCCCATGGCACTGCTCTGTGGAGGGCAGTGGCGGAGGCCAGGGTAGATACTGTGGGGAGAGGAGAGAAAGGAAGAAAACGGCCAGGACTGGGAGAATTCCCATAGTTGTCACTCTGTAACCCTGTGTTTCCAGGAAACAAGGGCACGCTGAGCTGTAGTGAGTGTGGACAAAATTCTCTTGAAAGATTTTAACAGTGGAGATGTCAGAAGCACATCATAGGGACCTCAGATTAAACAGGAAAGACAAGACCGGGGAGGCACATACACATCCATGTGCCGTCTTCATTCTGCTGGCCTCCAGGGTCATGTTAACTGTGCTGGGAACGACTTGGGTTTCACCCACGTGAACGCCCAGCACCCCCTATGACTGTGGCTGGCACCATGATGTCGTCTCTGCATCCTGTTCCATTACGCACAGCCCTTTCATAATGTTCACTCCTGGGGGCTCTTTCAATCTAGGCACATTTAAATATCAGCATTTTTAACGTGTAGCAGGTGAATATTCATATCCCAAACATGTTCTCCTAATCCAATTCCTCATTTGTCTTAGTTTTAAAATTGATTTCTGAGTTGACCATTCCCACCTAAGCTTTGAGAAGGCTCAGTTGGATTTCACATGTTCACCACAGTGTAGGTGCAGACGCTGTAATGCCCAAGAGGCTGGCTGTGGAGGCGTCTGCTGGGATGGAGAGGAGAGAAGGATGAAGAGAGGACACATCTGCTGGGATGGAGGGAGGGGTGAACTGTGGGGGTGTCTGATGAGATGGAGAGGAGAGAGGGGTAAACTGGAGGGACATCTTCTGGGATGGAGAGGAGAGGGGTGAACTGCGGGGGTGTCTGATGAGATGGAGAGGAGAGAGGGTGAACTGTGGGGATGTCTGATGAGATGGAGAGGAGAGAGGGTGAACTGTGGGGATGTCTGATGAGATGGAGAAGAGAGAGGGGTGAACTGGAGGGGCGTCTTCTGGGATGGAGAGGAGAGAGGGTGAACTGTGGGGGTGTCTGATGAGATGGAGAGGAGAGAGGGGTGAACTGTGGGGCGTCTGATGAGATGGAGAAGAGAGAGCGGTGAACTGGAGGGGCATCTTCTGGGATGGAGAGGAGAGAGGTGAACTGTGGGGGCATCTGATGAGATGGGGAGGAGAGAGGGTGAACTGTGGGGACATCTGATGAGATGGAGAGGAGAAAGGGGTGAACTGTGGGGGCATCTTCTGGGATGGAGAGGAGAGAGGGTGAACTGTGGGGGCATCTGATGAGATGGAGAGGGGAGAGGGTGAACTCTGGGGGTGTCTGATGAGATGGAGAAGAGAGAGGGGTGAACTGGAGGGGTGTCTTCTGGGATGGAGAGGAGAGAGGTGAACTGTGCGGGCATCTGATGAGATGGGGAGGAGAGAGGGTGAACTGTGGGGGCATCTGATGAGATGGAGAGGAGAGAGGGGTGAACTGTGGGGGCATCTGATGAGATGGAGAGGAGAGAGGGTGAAT